>NC_000004.12:29322916-29947010 GCF_000001405.40 Homo sapiens
ATCTATATATATAAACTATATATATATATATATATATATATATATATATATATATATATATGTATATTTTTCTGGAACACCGTCCAAAATCACAACGAATTCTTCTAACTCAGCCTTTTACATATTTAGCCCTATGAGAAAAGAAAAACTTAAAATCTTAAACATTATATTGCTTTCTGATTTCTTGAAAAAATATTTTGGGAGAATGTTACTGTCCAAGTTGTCATCTAATAATTATAGAAAATGTCTGGCATAAAATAAAATCAATGGAATTTAATATGTTAAAAGAAACAAAAAAATACTAAGAAAGAAACTGGAATTAAGGGAGACATACAAAGTTTCAATTACTGCACTTGATACAAAATCTGTGTGGAATTTGAGAGCTGCCAATAAAAACTGTTTTAATAAAAATAATATAGTAACTAAACATTTATTTTTGAGTCATCGTTATTTTTCTCACAGGAAAATTTGGCATTTTTTAAAAAAGAAATCTAGGAATATAAATTCAAAGTTCAATTAAAATTAGTGTATTTCTTATATACTTCATATTCATCAAATACACAGAATCTTCACAAAGTACTCTAGATGCTGATGATTATCTCCAAGATAAGATGATTTTGCTGAATATGGACACAACATAATTACATCATTTGGAACCACGGAGCTTATCTGAGCAGAGGCAGGTACTTGACAGGTTCTGGGCAAAGAGTTAAGAAATTTGACTTGAGGGAGAAAGAAAAAACAACCCAGGTTGAGTTGCTCTCAATGATCATCTTATTAAATTTGTTTAATCACTGTCTACAGGAAGGTTTGGTTTGGAGTTTCTCCTTGGCTCTGGGGAATGTGAGCGAAGAAGGAAACAAGCTAATGAAGAATATGGCATTTAAGATTGCACAGTATCATTTAACTTCTCTTCTTCTTCCTCTTTCTCTTTCTAATTCATTTAGAGAATGGAAGTGGGACACTGGGACATATTGGTGTTCTCTTATTTATTTTCCCTCTAGGATTCTTTGTTAACAGTTCACTTTCCCTGTTCAGGTAATAACAGATAGACACCTTATTATTGAATAACTGTTCAGCCTTCTCTTTGACATTCACTAACCGTGGAACATTGTGCTAAGAAATAGGCCTATTCCTTTTTTTATTTTGCCACCTTCTTGTGTGAACAGAGATTAAAGTAACTATTTATTTGTTGTCCTTATATTCTGTAACCCTTTGTTCTTCTGAAACTTGTGCATCTCATTTCTATTTATTTTTGGTTATGTGTTCTTATTTCCATCTTTTATACATTTCATTTAAGTTTTTTAAAAAGTTGTACTTGTTGGAGAGCTCCCTGGTTTTTCATATTGTTGCTTTTGGCATCCTATTTTCAATCATAAAAACATTTTAATTGCATAACTAGACATATGTTTTTCAGAACTTCTCAACTCTTTTAAGCCTCTTTCTTTCTTCCAGACTTGAAATATGGAATTGGTCCAATATACTCTCTGAGTTGACACCATGTCTCTTTCTATCACTTTCATGAATGTCTCTTCCTACCACTCTTTCCTAATGCCCATAATAAGTATGCAAGATTTGGTAAACTTTAACCCTTAATTTTTCTAGGTAGTAGCTTTCTCTTTATCCAAGGTATGATATTTTTCACTTTTGATAACCTTAACAGTCATTTTTTTTTCTTTTACTTCTTCAAAATATTGTAAAAAAACAGGTGTTCTCTTGCATTATTTCTTTATTCTATCTAGGGGTTCTTCATCTACTCTGACAAATTAGAGTATAGAAGGAAAAATGCATAGCATTTGGCCATTTCTTAAAGCACCAATATATTGATTGCCCTAAATGCAAAGACATTATAGTGGTCCCACAGAGGTTATGATCATTGTTTATGCAATTTAAGGATACCAAAATTTTATCAGCTTTGGTAAAAGCTGATGGAGTATATAGCTTTATCCCCTCTTCTCTAGACCAAAAATGGGTCAAGTGTTCTACTCATATATTCCTACATGATCCTATCCAAATCATTATATAAACATGACAACATTGCATTTTAATTATCTGGTTACTTGATTTTCTCTTCCACATTGCTCTTAATTCATTGGAACCATGACTTTGATGAACTAATTAATTTAGCATATAATTGAGAGATATGTTGGAAGTAAACTCAGCAGAATTTGATAATTGATTACATGTCTTGTAGGAATAAAAGAATCTAGAACCAGCCATAGGTTTCTGATATCAATGAAGGGGTTAAAAAAAATAAGGTATATTTTCTATATACCTTATATACCGTTCATGTAACTAAATATGAGATACAGATAGAAGATTTATCTATATTTTTTCAGGTAGATTATTGAGCTGATTCCTATGATAATATCTGTTGTGGGTATATTATTTTATTTACTGACCTAATTTCTAATTCCAGTAATCTATGCTTTTCATAGTTCTTCATTCCTTTCTACCATGTTTCTTTATGGTAAATTGGGAAACATTGTTAGGAAAGACCTTCTAGCTGAAACTAATACAAAATCTGCTATTTGGTTAATAGCACTATTTCTTTTAAGCTACAAAAGTCCAAGTTCGATATCTCAAATAAGCTTATGAATGCAGACTTGGATTTGAACCCTGGAAAGGCTGGATCAAATACAACCAGAATGAAGAGATTTAGGTCAATTCTACCAGGAGCAGTGCAAACCTAATTTAAGTACCATTCATAAGCGAACATATGATATACTGTTTATATTATATTACGTACATATATTATAAATAATGTTAATGTCTTTATCAATCATTTTGTTTTATCTTTTGAGAAAACTATATATACTCATAGAATGATATACATGCAAAAATGTTTTTGTGCAAATCCTGATTTAACCTCATTTAAAACTGGATTACTGTGAACATTGTTGCTCCTAATCATAATAATTAATAATATACTAGTGATATATATGTAAATTCCTAATAATGAAATTAAAGTTGTAAATGCACCCCAAAATGCCATTAAGTTTCAAGGTTTTAGTTCTAAAGAAGCCATTTCTTATAAAACTAATTTTATTTCCCTTTGAAAATGGGAACTCTAATAGGTTAAATCTATATTTATTATTAATATGCAAAGTTTTAAGAAGATTGAAAGGAAATAAAGACTTCTTTACTAGCTCACTTTTGTATTCATTTATTCATTCATATGTTTCTAACTCTTGATTCCTCCAACGCCTCCTCCAGCCCAACTGTCAAACACCTTCATTATTCAAATCTCCAGTTAAGCTCCCTCCAGTGAGGCATCGCTTCATAACAAATTATGTCTTCATGCTCTTTCATACTTGTATTAAATTCAGTGCAGAGTGTCACTGTGGCAACTATCACATGTATTGTAATTGCAGGGTTCTATGTGCATCACTATAACTTAGAATTATGTCATTTCATCTTTGTATTTCCATAGGCTGGCATATCAAAAACTGCAAAATAAATCACTATAGAAATGAGTGAATGAAACTTGTGATAGAATTGAGTAGCATCATGATGCAGATTGGCACAAAATAAACTAAGAAGTCTTTACAAGAACAAATTAATTATCTCTACTTGTTTTGAAGTTTGGGCAAGGTACATCACAGGATAAGGTGCAAGAAAAATTTCAAGGAGAAATATTTATCTGCTATAGTCAAAAACATCTAAAAAGGAAAGCCATCTGGTATTAAGAAAAATTTCAGTCAAGAAATGGAGAAGAAAAAAAATGGTTTGATAACATTGACACTTATTCCAAATGCTAATTTCTCATGTCTTGCCAATTCAAAATCATATCTCTCTGAAATAGTATTTGGTTTAACTGGCATCTGATATATGAAATAGACCATGTTCTCACATCAGGGATTAATATGCATATATTTATTCAAGGTTCCAAACTAGAATGGCAGGACAATCCATAGTACAACTTGCCGAATGGACATGACCTATACAAGCTAATAATTGTATGAGAGAGCATCAACCAGTAGAATCTGTGACTAAGGCATAGTGCAAATAGCACCAGCTAACACCAGTGAATTAGCCATCATTTCCTGTGAAATTTATTTTTTCCTCTTAACGTGATGACTTACACTCAGAAAAGCACCTTTCCAGAAACAGGAAATCAGCATGTGTGGACTACATAATTTAGCTTTCATTCCACCTAAGAATATCACCCTTGTATAGCAGGAAGTTGAAAATGATTGAATCATCCTATGTTATTATTTCATAGGCATCATTTGCTGTCTTTCTAATAATAGCACTGTGATCTAAACCCATTGTTACCCATAGTTCCTCAATGTAAAAATCAGTGACCTTATTTTTGCCTATTTTTTTATGCTCATGATGAATGAAGTCTAAAATAGAAAAGAACGCAATTACTTTTTGTTTTAAAAGAAAAAAACTTCAACCTGTGGTTTCAAAATTCTTCACACAGATAACAATAGCAATCTAGGAACAGTAAAGAAAACATAGAAGAGAGTACACTCAGGGCTACATAGAGGCAGATTGCAAAAGAATGACAATATTAACCTTTCAGATATATAAATTTTCCCACTCACCTGAAAAAAGAGCCTCTATTCTCTGTTCTGCATTAAGTAGATAGAATAATGTTTCTTAGAATAGGAAAAAAATATATCAAGGTGTAGTTTTTTGTTTAGGGCATTTGTTATTCACAGACCTCTGACCAAGCAAAAGCCTGCAGGTTCTGCTTTACATAAACCTTTTTATTCATAATTTTAAAAAGTTCACATACCTTGCAGTCATTCATAAGCTCCAGAATAGTTTGATGTAATTTACAGGAAGTTATCAAGCTATGAATGAATACAAATTTCTTTTTCTATTTAGCTAGGAGACATAATTTATTTTATTGATTTAGAATACAGAATGACTCTGTTGTCTGAGTTAATTCAATATCAAACAGTTGAAGACTTTTTAAAATTTTCTTAATTTCATCTCAGTAAAATTAAAGAATTTAATATACAAATTCATTGATCTAAGTGTAAATATGAAAATATACTCATTACTTAGTGCAGGCACTGTGTCAAATATCTGCTTTCTCACTCCTTTCAGTGGCTGTTTAAAGTCAGTATCATTATCACATGAAGATACTGAGGCTTAGGAAAGTTACATCAGGTGCCTGAGAATGTGCAGCTACTAAGGGTAAACCCTCAAATCTGCACTTCCATTTGTCTTAAATTACCACCTCAACACTTAGTAAACATCTTATACAGTCAATACACAAAGAAATGTCCAACTCTCTGAGAATTCCTGTTCTCAATTAAATTCCTGTGACAAAAACATTTATGTCATCTGGAAGTTAAGTGAACATTAATTTGATTACAGTGAGCAGTGTTCTACATATGCAAATTGATTTATGGAGTTAATTCATAAATCTACTCACAATGTGTTGTAAAATATCACTTGCTAATATAATTATAATGTGTATCCAAAATTTCTTGTGCATTTAATATTAATAGAAATATTCAATATTTTATCTTAATTCTACACGTGGTAATTCCTTGACATATTTTTTCTTTATGGAAAAACCTATTAAATTCATCGAATTTAAGAAAGTATGATCTGACCCAAATAATACTGGCTCTAGAGATTAAAATGGTGGGTTATTTCTATAATATTTTAAAGACATCAGGACCAGAGAAGTTGTTTTTGTTTATTTTTGGTAAGTGTTGAGGCACAAATTCCTAAGGAATATGAGAAAGAGATAATAACCTTGAAGTTTTCCTCTGAACCTCCCACTAGATTAATGATGGAATTAAACTGCCTAAATATGAGAAGCTATTTCTATTTAATAGGCATTGCTGAGTCAGTGACTTTCATATACAGCATAACAATATTCCCCTCTTCACTAAATATCTAAAAACAACTGTACAAAAATTAGCTCCAAACCTTTAAACTTCATGAAATTTTCATTTTTCTCCAACATCTCAACAGTCATATGAATTGTTGGAATTGTTTGCCTCTAATAACATATTTATAACCATATATTTGCCATTGGGAGATGATAGTGAGTTAATGTAAAATTGCTAATAAAATCTAACTACAATGCTCAGTACTGATGTTATCCCTAAGAAAGAATAACTGTGATTACCACAAATAAATGTATATGCAATTACCTTACAAAAAATGAAGTTATATCATGGACAAAATGATAATATATAAAATTTTATCTGTAACTCCCTTTTAGTTAAGTAAAAAAGACAAATTATGAGTCATTCATTGGATAGTTGTTTACTTACAACATTCATAGTACATCTCTGCCCTTGAAGTCTATACGGAAAGCATATGTTGCCAAGGGCAGTGGCTCACTCCTGTAATCCCAGAATTTTGGGAAGCCAAGACAGGAGGATCCCTTGAACCTAGGAGTTTGAGACTAGTCTGGACAAGATGATGAGACCCCATCTCTAACAAAGTAAAAAATAAAATGTTAAAAATGTGTATGCATTTGTCCTTGCAGAATTCAGGTCGGTCTTCTGGTGGTCTTAGAAGGGGAAAAGACTTCATAATCTATATGAAGGGGTATTCTAGAGGAAACAGAAATATCTTTAGCTTGAAGTAATTCAGATGTAGCTTCAAATCTCTGCTTACTTAATTAGTAACTCTACACTCTAGGGCAAGGTGATTAATAATCTGAATTTTGACAACATACAAAGGAGAGGAACTGATACCTATTACAAACCCAGCTATATTGCTAATAATATCTGACACAAGGTCTGGCTAAAATACTTGTTGAACGCATCTGAGAACAAGGAAAATGCACACTTGCCCTAGAGAATTATAATAAAGGTTATCAGAAATAAAATGTGAGAAAGAATGTCACATAATCCATGGCAATTGAAAGCAATCATTAGGTCTTAGTTTCTCTCTCCTCTGTATACCCTTTCGTTATATAAAGTCTTGAGATTTCTAGATTGCTTGCCTTTATTCCTATCTCTAAAGGTTACTCATCTATATGAATTATCTCTATTTGTGACCCTTTGGTGCTTTCCTTTTATTCTAATTATTGGGTCTAGAGGAGTGATTCATGAGGTTGTCTAAAATTGGGTCATTTGGAATTGGTTAGAGGAACCCTATTTGGGTACATGACATTTATATTTTGATACTTTTTTGGAGAAATTTTGGCATGGTCAAGAATATTAATTGTTAGTTTAAATATTTTTGGCTATGTAAAATTTTAGCAACATGTATTTCCCATTGATAATCTTTAATCCTTTTCTCATCATTTGTTTCACTTAGTATAATTCTAGTTTCAGGAATCAGTGACTGCTTTCAAATCAGCTTTAAAATTAATCTGGATTTATTTTCTAAAACAAATGAAATTTCATTTTTATTTGATTAATCAAACAATGTAATCAGGGCTCAATTTCATCTGTGTCTTTCCTAGCTTGTCAGCTTTGCTTTGGATTATTTTATGGAAAACTTCCATTTTCCATCTGAGTCACGTCTGTCTAGTATTTCCCCAGACTACACGTTCCCATATTCAAATCTAGCAAAAAAGAAAAATTAAGCTGCACAACTCTAATTGGATTTATAACCAGAGAAAGGAGTATTTTAACTGGATTATGTCAATCAGTCATATTTCTGATTATAGAGGTGGGGGTCAATCTTAATTCAACTACATGGCTAGAAAATATGAATTAGTGTTATTAAAAGAAAGGCGACCAATAAACAATAATCTCCAACTTTTTGACCAACCAATGTTTTAAAAATCCCCTTCTCATAACTGTCTTTAAAAACATGTCTAATGCTATAAATGCATATATTTAACTCCTCCTAAAAAGAAGAGGAACAACAAAATATGATGTGTGATTACATTCCATTCTATACCCAGAATCTCTGGATGATACTCAGTTCTCTTTGTGAAACTTGTCTGTAGCTCACCATTGGCTAGCAGCCTGTCATTAACTGATAAGTTTAACTTGGCCCCGGATGTCCAAGATATTCACTGGGACAAAGCATAAGGAAAGTAGAATAAAACACCCATTTGGAAATACATAATGGCCCCTAGGTCATAATAGATATCATAGCCTGTTGAAATGGAATAACAAACTATTCATATGCTATTATTTAAGTTTTTTTGTTTGCCTGTTTTGTTTTGTTTTTCCAATCTGAGGCTTTGGGTTGTGTTTTCTGGACGATGCTGCCTTGATCATTGCACTTCATTCCTTCTGATTCTTCGGTCCTTGAGGAACTTTTTAAAATACCTGCCTCTGTCTTTACGCCACTATTCTCACTGTTCCATAGGGCACCTCTGGTCTGTTCATGTTTTAGGGTCTGGAGATGGTTTCAGGACTTTAGAAAACATATATTCTAATTGCAAGGATTTGGCTGGCCCTGACCATAGAACCTATGGACAGAACAGAGGCCTCAGATGTAACACCACATATCTACAACAATCTGATCTTTGACAAACCTGACAAAAACAATCAATGGGGAAACGATTCCCTATTTAATCAATGGGGTTAGTAGAACTGGCTAGCCATATGCAGAAAACTGAAACTGGACCCCTTCCTTAAACCTTATACAAAAATTAACTCAAGATGGATTAAAGACTTAAACGTAAAGCCTAAAACCCTAAAAACCCTAAAGGAAAACCTAGGCAATGCCATTCAGGACATAGGCATGGGCAAAGGCTTCATGACTAAAACACCAAAAGCAATGAGAGCACAAGACAAAATTGACAAATGCGATCTAATTAAACTAAGGAGCTTCTGCACAGCAAGAGAAACTATCATCAGAGTGAACAGGCAACCTACAGAATGGGAGAAAATATTTGCAATGTATCCATCTGACAGAGGTCTAATATCCCGGATCTACGAGGAACTTAAACAAATTTAAAAGAAAAAAACAACCCCATCAAAAAGGCAAAGGATATGAATAGACACTTCTCAAAAGAAGAATTAATGTGGCCAACAAACATAGGAAAAAAAGCTCATCATCACTGGTCATTAGAGAAATGCAAATCAAAATCACAATGAGATACTATCTCACACCAGTTATAATGGCGATGATTAAAAAGTCAGGAAACAACAGATGTGAGAGAGGATGTGGAGAAATAGGAATGCTTTTACACTGCTGGTGGGAGTGTAAATTAGTTCAACCATTATGGAAGATAGTGTGGCAATTCCTTAAGGATCTAGAACCAGAAATACCATTTGACCCAGCAATCTCATTACTGGGTATATACCTAAAGGATTATAAATCATTCTACTATAAAGACACATGCACGCATATGTTTATTGCAGCACTATTCACAATAGCAAAGACTTGGAACCAACCCAAATGTCCATCAATGATAGACTGGATAAAGAAAATGTGGCACAAGTACACCATGGAATACTATGCAGCCTTAAAAAAGATGAATTCATGTCCTTTGCAGGGTCATTGATGAAGCTGGAAACCATCATCCTCAGCAAACTAATACAGGAACAGAAAAGCAGAGACCGCATGTTCTTACTCATAAGTGGGAGTTGAACAATGAGAACACAGAACGCATAGAAACAGGGAGGTGAATATCCCACACTGGGGCCTGTTGCGGGCTGGGGGGCAAGGAGAGGGATAGCATTAAGACAAATACATAATGTAGATGATGTTGATGGGTGCAGCAAGCCACCATGGCACATGTATACCTATGTAACAAACCTGCATGTCCTGCACATGTATCCTAGAAATTAAAGTATATTAAAAAAACTTCATCAATCTAGAATTATAAATCTAGCAAAATTATTCTTCAAACGTGAGAGAGAATCAAAGCCTTTTGCAAACAAACAAACAAACAAACAAACAAACAAAAAAGAACCTATGGAAAAACAGAATGGGTTTATTTTCTGCCCGTTTTGAATCAATTTCAGGGGTATTTTCCAGTTATAATTTTCAGTCTATGACAGGGCATGCTGAATATCTCTATTTTTAAACATTAAAATGTTGTTTTTGCCTATTCCTTCAGACTTCATTTTCCTGTAATTTGCTTTCATTTTAACCTCTGCCTGGAGAAAATTTGAAATAAATGCCAATAATGTGTATCTGTCCCTACATGACATTCAGGTTGCAGTGTCAAAATGATCCTGTTTATCATAAATAATGGTATTTGCCAAGCACAGAAAAATTATTAGGTGTTTGTGAGAGATCTGTGGGGCCAGGTTTCTCCTAGAGTTCTAAGTTATGCTTTTTCTAATTTCCCGTATCTCAGGGTTTTTCAACTGTGTCAAGTTCCAGATTATTTCATTCAGTTGCTTTTATTTATAGTCTCCAGGTGGAACAATCTCCACTGAAAAAGTCCTTTTTTCCCTCTATGATTTCTCTGGCCAGTTCTGTAGCATGATTTGCTACATAAGAAGCTGCTATAAGATGCAGGAAGTATTCAGCAAACTCCAACAGTGTGAAATTGTCCTAAGTTTCCTAGTGTTGTAGCCTAAGGTAGGACATGAAGAAATATTCCAAGATATATTTCTTCATACTGTATAAGGGCAGAAAAATGGATTACTGATTCCTATGCTTAGTAAGTTCATCACTGTTTCCACCACAGAGGAAGGAGATAGCGTGGCAGCATATCATTTCAACTTCAATAAGCTCCAGTCAAACATTCCCGCGGTGCAAGCACGTAAATATAATAACTGTTGTAAAATCATTTTTTAAAACACTCATATGATGGTCTCTATAGGTCTACATCCCCTGGCATGAGTCAAGACAAAAAATTCAGAAGTTTCTTTCCCCCACTTGCAGGAATACAGTTAACATAGGTTGGGGAAGAAAAGAAGAGAGAGAAGATTTATGTGGGCGAAGAAGTAGTAGACTAGGAAACCATGAGCTTATGCCAGAGCAGAAACAGATTGGCAAGCAACATTTGAAAGATACTGTGGAAAGTGAATAAGTGCTGAGTGGACTCGCTTGTCACTTACTGATGAGAATCTTTGTATTTGAGACTGCTGGCATTCATCAAATTGGGGTAATCTTCTTCTTGGATGCACAACTTGACTGCATTTCACAGGCTCCCTTGAAGTTAGATTTGATCGTGTTCCTCAGATCTAGCCAATGAAAGGTAAGAGGAAGTGGTCTAACACTCTCTTCACTCTCTCCAAATAAATAACCTCCCGAAATAAGTCCTCTATGTTTCCTTCACCCTGACTGCTAAATGGATAGAGAAAACCATGCTAACCTGGAAAGTTGTATGTGCAATATCACAGAATGTTCTTCATCTTGGGTCTCTGAATATGTCAGGGTGACCACTTGAATCACCTGAATTCTGTCCAAGATTCTTAAGTAAGCAAAACCCTACACTAATTCATATCTAAATCACTATATAGCTTGACTGTTACGTGGTAGGCAGTTATAAAACTGATATCACAGATTGGAAAGGATTCCTGTGTCACACATTGACTAAAAACACTTAAAACACTTGATGAAATCATTACTTCAGTAAACCAGGGGGCAAAGAGCCTACCATTACTTTAGTCCTAGGGAAAGAGATCCAATAGAGCCTACATAGAATTTCAGTATTGCTGCCTTTAGTTAAGATGTTAATTAAAAACAGAGAATTTCAGTACTGCTGCCTTTAGTAAGATTTTAATTTAAAAAAAAATAACTAAAATAAGGGCTTTCTCTTCGAGAGAAGAGATCTAAGGTGATAAGAGTCAAGGTATGAAAAGCTTACAGATAAGGAGAAGTCAACTCTTATTGGGCACCAAACTATAGAATACAAGATTTTCTACCTAATTGTATTGTTTTATGTCACCTCAAATTTGAATGGACTCATATTACAATAAGAGAGGCATAAAGACAAAGAAATAAGAATAAAAATCAGTCTAAGAAATTTTTCCTGGAAATAAATTTTGTGAAAATTACTGGATTAAGGAACTGAATGAAAGCAAAAAGGATCAGTAATCTACTGAGTTGTCTTAGAAGGAAATTGATTACTTTATCAAAAAAATAATAAAAACTGTGACTGTGGAAACCTGGGCTGTACAACCTGGTACAGAGTATACTCCCTTGACCACTTCAAGTGTGGTCACATGAGTAATTGTCAAGGTAGGAGCCCAGGGAGAAAGAGTCTGAGCATGATATTAGATCCTAGGCACAATCTTGTCTTAGGAAAAAAGCCCTATTTCTCATAGTATGTTAGAGGAATGAAGTAGTAGCAAACAAGGTTTAAGATCAATCTACAAGGTAGTAAATCAATATAAACTCTTAATACTATGGAGTAAACTAGCATAGAAGTAGCCAAGCACATCCTCATGAATTAATTACTGTCAAATTCCCAGTGTAAAATCTTCATGAGAGCTTGGATAATATTCCTTCTTGCCCCCTCTGCCTTGGTGCCAACATAAACAAAGACTAGAGAAAACTGCGAGAAGTTGGTTACTCTATGGATGAAGAAATAAATAAATGATTAAAGAAATTTCTAGGGCATACTAAACTATGCCTATATGTTTAAGATTAGCATAGGTTAGATTTGTCTTGGTCCCTATGATGAAGAAGAAATTATAACATCTGAGATATCCAGTATGGTAGACACGAGCCACATGTGGCTATTGAACACTTAAAATGTGGCTAATGAAGCTGATGAATTGATTTCTAGATTTAATTTATTTAATCAAAAAGTAAATTTAAATAGCCATGTATGGGTATTTGAGTTAGGCTACTCATACTTCTGGAACAGGAGATGATCATAGAGCTATTTAAATCAAATACCGTCTTACCAGGATCCAAATAACTTTCTTTTCTTTCCATTAATATCTGTTAATTTATTTACTAAAACTATATTGAATCATTTTTTTCTTTCTATATAGGATACTAGCTAGCTGTTTTGAGAGATGCAAAGGCTCTTCTGAAGCCTAATGGAAGTGGAGATAACTGGATATTAGTTTGCTTTATATTCAGAGAATACAATCAGGGTTTCAGGACATAAGTTTGGCCTATGTATTTACAATCAAAACTTTTAAAAATTTCCCCCCAGCCTCTTCTCTATGCATGGCTTCCAGTTATTCTGCCAATTCCTCCATATATTGTAGGTGAATCTCATTATTCTCCCTGAAAATCGTTTCCTCCACTGTACCCAACCTATAGCCGCTTCCTCCTCCTCCTTCCTCCTTTTTCTTCTATAAACCCTTTATTTCTGGCCAGACATGGTAGCTCATACCTGCAACTCCAGCACTTTGGAAGGCCAAGGTGGGTGGATCGCTTGAGCCTAGGAATTCAAGACCAGCCTGGGCAACATGGTAAAACTTCGTCTCTAAAAACTAATTTAAAAATTAGCGGGGCTTGGTGGCACATGCATGTAGTTGCAGTTACTCAGGAGGCTGAGACGGGAGAATCACCTGAGTTTAGGGAGGTCAAGGCTGCAGTAAGCCAAGATTATGCCACTGCACTCTAGCCTTGGGTGACAGAGTGAGACTCTGTCTCAAAATAACAAAACAAAACAAAACCCCTTTATTTCCCATTTTAAAAACAGTTGAAAATCATCTTCTCTTTTCAATTTCTATCACTCTTCCAATTAAGGCAGAATTTAGAAAAATCAGTGATTTCCTTTACTTTCTAATTGCATAACTTTTATACATAACTGTTATAGTATTTATCATCATTTATCATGGACTTCTATTTAATCATGAATGACTTTGCTCTCTGAAATTCTTGAGATCTGCTAAACTTGAGACTGAGATATTGGGTTTACATTTTACTCGAGTACATTATTCTGATAATAACATCTTTATTTTGCTATCCCTGTAGCAACACTAGAATTCCTTTTTACAACCATTTTCCTTTGGGACTTCGGGGTACAATGGAGAATACACTGTTCAAGAAAATTTAGCATAATTAATTGAATCCTGGAGTCTGCCATCCTTCTCAGAGGCGAAGCTTTGCTTTATCTCAACCTTGACTCACAGTAGGAAATATAATGTATGAACACTTGTAAATGATCTTTGCCTATACTAAAATATTCACTCAATTCTACAGTTTCCATCTAGCCAGTAAGCCACTGTATCTTTATCATTGTATCAGTACAATCCATAATGAGCAACTGGAGTCACACACAACAAAGTTTGTCTTTCGTGGAGTCCCTGGAATCATATTACCATTCTATTATCTACCAAATCACAGGCTTATGCTATAAAATTCAGGAGGCCCATGGGAGTTGTGCCTTCCAGCAAGCCAGTATAAAATGTGTTTCCTTCCAAATCTTCCTGTCTGGCATTCACCCATCAGAAACCATAAATTATCAAGCTCTTCTAGGGTAGCAAGGAAAAATCATGAATACTTTTCAACTTTCTGTTATCTACAACCTAATCCTAGAAGACTTAACCAATCCCAAGCAAAAATTTCAAATGCCTTTAGATACCCTCTTTCAAATTCCAGGCATCTCTACCATAAATGAAATAATAATATATTGGACTTGTCTGTCTTGGGGTGAATATAAACATTTGAATAAATGGAAAAAGATGAAATATCCAAGTTAATTATTTTCTGCCTTCAGCTTAGGTCTCTTTAAACGTGTGCAATCATAAGAATCTTTAACCCTTGCTTCTTCCCAAGAATTTCACACAATGTCTGAGGAAGGGTTTATGGTGGAGATTCATGAAGTTTTCATCCTCCTCATACTCCTTTCTGATTAGTGAGAATAACAAGTTGTGGCCTGTATATTGTTTGGATCATGATATCAGGAGACAACTTACTAATTCACCAGTTTGGCTTTGTTGCACAGATTTAACAATATGAAGCTTTATTAGGTCAGGAAATAGTGTAAGTCCTGAGTCCTCTTTACTTCTATTTTATTTAGTAAGTACTTGCCAAGTGGTTCAGTAGTCCAATTCTATGACAATCAACTTGTTAATCTCTATTAGTTCCTCAATGAGTCCCATTACTATCAAGTCCAAGTTCATTTAGATCCTTACAAGTGTCAACCTCAAAAGAAATTTTCTAAATATTGATCAAATAATGAAGAATATAGCTCCTCATATTTATTACCCATTTTTATTCAGCAGACAAAACTATTTGCTATATGATCCTTGGCTAAAGAATTGAGCTGTTCTGCAGAAAAAGGGCTTTTCTCTATGTATTGTCTTTCCAACTGGTTGATTGTTAGCTAAAATGAGTAGGCAGTAAATCTAGTGAAGAATAATATTGAGTTAGGGTTGATTATTTTAAAATATTTTTTCAACCCCTTTTCAATTCCACAGGTCCCATCTAGACACTCCATCTTTCTAGAACTTTTAAGGAGCTACTGTAGTCAAGCACAAGAAACTCTGTGTTTCCTGGGATCTCTTGAGTCCTATTGACATTCTATTACATACAAAATCACTGACTTTTTTCACCAATATTACATTGTCTCTTGTTTGCTACCAGCTAACACTATACCTGAATTACCTTTTAGTTTTTCTTTCACCTTTTTTGCATCTTATCAATTGCAAGGTAGTTAACTCTGAAAATGGGATACGTGTTTGCATTTTTCTTAATTTTATGTTGTGGTCTTAGTCTTAAATGCTTAATAATACCCAACCCTGCAATAGGGAGGGTTTGCAGCAACGTAATTTAGGTAAATTTGATTTGGGCAGTGGATAGAGTCCAGAGTGGAAAATGAAAGGGGTGAACAGTGAATCACATTATTTTGGTAATCATCGTTTGAATTAATCTTTTAAAAATATATACCTTTAACCCACCTGCATTTGAGTCACTGGCATGCCCAAACCCTACTGAATATTCAAACTGCAGTTTCCAAATCTGCATTTTTGTCAAGACCAAACTGTCCAAACTCTCAAGACTTTGAAGCACAAAGCAAGCTAATAACACCTGTCCCAGACTTAAGTGGAGAAATTTACATGGCAAGATTACAGTTTAAGTTAAGAATTTTAAAAAAGTAACATCAGTTGATCCTTTCATGAAACATACCAGCTCGGGGATGAACAGAACCAAATTTGTGTGTAATAGTTTTCATTTAATTTTTTATGTTCCAAATTAGAGAAAAAAGTGATGATGAAACACAGGAGATAATGTGAAAGGCTCTATTTAGAAATTATCTTTGTGCTTATGTTGCTTATAAATTCTTGCTGTCTATAAATATGCAGCTTTAAGCATTCATTCATTTCGTATTATATCATACCATAGCAGCATAAATTATTCTGTCCTAACGTAAGTGGGTAAATCTTAAATTTGAAGTTGATTTCTTATCCCAGAAGTAGTCATTCCTTCATTTCTTTCAATCAATATTTTTATTATCTACTATAAATTAAATAATTTAGATTTTGAAGAGTTAGTTGTGACCAAATCAGACAAAACTCTTTGTCTTTATAGAGCTTAGAATCTTGTTTGATAAGGCAGGCAATAATTATATACATAAATAAAGCATAATATGTGCTAAAGATAATGAGTGCTTTAAAGAAAGATAATTTAGGGAAAGGAAAAACAGGAGATTCATCATTCGTCATCATACCATAGCCCAAAAAGTGAAACAAGGCTCTCATGTTAATGATAGAAATTTTTTAGAAGTATGGAAAAATAATGTTCATGAAATAGACCCTGAGAAAGAAGAATAAATAACATGTCCTAGCTTTTTAGCCTGGTAGATACACATTTGTCTATTAGGGGATCTTGGCAGTAGTAGAAAAAGAGGAATGGAAAGTTTACAGACTCTTCTCTCCATTATCGTTGTTTCTTAACTCTCTTATCACTACATTTGCTCCCATTTAACATTTTCTTCTGTTTCTTTAAATTTTGAATTTTTATGGATGCATAGTAAGTGTATATATTTATGGAGAACGTGAGATATTTTGATACAGACATACAATGTGTAGTAATCATGTCAGGGAAAATAGGTGCCTGTCACTTTAAGCATGTATCATTTTTTGATGTTACAAACATTCCAATCACACTATTTTAGTTACTTTTAAACGTACAGGCCAAGTGCAGTGGCTCATGCCTGTAATTCCAACACTTAGGAAGGCTGAGGTGGGTGGATCAGTTGCACCCAGGAATTAGAGACCAGCCTGGGCAACATGGCAAAACCCCATTTTAACAAAAAATTAGCCAGGCATGCTGGCATGCACCTGCAGTCCCAGCTACCTGGGAGTCTGAGGTAGGGGATTACTTGAGCCCAGAAGGTTGCAGCTGCAGTGAGCGGTGATGGTGCCTCTGTACTCCAGCCTGGGCAACAGAACAAGACCCTGTTTCGAACATAAAGTAAAATGTACAACAAATCATTGTTGATTATAGTCACCTGGTTGTTCTATCAAATAGTATATTTTATTCATTCCACTTAACTACATTTTTGTACTCATTAACCATCCCCACCTTCTGTCCCCTCCCCACTACCCTTCCCAGCCCTGGTAACTATCAATCAATGCCCTGTCTCCGGGCATTCAATTATTTTAATTTTGCTCCCGGTAGGGTGTGGTAGCTCACGCCTGTAATCCTAGCACTTTAGGAGGTTGACGCAGGTGGATTGCCAGAGCTCAGGAGTTTGAAATCAGTGTAGCCAACATGGTGAAACCCAATCTCTACTAAAAATACAAAAAAAAAAAAAAAAAAAAAGCCAGGCATGGTGGTGCACACCTGTAGTCCCAGCTACTCAGGAGGCTGAGGCATGAGAATCCCTTGAACCCAGGAGATGGAGGTTGAAATGAGCCAAGAATACACCACTGCACTCCAGTCTGGGTGACAGAGTGAGACTCTGTCTCAAAATAAATAAATAAATAAATAAATTGCTCCTACAAATTAGAGAGAACATGTGAAGTTTTGTCTCTGTCTCTGTCTTTCTGTGCCTGGCTTACTTCACTTAACATAATGTCCTGTAGTTCCATCCGTGTTGCAAATGACAAGATCACATTTTTTCTATGGCTGAATAATACTTCATTATGTGTAAGTATCACATTGTCTTTATCCATTCATCTGTTAGTGAATACTTCGGGTGCTTTCAAATCTTGGCTCTGGGGAATAGTGCTGCAATAAACATGGGAGTGCAGACATTTCTTCTTTATACTGATATTTCTTTTGGGTATATACCCAGCAGTGGGATTGCTGTAGTAGTGATATTTTGAGTGCTTTACGGAACCTCCGTACTGTTCTCCATAGTGACTGTACAAATTTACATTCTCAAAAGCAGTGTACCAGGGTTCCCTTTTCTCTACATTCTCATCAGCATTTGTTACTGCCTGTCTTTTGGATAAAAGCCATTTCAACTGGCATTAGGCTATATCTGATTATAGATTTTATTTGCATTTCTTTGATGTTCAATGATGTTGAGCACCTTTTCATATACCTATTTGCCATTTATGTGCCTTCTTTTCAGAAATACATGTTTAGATCTTTTGCAAATTTCAAAATTATTAGATTTTTTATAGAGTTGTTTAAGCTTCTTATGTATTCTGGTTATTAATCCCATATCAGATGAATTGTTTGTAATTATTTTATGTCATTCTGTGGGTTGTCTTGTCACTTTGTTTTTTATTTCTGCTGCTCTGCAGAAGCTTTTTAACTTGATGTGATCTCATTTGCCTATTTTTACTTTGGTTGCCTTTCTTGGTATTACTCAATAAATTTTTGCCCAGACCAATGTCCCGGACAGTTTCTCCAATATTTTCTTTTAAGTAGTTTCATAGCTTTAGGTCTTACATTTAATTCTTTAATTCATTAAAGACATAATGGATTAATAAAAACATTTTCTTCAGTTTCTTAAAAGTTAGACTTTATGTCCCATGTTAGCCCTTGATTGTCATCTTTTTCTCACCATAATCCCATCTCCTTTGCCCCAATTAAATATCACTATATTGTGTAATTTACCTCCTAAAAAAAACTTCTCTGTAAAATATCTACTTTTCACTTATTGTTGTATTCTTGTAAATGATCATTATATGTGTTCTTTTCAGGGGGTCCTGAAAATACTGTACTACATTCATCATGGTAGTTAAAAAGAATTGCATAAACCACCGAATTATTTAAGCCAAGATTAGCCATAATAAATACAAAGAAGTGACTCATAAAAATATAAGTGAATATCAGTTTGATAGAACTAGATCTGGCAATGATAGGCAATAATAAAATAAACGATATTAGCTGTAAACAAGGATCTTTTCTTTCTCCTTTCTCACTTTGCCATCCCAGAATAGGTTGTAATCTACACTTGCCTGGATTACTGCAATGGTTTTATACCTGGATTACTAGATTCCAGAATGTCATTGTTTTATCCATTATGCCTTGCATTTTTATAGATTGATTTTTAGAAAATTCAAATTTTCTCATATAAATTATACTTTTAATTTTTATTTATCTAATAATTTTTTTAGCAATAGGGTCGCACTCTGTCACCCAGGCTGGAGTGCAGTTTTGGGATCCTATTCACTGCAGCTCCAAACTCCTGGGCTTAAGGGATCTTCCCATCTCAGCTTCCTGAGTAGCTGCAACTACAAACATGTTCCACTATGTCCAGCTATTTTTTTTTTGAGAAATGGGGTCTCACTATATTGTCCAGGCAGGTCATGAAATCCTGACCTCAAGTAATCCCCTTGCCTCAGCCTCCCAAAGTGCTGTGATTATAGGCATGAGCCTGGCTTAATTTTGTTTTTTGTTTTTTGTGGTTTTTTTTGTATGATACATTACAATTTTTATTCTGTCACATTATGAAACATCTTTATAATTAGATGATACCAATGTATTTCCATTAATATTAAATAGAGAACTTAGGTTCCAATACATGGTATCAACCACGATATTCTTGACAGGGCTTACCCTCATGAAATACAATCTGCAGTTGTATAGCACTGCTTGGAATGCATTATTCATCGTGAAAATGCTTCATTTTGAAAATATCATTGTTGCCAAACAGCTCAACCAAGTTCTTTAATTTCATCTCTATCGTTAAGAAAGGAAATATTCTGGCTGGGCACGGTGGCACCTGCCGGTAATCCCAGCACTTTGGGAGGCCGAGGGGGGCCGATCACAAGGTCAGGGGATCGAGACCATCCTTGCTAACATGGTGAAACCCCGTCTCTACTTAAAAAAAAAAAAAAAAACTTAGCCAGGCGTGCTGGCACGTGCCTGTAGTCCCAGCTACTAGGGAGGCTGAGGGAGAAGAATCGTTTGAATCTGGGAGGCAGAGGTTGCAGTGAGTTGAGATCACACCACTGCACTCCAGCCTGGGCGACAGAGCAAGACTCAGTCTCAAAAAATAAATAATAATAATAAAAGAAAAGAAAAAAAAAAGAAAGGAAATATTCTGACACACCGCTTTTTATGTCAGGCAATTCTCCCTCTCATGGGGGAATGGAGTGAAAATTGAGTAACTACTCAACCGAGAATTTAGAACCATTTCACAATGGCTCTGATTTGACAGGGCTTAAATGGAGCAAATTTTTGGATGGTGAAACATACTAATGTCATGTACTTTGAAAAGAAGAAAAACATTTTAATGACCAAATTGTGCATTTTACATAATTGAAAACATTAATTTGAGGAACAATAAACTTGTATTTCAACTACTCTCATTTTTGAGCAATGTGGGAGATAATAACAATCTGTGACTCACCATTGCTACTTGTGTCTCTAAAGCACAATAAAAATCAGAAATAAAAAGAAACAAAATACCAGAATGATATTGTTGTTGAGGTGAACTGAGAATAAGGTGCACTGTAGGCTTAAAACTGAAGTACAGGGCCGGGCGCGGTGGCTCACGCCTGTAATCCCAGCACTTTGGGAGGCCGAGGCGGGCGGATCACGAGGTCAGGAGATCGAGACCATCCTGGCTAACACGGTGAAACCCCGTCTCTACTAAAAATACAAAAAATTAGCCGGGCGTGGTAGCGGGCGCCTGTAGTCCCAGCTACTCGGGAGGCTGAGGCAGGAGAATGGCGTGAACCTGGGAGGCGGAGCTTGCAGTGAGCCGAGATCGCGCCACTGCACTCCAGCCTGGGCGACAGAGCGAGACTCCGTCTCAAAAAAAAAAAAAAAAAAACTGAAGTACAGAAGTTCTAAATTTAAGTTTATGTAAACGTCTTTTCTTCTCTAAATGATATTTCGCTTATTTCTACTACTTCTCTTTGAGGAGGTAAATTTGGAGATTCCCTCATTACATTCAGGCATTAAAGTGCCCACTACATTTACTATAGAGTTGATGGTTTATAATTGTGTAAAAAAATTATTCATGCTTTCCAGATACAGAATAGGCTCTAATATGATAAATAGATAGATCTTTAGGAGAAGTATTAAGTTTACCTGACCAAAGACATGGATTTTGAGTTAGTTTTGTCCCTTCAAATTTATCTATAAAAATTATAAAGTAAAAATTATAAAATAAATCAATTTACATTAAATATTAGGTTTCAAGCATACACATGTAGATTGTGCTTAAACACACTTCTGAAGTTAAATTAATAATGTTATTGTCATGATGTGATTGTGATTTCATTAAAGTTTATTGTCTGTATCAGTTGACTTAGTAAGTTAAATCTGTCACCTAATAAAGTCAAAGTGTTGAAGCTGATGCATGGATAGCCTAGGGCATTCTGATACTTTTATATTCTCTCTAGATACTTTCAACATTAAGAACCTTGGTCAAGAAAGAAAGATGATGGAAGACAGTGACTAATAGCACCACCCATCAATAATGATGGAACTTTATATTTCATAGGTTAAATTATCTAGAATGTGATTGAAACTAATGAAAACACATAAAAATATATAAGGAGACTGAGAAGAACAGCATCATCCTAAACTCAAAATTTCCATCGTCTCATCTCAAGATGGTCTGAGGCATTTAAAATTTAACTTATACTTCCAACTTTTCAACTGTTTTATGTTCTTTTTTTCTTTTCCTAAAAATGCTAATTTTCATAGTACATCACTTATGGTAGGCAGAATAATGATTCCCTACCGATGTGCACATCCTAAACCAAAGAACTCATGAATGTGTTATGTTAAATGGCAAGGAGGAATAAAGTTTCCTGATAAAATTAAAGTCAATAATCAGATAACATTGAGATGGGAACTTATCCTGAATTATCCCAAAGAGCCTAATGTAATCTCAAGTGTGTATAAATGTACAACAGGGAGGCAGAAGAAGAGTCAGTGTTAGAATGATGTGATGTGAGAGTTACTTACTCACCCAATCATTGTTAGCTTTGAAGATGGAAGGAGATCAATGAGTCAAATAATGCATACATTAATAGCTTCTAGGCCTGGAAAAGGCAACTAAAGAGTTTATTCTTTAAAGCCTGCAGAAAAAAATGTAGCCCTTCCAACATCTACATTTCAGCCCATTGAAATTCATTTAGGGCCATTAACCTGTAGAACTATAAGAATATATTTGTTTTATTATAAGCTGCAGAGTTTGGGAAAATTTGTTACAGCAGCAAAGGAAACATATACATCATACAAGAGCATTCTTATCAGTATCCTTGATATCTTGCCTTACACTTTTCTAGAACTACATTGTCACACTTGAATTATTCAATTTTTTCTCGAATTCTGGAGTTGATAAAAATCTGTTTTTGACAATTAATTAATTATGCCAAATAGAAGAGTATGCACAGTATTAATGTGGCAGAGAAAGGATCTATTATTTACTTCATTGTTGATTTCATTGAATAGCAATCATATTATTTTATTTTATATTTTATTGTATAATTAAATAATAGTCATTGAATAATAATCATATTACCCACTTCCTTGGATTATAGATATGAATTTTAAAGTTTTGAGAATCTTTAAATCTATGATTTGTTTATTCATTTTGTGTGATTAGGAAGAGTTAGATAGTTTTGGTATGTGCACACTCTGAATTCTTGATCAAGTCTGTCACTGCAAATTAATTGTTAAATTTTCAATATTAATAACAGTATAGTATTACTAAAAATCTATTTTAATTATACTTACAATAGCTTCACTTTCCACATTGTGAAGCATTTGCACCAAAACATTTTATTTAGCTGATATAACTTACTATCATAAAGTTACAAGTGTGGACTCTGAAATAAAACTGAGTTTAAATCTGTTTTTGTAATTTATTAATTGTATAGCCTTTGGCAAATTAGTTAAGTTACATGTGTTTCAGCTTTCTCACCTATCAAATTAGTATAACTATATTTACATTGTACAATTGTTGCTGAAGATTAAATATAATAATTATTATGAATATAGCACACTGTAAGAACCCAGTAAAGATTAACGTCTTTATAATCATTTATTTGCATAATGTGCTCTTATAATTCACTGAGAAAATACTTACTTTTAGCCACAGTTATCTCCAATTCTTCTGTTCTCTTAGTATAAGCTTTTTTATTTACCTGACCTTCCTTCCTATCTTTAGGGGCAGGTGCTTTTAAGTCTATCTGAAGTTAAACCCTTCACTTCTGCCATCTCTACTCACATTTCTTAATTTCTATAGAAAACGGATTCATCAGTCATTGTCTTTAAAACTGAAGTATTTAACTCACTCTCTGACATGGTCTTTCTTACTCATTTTATAAACACATTGATTCTAGCTCTTCATAAGTAAACAGTCCCAAATCTATTAATATGTGTTCCATCATCCATCTCCCTTACAGCATCAAGCTTCCAGAAAGTGTGGATTGTTATTGCTGCCCACACTTTTTCACTAAAACCTAAAACTATTCTTATTTATTTATTTATTCATTGATATTATTTATTTATTCATTGATATGGAGTCTCATGTTCTCACCAAGGCTGAAATGCAGTGGCACCATCATAACTCATTATGACCTAGAATTCATGGGATCAAGCAAACCTCCCACCTTAAACTTCCAAGTAACTGGGACCACAGGAGGGCATCACCACACTCAGATTATTTTTAATTTTTTGTTTTGTTTTGTTTTTGTAGAAATAGGATCTCACTATGTTGCCTAGGCTGGTCTCAAACTCCTGGCCTCAAGCAATCCCCTTGCCTTGGCCTGCCAAAGTGCTGGGATTATGGATGTCAGCCACTGCACCCAGCCCATAAAACTATTATTAATAGCATTATTTATGGCTTTGCAAAACCCAAAACTATAAAAACCCTAGAATAAAATCTAGGCAATACCATTCAGGACATAAGCACCAGCAAATAATTCATGATGAAAACGTCAAAAGCAATAGCAACAAAAGCAAAAATTGACAAATGGTATCTAATTAAACTAATGAGCTTCTGCACAGAAAAAAAAAAACAGAACAGACAACTTACAGAAAGAGAAAATTCTTGCAATCTATCCATCTGAAAAATGTTTAATACCCACAATCTACAAGGAACTTAAACAAATTTACAGGAAAAAAATTAAAAAGTGTCCAAAGGACAGGAACAGACACTTCTAAAAAAATATTCATCCAACAAGCATATGAAAAAAGCTCAACATCACTGATCATTAGAGAAATGCAAATCAAAACTACAATGAGATTTCATCTCACACCAGTCCCAATGGTGATAATTACAAAGTCAAGACACAACAGATGCTGGGGAGGCTGTGGAGAAATAGGAAAGCTTTTACACTGTTGGGGGGCATGTAAATTATCTCAACCATTGTATAAGACAGTGTGATGATTCCTCAAAGACCTAAAGACAGAAATAACATTCAACTTAGCAACCTCATTACTGGGTATATACCCAAATAAATATAAATTGTTCTATTATAAAGACACATGCACACATATGTTTACTGCAGCACTATTCACAATAGCAAAGACATAGAATCAACCTAAATGTCCATCGCTGATAGACTGGATAAAGAAAATGTGGTACATATACACCATGGAGTACTATGCAGCCATAAAAAGGAATGAGAATATGTCCTTTGCAAAGACATGAATGGAGCTAGAAGCCATTATCCTCAGCCAACTAACACAGAAACAGAAAACCAAACACCACATGTTCTCACTTAGGAGCTGAACAATGAGAACACATCAACACAGAAAGGGGAACAATACACACTGGTGCCTGTCAGTGGGTTGTGGGAGGGACAGCATCAGGATAAATAGTTAATGCATGTGGAGCTTAAATACCTAGGTGATGGGTTGGTGGGTGTAGCAAACCACCATGGCACACATTTACCTATGTAACAAACCTGCACATCCTCATATGTATGTATCCTGGAACTTAAAATAAAATAATTGTTTTTAAAAAAGAAATTGTTTATAATTTTCTCCTTCTTTATGATTCTACCCTGTGGTCACTCCTGCTAAAACCATTTTCAAAAATTTGTGGGTTTTCTTATCTTATTCACTACTAACCCAAGTTTCTTCCACTCCCTCCCTCCGAGAATGTTTATTTTCTGTCTTCTTTTCTAGCTTTTACTCCTTTTCAGATTCACTATATGCTAAGGCATTATATTTTAATGACTTTCTCAAATGACTTGGGGAAACACATTCATTTTAGGAAACAAATGATTATCAAAGCTCTACTCAAATGTAGCCCCGTCCTAAATTTTAGTAGTTTATTTTAATTCTTCTACTGGTTAAGTACACATAAATATCTTGCAGCACCTCAAAATTTAATATTAGGTAGTGAACATGCTGCATGTCTATTCCTATGGAAATAAAGACTGTTTCTCCTCCTCTACTCTCTATTTCAATTAGCAAGTTCACCTCAACCTCCCTCTCTAGCAGTTTCAAATGCACTCCTTGCTTCATCTTTTAAATGCTGCATTTCATTCTGTCACCTAATTATTAATTCAGCATTTATCACATAGATATTGAACATATACTGTGTGCTATGAACTACTAAAAGCTGAACATGCAAAAATAAATGAGAAAAAAATTCCCCCTATAGAGGTAAAATGTGACAAATGAAGAAAGGCTAGCTGTGTGTGGTTTTGTGTGTGCAACTTTGA
The DNA here is from genome assembly GCF_000001405.40 of Homo sapiens. Lineage (NCBI taxonomy): Eukaryota > Metazoa > Chordata > Mammalia > Primates > Hominidae > Homo > Homo sapiens. The sequence continues at coordinate 29,348,722 of NC_000004.12, forward strand.
AATGGGTAATGCAGTGGATACTGTGTTTGACTCTAGAAGAGCCTTTCTATCTAAAATAATTAATCTAAACCAATACTGTTAATTACAATCTCACTGTTGTTGAATGATTTGTGAATGGCTATTTGATTCAATTCTCATATATGAGATATGAAGATCCGGCTGCTGGAGTACCCTGGGGAAGTCCCGTCCTAAATGAGAGCCACAGGAAGAGTTTTTCTTCTTCCTCCAAACTTCATCATGATTACAACTGTATTTTAGGTCTACTGTCATGCAAACAGAAAATGCTGCTTTTCAAGTATATGTATATCCATGGTTGTTTACCACAGGACATTTGATGAATCATTTTCTTATTTAATAGTGTAGAAGTAAGAGTGTGATAATTTTTCTTTAATATTTATTTAATAGACTCAATACAAATCAATGGATAATAACATGTCCCTCCGAAGAATGAATGATGTTGATGTTCCATTGTTCTCAATATTTTGTTAAGAGCAAAGTTACAACTTTATCTTTGGTAACGTTTGTCAACTTTTAGTAACTGTAAAATGTAAAAGAAATAAAAACGCCTTTTGGCTAGGAGCCATGGTTCACGCCTGTAATCTTAGCACTTTGGAAGGCCGAGACGGGTGGATCACGAGGTCAGGAGATTGAGACCATCCTGGCTAACACGGTGAAACCCCATCTCTACTAAAAATACAAAAAATTAGGCAGGCATGGTGGCGGGTGCCTGTAGTCCCAGCTACTCGGGAGGCTGAGGCAGGAGAATGGTGTGAACACGGGAGGCAGAGCTTGCAGTGAGCTGAGATCGTGCCACTGCACTCCAGCCTGGGCCGAAGAGCGAGATTCCGCCTCAAAAACAAACAAACAAACAAACAGAAACAAACAAAAATAAAAACAAAACGCCTTTTTATCATTTATTTAAAAACTTCTGAGATAAAGCTATTTGTAAATGAATTGGGAGGGAATAATAATGGGAAAACACATTTTAAGGGCATTTTTTACAGTGTTGAATATTGAAACTGAATATCACAAGACATAATTTTAAAAATTATTCAAAATTACAAGACCCAATTACCAACGTAAATTTGATTTTACAAATAAGCTATATAAAGACAAAACATTATATTCCTGATTCCAGTTGCCAACACAGTAAAATAATTCATACTGAAAAAAATTTTATTTGAACACTCCAAATAATGTTAAAAGTGGTAAATAGATATATCATAGCATTAAAATGTAGCTTTTTGTTTCAGACAATAATCAATTTCATACCCAATATTTTATCACAAATATTAAAAGCATAGTGGTAGGTAGTATGGTTAAAAGTCACAATATTTCAGGAAAGAAGTAATGCACATGCTGCCGGTTTAACATGTTTATTTTGATAAATTGAGTGTGGAATTTAAACATGTAGGTCTCTTATAAGAGTGTGTAAGATAACTCATATCTCCAAATTTCTAAATAAAATAAGAAAAATTCATTATGAACTCAGTTGTGTACAAATTTTTATGCGAATTATTAGTAATTTAAAAAGCGACAGTAAGGTGTGTTTTCTTCTTTTCTAAAAACAGCAAAAGACAAACCTTAACATTTGACATTTTTAAAATTCTGGACATTAAAAAGAACACACAGGTACATAAATATTCTTTAAATTTTTCTAAAATTTAAGCACAAGTATAGTGTCTCAAATCTACAAAGTAGGTAAAAGATTTCCATTAGTTGCTTGGCAACATCATTTTATGTTCTGCAGTGGAATTTCAGATTGATGAATTATTTTTAAAGCTATCTGCATAAAGTTGTTGGAAACTTGATCAGGTATAGTTAAGTTCACTGAAATTTCCATACATCTGAGTGCTTTGTATAAAATAAAATAATAATAGTATTAGCATATGACAGATGCACAATAAATGGCTGCCAATTTGCATTTTGCCAATTATGATCTGTGTGCTCAAAAATTTAAATTGCATTTACTTGTTACTTTAAATTATATTAGGAAATATCATTTTCCAGTACTGAAACTGAATTCTGTATTAAAGAATATGGATTTCTCAATGTACTTGTACACACACACACACACACACACACACACACACACACAAACATGGCAAAAGTAGTGATTTTCCTTAGTGGTACAATTTTAAGGTTTCTTTTTTGGTAACTCTTGACACAGAATTCCTGATTTCTTATCAAAGCTGTACTTCTTTATATTACAAATTTGTGTTTTAAAAGCAGTTGTTCTAAAGTAATAACACCAGCCTAAAGGGTTGTCACTAATTATTTGCAGTAACTTCACCAGGTTACTTTCCTATGCAAAGAGACAAATATATAAGAATCAAGGAGAGATAATGTGAAAAGAGGTGAATATGTATTATGTTTGAAGTTCATAGACTTGCATGGGTGAGGCATGGGAATCAAGATACTCAGAAATTGACTATAATTTGATATAAGCTAAGCCTCTTTGTAGGCAGATAAAAGATTTGGAAAAAGAAAAAAAACTGATATGGGAGGTGAGAAAGTACTAAGATTCTTGAGTTGTAAACTTCCTTTTCCGTGTATTGGCGCTAGTATTTCACCACTTCCTGGGATTTCAAAATTTAGGATGGTTCTTTATTGTAATTATTATTTTAAACATTTTTACTTACTATTTTTTTTCTTTTGAGTTTTATGTTCCGGGGGTACATGCACAGGTTCGTTGCATTGATAATTTGCAGGTCACTGAGGTTCGGTGTACAAATAATCCCAACACACAGGTAGTGAGCATGGCACCTAATAGGTAGTTTTTCAAGCCACTCCTCTCTCCCACTCTCCCCACTTAAGTGGTCTCCAGTGTCTATTGTTCCTATCTTTGTGTCCATGTGTATTAAATATTTAGCTCCTATTTATAAGTGAGAACATGTGGTATTTTGCTTTCTGTTCCTGTGTTATTTTGCTTAGAATAATGACCTCCAGCTGCATCCATGTTGCTGCAAAAGACATAATGTCATTCCTTCTTTTATGGCTGTGCAGTATTCCATGGTGTACATACATATTTTCTTTATTCGGTCCACTGTTGATGGGCATCTAGGTTGATTTCATGTCTTTGCTATTTTGAATAGTGCTGCAACAAACACACAAGTGCAGGCATCTTTTCGATAGAATGATTTATTTTCCTTTGGGTATATAGCCAGTAGGGAAATTGATGGATGAAGTGAAAATTATCTTTAAAGTTTTTTGAGAAATCTCCACACTGCTTTCCACAGCAGCTGAACTAATTTACATTCCCATCAACAGTGTTTAAGTGTTTCCTTTTCTCCACAACATCACCGACATCTGTTGGGGTTTTTTTTGGCTTTTTAATAATAGCCATTCTGACTGGTATGATATAGTTTCTCATTGTTGTTTTAATTTGCATTTATCTGATAAGTAGTGATGTAGAGCATTTTTTTATGTTTGTTGGACACTTGTATGTCTTTTTTTGAGAAGTATCTGCTCATGTCTTTTGCCTGTATTTTAATTGATTATAGTTTTGTTGTTGTTGTTGATTTTTAAGTTTCTTATAGTTTCTAGATAATAGACCTTTTGTCAGATGCTGTTTTCTGTTGTTGTTTATTGTTTAAGTTCCTTGTAGTTTCTAGATGTTAGACCTTTGTCAGATGCAAAACCCTACCCACAGACTTCACAAAACGCTTGTAGAACTGATAAATGACTTCCATAAAGTTTCAAGATACAAAATCAGTGTACAAAAACCAGTAACATTTCTATAACATCCAAGCTGAAAGCCAAATCAAGAATTAAATCCCATTTACAATAGCCATGTTAAGAATAAAATACCTAAAAATATGGATAAGTCAAGAGGTGAACTACTTCTACAGCGAGAATTACAAAACATTGCTGAAGGAAAACAGAGACGACACAAGTGAATAAAAAAAAAAATCCATGCTCATGGATAGAAAGAATCAATATTGTTAAAATGGCCATTCTACCCAGAATAATTTATAGATTACATGATATTCCTTTCAAACTACCAATGATATTTTTTACAAATTAAAAAAAAGTTCTAAAACTCATAAGGAAACAAAAAAGAGCCCAAATAGCCAAAGCAATTCTAACCAAAAAGAACAAAGCCAGAGGCATCATACTACCCAACTTCAAACTATACTGTAAGGCTCCAGTAACCAAAACTGCCTGGTACTAGTGGAAAAACAAACAAACAAACAAAAAAACAGGCACAGAGGACAATGGAACAGGCTAGAGAACCCAGAAATAAAGTTGCATACCTACAACCATCTGATCTTCAATGAAGCTGACAAAAACAAGCCATGGAGAAAGGACTCCCTATTCAATACATGGTGCTGGAATAACTGGCTAGCCATTATCCTGCAGAAGATTTAGACAGGACCCCTTCCCTTCAACACATACAAAAATTAACTCAAGATGGATTAAAGACTTAAATGTAAGACCTAAAACTGTAAAAACTCTAGGAGAAGGCTTAGGAAATGAAATTCTGGACATTGGCCTTGGCAATAAAAGTAATAAATGGAATTTATGACTAAGTCTCCAGAAGCAATTATGATGAAAACAAAAATTGAAAAGTGGGGCCTAATTAAACTATAGTGCTTCTGCACAGCAAAAGAAACTATCAACAGATTAAACAGACAACCTACAGAATTGGAGAAAATATTCACAAACTATACATTCATCAAAGCACTGTTCTTTGATACTGTGTTTTCCTGTTGAGAATAATCTGGAGAAGTATTTTGGTGTCTACAGTCTAAAGTCAACCTCTCTTAGTGGCATTCAAGCTAGTACTTCATTTGGTCTCAAACTAGAATTGCAGCTTTATTTCTATTGAGGAATGTTCTGCCAGAGGCCCAGTGACATTTACATCCCAGGCATTTTCACAATGATGTTGGCTTTGATATTGCCCAGCACCAACCTCCTTTGTAACTGTTTTTTGAAAAGAAGAAAGAATTTCTGCTATTTTCTCAGTCTGAAACAGCCTGCCTCAATTTTCTTTCTCTCTGTAGCACAGTATTTAGAGTATTTTCAGTCCCAGATCAGTTTCTTATCTTTCTTAACACATTAGTTGTTTCTTTTCTATACTATGAAAACCTTTATTATCATGCCGTTCTTCATTGTATTGCAGTAAAATGTTTATGTATCAATTTCTGCCACTTGATTGTACACTTTGCTGTGGCAGAAATTACGTTGTAGTTTCAGTGCTCCTAATATAAAAAATAGAGAATAAATATATACTTCTCTCAAAATTCATAATCATTTTTGGCCACAATGCCTTAAGATGCCCTTTCTTCACAAGACAACTGTATTCTCATTTTATCCACGTAGATATTTTAGTCTTTCCCCAAACATAAATCTCCACATATTTGCATTAATAAAATTGGATCCTTGACAACATTTTCATGACTCTTTTTTCTGTATCCAGAGTCCAACTCCTAATACTCTTGGTCAAGAAATAATTATTAATGTACTACAAAAATGTTATAAGTTTACATTCAAAATTTTTTAAGTGTGTAGTCAAAATACAGTAAACACCATATGCTGCAAAGAAAAAAAAAACAAGCAAATTGCAACATAACATAACTTTGTTCCTGGGCATGTTATATTCCAGGGTAGATAAACAGCACATATAGCCTGAGGATATAATAAGAACTACTTTTAACTTAAGTCCCTGAACACTTACATTAGTCCAATGGGGACTAATATGGTTAGGCTTTGTGTCCCTACCCAAATCTCATCTTGAATTATAATCCCCATAATCCCCATGTGTCTAGGGAGAGAGCTGGTGGGAGGTAATTGGATCATGGGGGTGGTTTCCCCCATGCTGTTCTCATGATAGTGCTTTCTCATGAAATCTGATGGTTTTATAAGGGTCTCTTCCCCCTTCACTCCTCACTTTGCTCTCTCCTGCCATCACGTGAGAAGGTCTAAGCTTGCTTCACCTTCACCTTCACCTTCTGCCATGATTGTAAATTTCCTGAGTCCTCCCCAGTCATGCATAACTTAGTCAATTCCTCTTTCCTTAACAAATTACCCAGTCTCGGATATTTGTTTACAACAGTGTGAAAACGGATTAATAAAGACACCCACAAAACTTACTAAGAATCTGTTTTTACATTATGCAGACTATTTCTGGTCTCAAAAGACCTTGTTTATCTTAGTTTTGGTGTCTGATCTGTATTCCAAAAATGTTGTCCGAACTTTAGAAATTGGAAAGGAGTAGGAAGATTTTATACTTTCTTTCCTTCTCCTCTAGTTTTCATTATTATTTTTACTATTTTGGAAAGAATATACAACATAAAATTTATTATCTTAATCATTTTTAGGTGTAAATTATACTAGTGTTAACTATATGAAAATTATTTTGGAACTGATCTTTAGAAATTTTTCATCTTGAAAAACTGAAACTATAACCATTAAGCAACAAAACAAACAACAACCTTTTCCCCCCCTCCTTCCTTACTCTGGAAACCATCATTCTAATATCTGTTTCTAAGAACTTATCTACTTTAGATCTCAAATTAGTGGAAAAAGACTGTATTGTGTGTTTGTATGTGTGTTGCTCATTGCAACCCCTGTCTCTCAAGTTCAAGTGACTCTCCTGCCTCAGCCTCCCGAGTAGCTGGGACTACAGGCATGCACTACCACGCCCAGCTAATTTTTGTATTTTTTTTTTTTTTTTTTTTTTTTTTTTAGTAGAGATGGTGTTTCACCATGTCAGCCAGGATGGTCTTGATCTCTTGACCTCGTGATCCACTCAACTCAGCCTTCCAAAGTGCTAGGATTACAGGCCAAATTTACAAATTTCCTTCTTTAAGGCTGAATAATATTCCATTTTATGTATATACCACATTTTCTGTTACATTCATTTTTTGATTGCTAGTTAGGTTACTTCTGCTTCTTGGCTACTTTGAATATTGCTGCAAATATCTCTTCAATATCTTATTTTCAATTATTTTGGTTATATGCACAGAAGTGGGACTGACTGGTGGATCATATGGTAATTCTACTTTTAATTCTTGAGGTAACTTCAAACTGTTTTCCATAGCAGCTGCACATTTCATATTCTAACAACAGTGCATAAGTGTTCCAGTTTCTCCACATCCTCTCCAATATGTATTTTTTTATTTTATTTTTGTTTTTGACAGTGGCCACCCTAATAAGTCATATCTCATTGTATTTTTGATTTTCATTTCCCTGGTTATGATTATTAGTGATACTGACATCATTATTATTCTCGTTGACTATTTATATTAATATATCTTCGTTGGAGAATTGAGTATTCAATTCTTTGGATATTTTTAAATTAAGATATTTGCTATTAGATTGGTGAAAAAGTAATTGCAGTTTTTGCCATTACTTTTAAATGATAAACACTGCAATGACTTTTGCATCAACCTAGTACTTTGTTGTCATTGTTGAATACAAAGAGTTCTTTATATATATCTTGGATTTTAACCCCTGTTCAGACATATAATTTGCAAATATTTTCTCCCATTCCATATGCCTTTTCTTTGTGATAGCTATTTCCTTTGCCATGCAGAAGTTTTAAAGTTTGAAACAATCTCATTTGTCTATTTTTACTTTTGTTGATTGTGCTTTTGGTATTATATTCAATAAATCATTGCCAAATCCAATGCCATAAAGTTTCCCTCTGTTTTCTTCTTAGAGTTTGAGAATTTCAGGTCTTACTTTTCAATCTTTAATCCATTTTGAATTAATTTTTGTGTATGGTGTGAGGTAAAGGTCCAACTTCATGTTTTTGCATGTGAACATCGAATTCCCAACACCATTTGTTGATGAAAAAATTATTTATTCATTGTGTAGTCTTAGAACACTTTCTGATGATTTAACTTTATACACAAGGATTCATTACTGTGCTCTTGTTTCTTTTCCATTGCTCTGTATGTCTGTCTTTATGCCAGTAATGCTTTGGTGTGAAAGGATATAGAATTTTATCAAATGTTTTTTCTACATCAGTTGAGATAATCGTGTGTTTTTTTTCCTTCATTCTCTTAATATGGTATATTTCATTTATTGATTTTACTATGTTGAACTATTCTTCCATCCAAGAATAAATCTCATTTCAACATGGTGAATGATTCTTTTAATATGTTTTTGAATTGAGATTACTAGTATCTTGTTGAGGATGTGTGTATTAAATATTCATCAGGAATACTGATCTGTCATTTTATTTTCTAGTGGTGCTTTTGTCTGGCTTTAGTATCAGGGTAGTGCTGGCCTTGAAGAAAAACAAAAAGAGTTAGTTAGTAAGTTAGTTAGTAAGTACTCCCTTCTTGCCAATATTTTGGAGGAGTTTGAGAAGCATTGATATTAATTCTTCTTATGTTTTGTTAGCATTTCCCAGTGAAGCCATCTCATCCTGGGATTTGCTTTTTGGTAGTTTTTGCTTACTGATTCAATCTCTTTATATGCTATTGGCCTGTTTAGGTTTTCTATTTTTTTCATGATTTATTCTTGCTAAGCTGTATGTATCTAGAAATTTACTTCATTGTTCTAGATTATTCAATTTTTTGCATATAATAGTTCATAATATTCTCTTCTGAATGTTTTTACTTCTGTGACATCAATTATAATGTCTGTTATTTCATTTCGATTTTGTTATTTTAAACTTCTTTTCATTAATGTAGCTATAGTTTTTTCAGTTTTGTTGAGCTTTCCATAAATAACAAACCCTTCATTTTGTTGAAATTTTCGTTTGCTCTACTCCTTATTATTTTATTCTTTCTGCTAACCTTGGGTTTAGTTTGGCTTACTGTTTTTAGTTTCTTTAGGTGTAAAGGTAAGTTGTTGAGATAATTTTTATTTTTAATGTAGGCATTTGCCTCTATAAGCTTCCCTCTTGGTGTAGCTTTTGCTGAATCCTATGTTTTTGGTATATTTTATTTTTGTTTTATTTGTCTCAATATATTTTCTAATTTTTCTTTTGATTTTTTTTGACGCTTTTAATGTTCAATAGTGTCTTATTTAATTATGTTTGTAAATTTTCCAGTTTTCCTTTGGCTATTGATTTTAGTTTCATTTCATTGTAATCGGAAAGGATACTTGGTATGATTTCAATATTTTAAAATTTGTTTAGGCTAGTTTTGTGGCCTAACATGATCACAAAACAAGAATTTCCATGTGTTTAAAAATATGCAATTTACTGTTGTTGGTTGGAGTATTCGGAATATATCTGTTACATCCAATTGGTTTATGGTGTTATTAAAGTCCTCTCTTTCCTTATTGATCTCATCTGTTTGATATTCATTGTTGAAAGCAGAGTATTTAAATTTCCTATTATTTTTTGTGTTACTGTTAATTACTTCCTTCATTTCTTTTAATGTTTGCTTCATATATTTGAGTGCTATACTGTTAAGACCATAGTCATAATTGTTGTATCTTCCTGGTGAACAAATCCTTTTCTCATTATATAATGCCCATTTTTGTTTCTTGTAACTTTCTAAACTTAAAGTCTACGTTTTTAACATAGTATAACCACATATTTTGGTTATAATTTGCATGGAATATTATTTTTCATTTTATGTCCTCTTAATAGGGCGTTAAATACATTGACATTTAAAATAATAACAAATACAGAAGGATTTATAATTGTCATTTTGGCTATATTATAAGCAATTATAGTTATTTTATTTCTTTTTTCTTCTCTTGATTTTTCTTCTGTGACTTATTGATTTTTTGTATTTTTTTGTATTCATTAATGTAGTTTTATGGTAACAGATGTAGTTATGTTTATGCCTGTGTCTTTTAAATTCTACACCTGAATTAAAGGTGGTTTACACACCACCATTATAGTATTTCAAAATTCTGTACTTGTGTATATGTTTATCTTAACTGGGGATCTTTTTGTATGTTTTTATATTGTTGTACAGCATCCTTTTGTTTCAGCCTAAAGGACTTCCTTTTGCCTCTCTTGTAAGGCAGGCCTAGTGATGATGTTTTCTCATAGCCTTTGTTTATCTAGGAAAGACCTTATCTCCCCTTCATTTTGAAGGAGTCTTGCAGGATGTTATTTCCTAGTGGGGTTTTTTCTTTTTTTTTTTTTTCCCTTGAGTATGTTTGAATATATCATTCTTCTCTCTTTGGGCTTGTAATGTATCATCTGCTAAAAATAAATAAATAAATAAATAAATCTACCAATAATCCTCTGGGGGGCGTCTAGTACATAACAAGTTGTGTTTCTCTTGTTGCCTTCAAAATTTTCTTTGTTTTTGAATTTGATGGTTTGGTTATAATGTGTCTCAGTTTAAAACCTCTTTGAGTTTATTATAGTGGGAGTCATTTGAGCTTCTTAAATTTGGATCCCCATTTTCTTCATCAAATTCGGGAATGTTTCAGTCTTTATTTCTTCAGATGCCTTGTCTTCTTCTCTTTCTCTTCTCCTGCGACTTCAATAATACGTATATTGTTCTACTTGATGCTGTCTCATAAGTTATTTAGGCTGTCTTCACTTAATTAAAATTCTGATTTCTTTTAGTTCTTCTAGCTCAATAATTTTAAATAACCTCTCTTTAAGTCTGTTGACAATTTCTTCTACTTGATACAGTCTGTTGTTAAATCCCTCTAATGAACGTTTATTCTAGTTTTTCTATTTGGCTCTTCTCTTATAGTTTCTCTCTCTTTTTATTACTCATATTTTATTCATGCATGGTTTTCCTGATTTTGTTTAGTTGTCTGTTTTGTCTTGTAGTGCATTGAGTTTCTTTAAGATGATTCTTTTGAATTATTTGTCTTGTAATTTCTAGATCTCTTTCATGAGAAGGTTGGTTTCTGGGGATTGATTTTTTTGGGTCATGTTTCCTTGTTTCTTCATTTATCTTTTTGTTTTTGTCTCAGAACCTCTTAAACCTTTTCTGAGGTGTGTCTTCTCTGAGCTCGTGAATATACTTTCCCAGGAAGATTGGTTTGCTTGTTTCTTATTCAGTAAATTGTAGTCTCTTGCTACCTTTGGTGTCTGCCTGAAGTACTGCAGGTTCACTGTACTGGCTTGGAGGAGTAGGTATTATGGTAGAAATAAAATGGTTTTTGTTACTTATTTCTTCAATTCACTTATTCTTGGCTTTGAGCTTGACTGGAGTACTGTGACTTTCTAACTGTTTTCTGAAGTTTGCATAAAGGCTTGTTGTTGATCATAGTTTCTTATGTTGCTGTTTCTATGAGTAAAGATCACCTGTGGCTTCTTTGCCATCTTGCTGATGTCACGAAGGTATACAGGTTTTTATCCCAAGTGAATATGGTTAGGACAAAGGGACAAAAAGATCTGTTTTCTCTTGTGAGTTAACTGTTCTAAAGGCAGAATGGCAAACTGTGAATAGAATAGAATGATAGCAATCCATTTCCAAATGCAAAATAGTGGCAATGATGCCAGTGTTATACATTAAAGTAATAAATGCTGTATTTATGACTTATTTACTGTTTGATATTAATGTCCACTAAGGGGACTAAGCTGATAATATATTAATATAAACAAATTAAAACAAGGTTTTCTCTTCATCAGTCTCAGTAGATCCCCTTTGATCTTTTATAATTCTCCATGTGATGACCTCACTCAGGTTCTGATGCTGCCTTTCTTTACTGGAATATCAAATTATTATTCTGCTGCTGCCTTCTATCCATCACAGCCATTGCACAAAAAATCCAGAGAACTATGCTATCTGAAATGAGATATAGGATTGGCATAATAAGTTTTTCTTTGTTAATGATTCAAGAAGTTTTGTAACATTAACATTACTGTTTAAATAGTATCTCCAAATTAAAATTCTGATGTATTCTCAAATTAAGTTCCAGGTTTTTACCTGCTCTGGAGGATGAAGAAAGATTAGAATATGTTGTTCTCTAGCTCTAGTTCTGATTTGCAGGTCTGCAATTTCTTAGCTTTCTCTCATATTTTTGGCTGCCCTTTCATCATCACCTTCACTTAACTCTCTTTCCCTTACCTACACTCTATTGGGCTTGTAAACAAAATTATATCTAATGCATAGGTTTATATAGATTACATATAAACATATGTGTATGTGCATAGATAGATATAGAGGGTCATAATTTATATTTATGTTTACCTTGTATATATTTCCACAGTGATTTTCTTCATATTTGCATAGTTTTAAAATTTTAAATTCCAAAAATAGGGTATGAGATAAGCTTTTTCTTTAAGGTTGATTGATATTTGACCAGGATTGTTATTATTCACCATTCCAATAGGTTTAATAAGTTATGTTGTTCCTTTCTCAACGTAAAGAAAGAATGCACATTTATAATACATTTGTGGTTGTCATGTTTCTAGGATGGCTACAAAGAGTCCCATATGTTGATATACATAACTTGTCTAATTTTTATGGATATGAATGAAACCTGTGTATGTGTGACAATGTTATCCTATTGGTAAAGAGATTCTTTTTGTAGAAATAATTAACTTTAGGGGTTTTTGCAGGTGTCATAAATGTCCTTAATCAATTGACATCAGTGAAGGAGATTATTTGAGTGAGATTTCTATAGGAGGGGACCTTGTAAAAGGGAGAGCCTAAAGCCAGAGATGCTCTCTACTTGGCATTGAATACATATGTCACAAGGCAAAAACCAGAGGACAACCTGTAAGAGGTAAAAATGGACCCAATTGACAGCAAGAAAATAGGGACTACCTGCAAGGAACTGAATTTTTATAAATGACCTGAATCATCTTGAAAGAGGACTCTAAACTCCAAATAGAAGCTGTAGCTCAGCTAACACATTGATTACAGCCTGTGAGTACCTAAGCAGAGGACTCATCTGACATATATCTGCAGTCTTGACCCATGGAACCCATGAGATAATAAAGGTTGTATTAAGTTGCTAAGTTTGTTATAATTTGCTATGCAGCTAAAAAAATCAATGATTTTTAAAGCTATATATATATATATATATATATATATATATATATATATATATTCCTCCTTCTGTGGATTACCAGCTGAAATCTTTTGCTCATGTTTTTGTTGTGTTCACCTTTTATAGAAGTTCTTTATATATTTCCAGTATTCATCTTTTGCCTGTTTTATAGAATGTAAGTTACTTCTTTGCATATTTTATTTTAATAATGGTGCAATTTCATACAGATTTTTAATCATGTTGATACAATTGAGCTATTAAACTTTTACATGATTTCTGTTTCTTGATTTGGCTTATGAAACTATTCTCTACAAGGCCAAAATACACCTCTAAAAAAGAATAGCACGAACATAATGTGTATCAGCAAAACAAACTACCAAACATTCTGTATTGATTGATTCATTGTACATAAGTTTCAAAAAGAGAAGCTACTGCTGTGTGTTAGAAACCAAAATTTGTGTGACCTATGGGGTAGTCACACATCCTATCTCACTAGAGTGGGATGGGAAATAAAGAAAGGGCACTCTATTATGCTAGTATGCTGTATAACTTGATCTAGTGTTGGTTTCAAAGATGTATTTACATTGTAAAAATTTAGTAAGTTGTACCCTGACAATATGTGTACTTTTCAGTATGCTTGCCCCTAATAGCCATAGCCTGTTTTATCACTGCCATATAGCATACATACCATCATATGAGTATACTACAAAATATCAATCCAGTTTACTGTTGATTGGTATTTACGTTGTTTTGATGATTAAAAATAATGCTATTGGGCCAGGCATGGTGGCTCACACCTGTAATCCCAGCACTTTGGGAGGCTGAGGCTGGTGGATTGCTTGTGCCCAGGAGTTTGAGACCAGCCTGGGCAATATAGTGAAACCCTGTCTCTACTAAAATATACAAAAATTAGCCAGGTGTGGTGGCATATGCCTTTAGTCCCAGCTGATTGGGAGGCTGAGGTGGGAGTATCACTTAAGCCAGGAGGTTAAGACTGCAGTGAGCTGTGATCCTACCACTGCAGTCCACACTGGGCAACAGAGCAAGACCATCTCTCAAAAAAAAAATAGTGTATTATAAACATTTTTGTATATGTCATTGGTCAAGCTATACAAGCTATATAAGTATTTCTTCCATTTAGCTATCTAGTAGTTTAACTGTTGAGTTGCAAGATTTGCTGTTGTTCACCTTTAAGTGATATTGGCAAAAGACTTTTCAAGGTGGAAATTGGCAGACCAAGAAGCAACATATAAGCACATCAGATACTCCACATTTTACAAATAGTGTCATTTTCATTTTAGCCATTGAACGAGAAAGTACACAGTTGTATCCCATTGTGATTTCAATGTACATTTCCATAATGAAATGTTGAGTAACTTTTAATCTGGCATTTGCATATGTTTCTTTGTGAGGTGCTTGTTCATAGCTATTATCATAATCTGTTAGATGTTGTTATCAGTTGTTGATTTGTAGAAACTATTATGAATATAGGTCTTTGTCAAGCATGCATTTTCTTCTCCTACACTGGGACTTGTCTTTGTAATTCCCTTCATAGTGACTTTTGATGAGCACAAGTTCTTATTTTATTCCAATGAGTAATTATTTTTTTCTTTGCTTTTCTTTGTGTGCCTTATGTCAAATGTTCTTCTCACTTTGAATAGTGCTATATTTCTTATTGTTTAGTATGGAACTGGAAAACATGTATAATAGTATTGTGTTTGATAGCAAGAGCTCAGTGTATTTAACTATCTGCAAATGAATCCTACTTTTCCTACTTGTCAGCGATATTATTTTGGGGGTTATCTTAGTCCACTTTGTGTTGCTATAAAGAAATAACTGAGGCTGAATAATTTATAATGAAAACAAAGTTCATTTTGTTCACGATTTTGGTGGCTGGAAAGTTCAGGATTGGCATCTGCATCTGCTGAAGGTCTCGAGCTGCTTTCACTTATGGTGGAAGGTGAAGAGGAGCAGGCTATGGAGGGATCACAGAGTGAAGGAGGATGCAAGAGAGGTGTGTGTGTGTGTGTGTGTGTGTGTGTGTGTGTGTGTGTGGCAGTGGAGGGTAGAGTCAGGCTTTTTTTAACAACCAACTCCCATGGAAACTAATAGAATAAGAAGTACTCCCTCCCAGTGAAAAACATTAATATATTCATGGGGGAATCACACATATGACACAAACCCCTCTCATTAGACCCCACCTCCAACATTGGGGATCAAATTTTAACATGAGTTTTGGGTGAAACAAACATACAAATCATAGCAGGAAATTCATTTATCCTTTCAACATGAATCGTCTGAAAAAAATTACCAACATATCTCATATAATAGCTATGAGAATTAAATGAAACAATATACATAGAAGCCATGAAACAATGCCTGGCATATAGAAAAACTGCACAATAAATTTAAATCTAAATGTATAGTAACAAAATGTATAGTTTTTGTTAATTCTATGTCTACAGAATAATACATAAAAGCTTATGAAAATTAGTGTTAATTGTCAAAAATAGTAGAGATTTTTCTGACTTAATTTTCAACAATTATGTTAAAATTCTTGCTTATTGAAAATAAAACATAGATGATGAGTGAAGAAAACACATGCATCCATCCAGACACTTAGCTGCAGGCAACAGAATCTTAATCTGGATAATTTAAGCAGGAGGGAATTTTTAAAAACACGTTTGGTGAGTTTATGTCATTGGTATAGATGAACAACCTGATAAAGAGCTACACTATCAGGCATAACAGCCAACTCCATTCTGCAGAATGTTGCTGCGGCTGAGGGCTCCACTGCCTCCAATCCTCCCTCTACATATAAAATGTGCATTTCTGCTAGTGCTTTGGAGAACTGAATCTTGCTGCACCTCCTACTATTTTGGGAGAGAGAAATTACCACAGGGCCTGCATCTTCAGATCACTTACTTCCAAATATCTGTTACCCTCTTTGTCTGGTTCTTTTCTGCTCTTGTATAATAAAGCCAGTTGTCACATTGTAAGCTGCCCTATGGAGAGTCCCATGTGGCAAGGGACTGAGGACAACCTCCACCCAACAGGCACTGAGAACCCGAGTGCCCTCATCTAACAACCTGTGAGGAACTCAATCCTGCCAAAAGGCACTTGGGTAAATTTAGAAGTGGATTCTTTCACACTTGAGCCTTGAAATGATTGCAGCCCCTGCTGACAACTTGACTACAATCTTATGAGAGGTATTGAGCCAGAGAAACAAGATCTTCAATGCCTAGATTTCTGAACCATAGAAACTTTGAGATAATAAATATTTGTTTTTTTAAGTCTCTAAGTTTTATGTTAATTTTTATGTAGCAATAGATTACTAATAGAGTGTCTATAGGTAATTTCAATATTTTCTGATAATGAGTATTAAAAATAATGAAAACCAATATTAACCATTATTATTATTAACCAAATAAAATCCATTAATTAGGATACTCAAATAAGTGGATTGATTTTTTCCCAGAATTTTGCTTTATATCTTCTCTAATGAAAATATGTTAAGAAAAAGAACAATATCAGGGTATATATTAGTGTTAAGGTTTTAGTGATGATGATGATTATTAAGATTTCTATGTTCAAGTACATGTTAACCATTGATATAAAAAAGATAAATCTTGAATTTTAAGAGTCTGTTAACTAAAGAGTAAAATTCATGTTCAGAGAGTCACACGTTTCTGGAGTGATAAAAAATGTTAATTAATATTTACAGAATAAATGGAAGACTAATTTTCTTCAGGTTAATATCTTTTAAGAAAGAAAAAGGATAAATTATACAACGATCAAAAGTATGGATCAAGAAACATAGTTTCTGTTTTGTTTTAAGTGAAATTTCACCTTCATTTAGCCATCATAATTAATTAATCCTAACAAAATTTATCCACTTAATCAAAACAAAATAATTTGGTCACTGCAATTAATTTTAAAAAATCCTCTGTTACATAACACTATTTTTCTTTGTTGTTGTTGTTCAAATTAGCACATTTTTTTCACATTAACATTTGAAAGAGGCAAATCTAACCAAAGGAAATAAAAATATTCACCAAAATTGCTAATATCACTGCTGCTTTAAAAAACCACAACAGTCATTGAATTATTTTCTTCTTTTTATCATTGTTTTTTTCAATATAAAAAGAATCACTTTAGACAAAAGACAGAGACCATAAAGGCAATTCGTCTTCAAAAGTAACACTTTCTACATCAACTACCAAAAAAATGACATTTATGAAATGTTAAAGTTGAATTTTAACTCTCAGAAATCATGGACTTCCAAGTAATATTACACAAAGCAATGTTAACAGTATTTACTGATATGCAGAATAAGCTTCATAATGTCTATTAAGAAACAGTTTACTAAAAAATTGCTTCTTGATTAATATTATAGTATTTTTAACTTTGTATTCACAAATTAGAATATTTTCTTCAGCACTTTTATTATGAAAAATAAAAAGGTTAGCTATTTCAAGCTTATAGTCTTCTGTGTCCTTTTATTAAAAGGCCATTGTACCTAGGAAAAGTAACAAAATTCTTGATAAAACAACATACATAAGGCTATTATAGCCCAAATCTAGTACCTTTAAAAAATTTATCATTTAGGCCAGGCATGCTGTCTCACACCTGTAATCCCAGTACTTTGGGAGGCCGAGGCAGGTGGATCATGAGGTCAGGAGATCGAGACCTTCCTGGCTAACGCAGTGAAACCCCATCTCTACTAAAAATACAAAAAATTAGCTGGGCGTGGTGGTGGACGCCTACAGTCCCAGCTACTCAAAAGGCTGAGGCAGGAGAATGGCATGAACCCAGGAGGCGGAGCTTGCAGTGAGCCGAGATCGCACCACTGCACTCCAGCCTGTGCAACAGAGAGACTCCGCCTCAAAAAAAAAAAAAAATTACCATTTAAAATGCATTCTTTTTAATATGACTTTTACATTTAATGTTAAGGTGGCCAATTTTGTTGTTAACTTATAGACTGGAGACATTTAAAAGGATATATATTGACATGACAATGAAGTGAAACAGTAATAAATAAAAATGATTTATTTATTTATTAAACAGCTCCACATTTACACCAAATCTGGTGCTATTTGGTGATACATGCTGAGGTAGAGATGAACCATGGCTTCTAGGCTTAAAGGTTTCACTCTGAGTCCATACATTTCAGCAATGTGGTAGCTAGTGATTTTCAATTATTAGTATTCACACTTTTTATAATTCTCTCCCATGTTTAATAGGACTGATGCATGAAAAAATAGGCTTTTGTGAAATATGACAAAGCTAGGTTATAAAAGGTATTGCGACTTTCACCTTGCTCTACGAGTAACTTGCTCTAGGAGTAATCAGCTGCCACATTCTGAGGCCATGACTATGGTCCTAAATAGAGATCAACATGGTAAAGATTTGAGGCTTCTTGACAAAAACAACCAGTAAGAAACTGAGCCTCTTACTGACAATCATGCAAATGAGCCATCTTAGAAGATCTTTCAGCCACAGTTAAGCCTTCGGATGATTACAGCCCCAGTTCACATCGTGGATTCAACCTCATGAAAGATCTTCAGGCAGAAGTAACCATTTATGCTTCTCTTGAACTCCTTACCTACAGAAAATGTGTGACTTAATAAATATTCTAGTCATGTTAAACCTTTAAGTTTGAAGGGTAGTCAGATATACTACAACAGATAACAAATATAAACAGAACAGTATATAAAAAAAGAAACATTAGCATTCATGTATCATTGTAAATTTTTCTGTGCTTATGTATATGCCTGTTGATGGATGGGACAAAGAGAAATATATGCATATTCAAAATAATACCAAGAGAGAATATATCAGAAAAATTTGTGAAGCGAGGATATCCAATTTCCCCATGTAAAAGCATGGTGTGTGATATGGATTTTTAAAGAAAAATGGATATAATAAATTCTTCTCACATAGTCAATCATGCCAAAGACGGTTAAACACGGATTCTTGCCCACTGATGCACAAGAGGATAAAAATGAGAGGATGTTTAACCAGGTGTTTCTAGAGCTGACTACCATTTCTGTCAACCAAAATGCTCCAAACGGCTCCTCTCAGACTGTTTGCATTAATGAATAGATGATATCTAATACCATGTGGGATTCTATACTTGCCTTAATTAAAATTAATTGTCCCATGAATGATTAATGCTTAGTCTGAATTTTTCATAGTTTCTATATTACTGAGATACTAAACAATGTAACTCATCTACATTTTATGTTACTCTTTCAATCCCCATTAAAAAAATAATTAATTACTGCATCTGTTTTCTTTTGCTGAATATGACTAATTGCTAATTTTTAAGCATTAAGAATTCACTAAAGAAATTTACCTGAAGAAATTTCTGGTAACTTTAGTAATTTAAATTTAACTTAGAACTATGAAAAACAACTATATAATACTAAATAAAACTTGAGAATGAATTGGTTTACTTTACCTGTCAATAAGAAGGTATATATACCTACTTCAATCTATTTTTGATAATTAAAAATTAAATATATATAAAATATTTAAATATCTCTGCAAAAGTAGTATTTTTCAAAATATTTAACATTTTTCCTCTGTTACAAAAACTTGGAAAATTATCATATCTGTATTTTTCTTGTAAAAATAATCTTTTTCTAAATATATTTACTGCCATGATCAAGAGATTATGTCTTCTAAATTAAAACATCTGCCAAACACTTTTGACCCTAGGTTTAGCACCTCGTCATTTACTCTTACAAACTGGTGTTCAGGATTACAAAGAAGTTTTGTGATAGATCATAGACAGAATTAGTCGTTTGTTTTTCCCTTGGAAAACATGGCCCCTCATCATGGAGCTACAGTGGCCATTAATAGTTATAAAAAACTAGCTGGTTCTAGGAGTTAAATTTTTGACAAATTAGTGGTAAATGTTTTTTCAAACATGTTTTAAGCAAATTGTTTTATTTAAGTAAACTACCTACATTTACCATTTGGGCTCATTAATTCAACGATTTCATACTCAGTACCCAATTTATATTATAAGTCGTTTATAAGAAAGCTAAGGAGACTGACCAGGCGGAGTGGCTCATGCCTGCAATCCTAGCACTTTGGGAGACCGAAGGGGGCAGATCACCTGAGGTCACAAGTTGGAGACCAGTCTGACCCACATGGTGAAACCCCATCTCTACTAATCTCTACTAAAAATACAAAAATTGGCCAGGCGTGGTGGAGGGTGCCTGTACTCCTAGCTACTGGGGAGGCTGAGATGGGAGAATCACTTGAACCTGGGAGGGGGAGGTTGCAGTGAACCAAGATCATGCCCCTGCACTCCAGACTGGGGGACCGACCGAGACTCCGTCTCACAAAAGAGAAAAAAAAAAGCTAACGAGACTAAAATATGAGTCTTTATTTGAGCATGCTTATTTTGTATACAGAAAAACTGAGACCCTATCACCCATTTTCGCTTAAGTTAATGAACACCACAGATATTAGAGAAGAGAAAGACTATAACCCATAACCTTTCAAGAGAAATCCAAGTATTATGCTTAAATAGGATGGGTCAGTAACTTAAGAATTGACATTTTAGGCCGGGCGTGGTGGCTCATGCCTCTAATCCCAGCACTTTGGGAGACCCAGGCGGGCGGATCACGAGGTCAGGAGATAGAAACCATCCTGGCTAACACGGTGAAACCCCGTCTCTACTAAAAATAAAAAAAAATTAGCCGGGCCTAGTGTTGGGTGCCTGTAGTCCCAGCTACTCAGGAGGTTGGGGCAGAAGGCTGAGGCAGAAGAATCGCTTGAACTCGGGAGGCAGAGGTTGCAGTGAGCCGGGATTGCACCACTGCACTCCAGCCTGGGCAACAGAGCAAGAGTCCGTCAGAGAGAGAAAAAAAAAAAAAAAAAAAAAAGAATTGACATTTTAAAAATGCGTCTTGTGATTTTTATTCTAATTTTTATCAAAGTAACAAAGGTAATTAATTTATAAAAATAAAATGGTATTACATGGTTTATAATTATAAAAAGGTATTCTCCTGTCCCTAAACTCTCATTATTATTGTCCCAATTTTTAGAGTCATGCACTGTTAACTCAGTTAGCTAATTTATCTTAGTATTTCTCTTAGTACACTCTTAGCTAATTTCTCTTAGTATTGCCTAAGAGAAATTACTTAGTACTCTTAGTACTGCCTAAGAGAAATTTAGAAATATGGTTCCATGTTTCTAAATTCTATATGAGAGTAGTTTAGGTTTTCTACACTTACCCAACTCCCCTCAAAACCCTTAAGATTTTATACAAAGGCATCCCTTCCTCCTATCTTCTCAAGATTTTGATATACAATATATAGCCAAATCAATAGTCAGTGTTTACATTACTATGGAGATTAAACTATTATTCACTGTAGCAGGCAGAATAGATTCTACAGAAATTCCCCCAAGCTTCTTATCCTCTGGTTATTTAATCAAACACTAATTTAGCTACTACTGTGAAAGGATTTTGAAGAAGGAATTAAGGTTACTAATCAGCTGAACTTTAAATAGGAAGATAATACTGGGTTATATGAATGGCTATAATGTGATTACATGAGCCCTTAAAACCAGAAAAGGAAAGTGGCATAATCACTTGAAGAGATGTGGCAGAAAATAAAATAAGAGTAGTGAGCAGAGTAATGGAGGTCAGCGAGACATGAAGTGTGAGAAGGACTCAATCAACCATTACTTTTTTGAACACAAAGAGGACCAAAAGTCCAGGGATGCAGGCAGCCTCTAGAGGCTGAGAAGAAGCCCTGCCAAAACCTAGCAAGGAAACAAGGACCTCAGTCCTGCAGAACCACAGAACTGAATTCAGCCAACAACCTGGGTGAAATCCGAAGTAGAGTCTCCTCTGTAGCCTCCAGGTTGAGTTCAGATTGGCCAACATTTTGATTTTAGCCTAGAGAGATCCTAAGCAGATTTTTTGGGCCCAGCCAAGCTCATTTATGTCTGATCTATGCAACTCTGAGATAATAAATCACTGTTGTTTTGAATCTACAAGTTTGTTACAGCAGTAATAGGAACCGAATACATTCATCATTCAGGTATTTAATACAATATAATCACTTTTCATTTGCTAGAAATGTCTGTGCTGGGATCATCCTTTACACTTGGCATATAGCATTCACCATGGCCGTTGCATTTATCTTCTTCCAGTCATGGGTCTGTGCTTTCTCTAGATCCTAGAAATTTTTTTTTTCACTCTTTCCTTTTTTTTTTTTTTTTTTTTTTTTTGTTTTTGAGACGGAGTCTCGCACTGTCATCCAGGCTGTAGTGCAGTGGCACGATCTCGGCTCACTCCAAGTCCTGCCTCCTGGGTTCACGCCTTTCTCCTGCCTCAGCCTCCGGAGTAGCTGGGACTACAAGCGCCCACCACCACGCCTGGCTAATTTTTTGTATTTTTTAAGTAGAGACGGGGTTTCACCGTGTTAGCCAGGATGGTCTGGATCTCCCGACCTCGTGATCTGCCCACCTCGGCCTCCCAAAGTGCTGGGATTACAGGCGTGAGCCACCGCGCCCAGCCTAACTCTTTCCTTTATGTGGGAAGTATCCTTCAACAAGTTTCAGAGATAGAGAAAGAGCGAGCGAGCGAGAGAGATCCTTCAACAGGTTTCAAAGACAGAGAGAGAACCTTAAAAGATCTTTGTTTTTTTAAGGCTTTCCTGAATTAATACTTTTATACTTTTCATTCTGCATTTTATCTGTTCTTTCTTTTTGGAAATTCAGTTACTGATAAACCGAATATTCTAGATACACTAATTCATTTTTAAAATTGTCTGTCTTACTTTCTATACTTGCCTTTGGTTTTGCTTTCTTGGAGTTTTTTTTTAAGCTTATCTTAAGAAATCTCCTTTTCCATTTACATTTCTGATGTCATGTTTTTGGTTTTCAGAAGTTTCTATTGTATGTATATTCTTAAGAGTTCTTATTTTCTGAATATTTCTTTTTTATAGAATACTCTTCTTGTTTTATGGTGGAATTATAGTCTCCTGTATCTCTAAAGAGATATAATAATTTATTGTACTTAGTGTTTCTTTTGTTATCTTTGATATGCCCTATCTATGGCAATAATTGCAATACAATTTTCTATACAAGAAGAAAGTATATTAGCCTTTTTTGTATTTATGACTTACAGAATTTCTTTTGAGTATTCATAGTTGGAATGCATAAAATGTGTCTTTAGGCAGTAGTTTTTGATGTTTATTGAAAAAACAGAAATACTGATAAATTGTATTGCAGTTTCTATTTCAAAACAGGCAATGATGTAATTATAATTGGATGTGTTTTATTATTAAGTATCTTACTGACTTGAGAGAACTTTAATTTCAATTACATGGTGAAAAGAAACAAATCTCCCCTTATATCTAATAGTTGGATAGTCCACAGTGGTTATCAGTTTAATACATCTGAATCTGTTTCTCCTCCATTACCCACATCTTCTGGTATTGACATTATTGGAAGTGTTTGAATTATATTACCTCTGGCTCTGCAGCTTGTTACCTCACCTGGTGAGGCAACTTGGTGGGAAGTACCAGTATTCCTGGAAGTCATTTCTACAACAGGACAGCTAGCAGTAAAATTTAAGACTAAACAAATATTACCGGGAACTGTATACATGTCATCTCCCTAAACTCACATTACATATATTTTCCACTCATCTTTCCTTAATTTGGATCCAAAAAGTACCTGCAGATCCTTGAGCACTACGTAACAGGGAGAAAAGTGGGATGTAAGTGGTGTCAGAGTAAAAAAAGGACAATGATCTTAACTGAATGCAAGTAATATTTTTAAGGTTGAAAATTTTACCAAAATATATATCCAACTGAACACATTTCTGGGTCCCTCTCAAGGTCTTAGAAGGGGCCTATGCAGGTTAAGGGCCCTGAAGCTTGTTTTATTAGCTTCATGACTTATCTACTTCTGCAACCAATTTTCTTTGGGAGTCCACCACAGATAGGAATTTGAAGTATAAATTTTGCCCTAAAAATTCTAAGAAATAGGTCAGGATTATACATTTAATGAATCAACTTCAAGTTAACTCTGTAGTTAAGCCTGAAAATTCACTTTATTATGCAGCTTAGATTATCTGCAACTGCATTATCCTATGTAACCTATCAGAGGTAAGGCAATGAGATAAAATTTCGGCATAATAGAGATAGATACCTTACACTTCAATGTTAACTGACGCTCATTGTGAAACACACAGAAAAAAAAATAAAATTTGAAAATTAAATTCTCTTGCAAATGAGAGTCCAAACAACTATATTTCTCTGAAATTAAAATCTAAATTGTATTGTCTCGTGCTTGAGAGTAGAAATTTAATGAAAATAAGTAAGAACACCATTGTTCATAACTGCTTATTTCCACTCAATTTCATTTGAATTTCAAACCCGGAAGTAGAAATGGGCGGCTTATGGGATCTCTGATTTGGACTATGTTTTGCCAACAGGAGATAGTTCATTCAGGAAAGCCAATGATGTCTGAATCAAGGCATGCTCTCTCACAAATGTTACTTTATAATAGCAGAAACAGTTAATAGGTCACATAAGGCCATTAAGCACTAGCCTTAGGCATAACCCTCCTGGAAAACAAATACATTTCTGTTCTTGGAACACTTATCCCAGGCAAAATGTCTCCCAGAAAGTAACACCCACAGTCTGTGAATGTTTACATTGTGTTTGTTTTGTTGTTGCTGCTGTTGTTTTGTAGAGTGTATCAGTCATTTTATTGAAGGAATTGGAGGACACACAAATTACCCTTTTTCTAGTCATTTTTCTTAAGCCAATTCATTTCTCAAGAGTGTATTTTTCAAATTTCCTATCTTGGATATAATTCTGTATGTTGATGTTCTGGAATGTGAGTAAAAGAAGTGGAATGGGAGATGCCATTATTTAGAAGACAATCCTCATATTTTTCAGTCTCATGCATCAATGTCACTCTTGGTGATGCCAGGTCTCCCCAAGTCTGAAAAGTCTCTAGTTTAAATTAACCAGGGAGTAATTCGTCTCCCATCATGTCAAAAAAGGAATAGGACCCTTGACATAATGAGGTCAGGAAAATGATTTGAAGGTTTCAATTAAATGGCATACTTTTAATCCATCTTGCTCTTTTCAGTCCCTTTCCTCTATCTCTTCTACCTTCAGAGCTACTGGTACTTCTAATTCCAGAGCCTTTTGATGCTTCCATAGCAAGTTTTCTTCCTTTTTGTTGCCTCCTGACTTACAAGTAGTTGGATTTCATCCTTTTATTCTGTGTTAATTCTATTACCAAACATCTGCCTATTTTATAATTCTTACAATTTTGTTGGCCTTGCTCATCCAGTGTCATTTCTCTAGCATACTTCTGCTTTGTTAGTGTATAACTTTTCTTTTCATTATCATTATTTCTAAAGTGTTTTGGATATATACAAGCTAAACGTCTGCATTTAAGCTTTCATGGATGTTATGGACTGAATTGCATCTTCCCAAAATTGTAGGTTGAAATCCTAACACTGATGTTACTATATTTGGATATAGGGCCTCAAAGGAGGCATTTATGGTGAAAAGAGATCAGAAGGGTAGACCTTAATCTAATAGGACTTGTGGTCTTATGAGTAGAGGAAGAGATACCAGGAGTGTGTGCACACAGACAGGAGGGTATATGAGCACACAGTGAGAAGGCAGCCATCTGCAAGTCAAGGAAAGAGGACTTACCAAAAACAAACCCTGTTTGCACCTTCATATTAGACTTCCAGACTGCAGAACTGTGAAAAAGTACATTTTTGGTTATTTAAATCACTCAGTCTTTGATATTTTGTTATGGCAGCCTTGACAGATTAATACAATGTGAATCATTAAATATCACTTTATATTTCTTAACAAATTAACCATCTCACTCATGATTGTAACAAACAGATCATTCTCAGTCATAATTGAGGAATTTGCTCAGCCTATTCAGGGTACTGTAAGTAATTTGGGACACTAAAACATTTATAGAGTACACTTTTGATTTTTGTCAACACTCATCAATTCTCAATGATAGTTTATTAAGTCTGTATCTTCCCTTGAAAATATGCTGTTCTTTGGCTTATGTATGCTCTTATTTATGTTCTGTGGCTTCTTTTGGGTCTTTAACAAGATAGCCCTACAATGTACCATGCAATCTTTCTAAATTCATTATATAGGGATCAATCTCAGATGTCCTGCTCCATTCCAGGGGCTCTGAAGTAGTGAATTAGGGCTCCCCTCA
The DNA here is from genome assembly GCF_000001405.40 of Homo sapiens. Taxonomy (NCBI): domain Eukaryota; kingdom Metazoa; phylum Chordata; class Mammalia; order Primates; family Hominidae; genus Homo; species Homo sapiens. The sequence continues at coordinate 29,374,852 of NC_000004.12, forward strand.
TGGGTCTCCCCAGAAGCCTAATCTTTTTCTCTTTCTCTCTCTTCGTCATGGGACTCTAATCCCTTTCTTCTAACATTTCATCTTTTATGCTTCATTTTCTCACCATAATTACTGCCTCTTCCTAGAACAGCTCCACTAAAATGATTAAGTCAGAGTTTGCAAACTCAAAGTATAAGTTTTGAATTTCTTCTATAGATTTTATTCTATTTGTATTTTATTTTGGCCAATAAAATGTTTTCCTATTTCAACCAAGTTTTTAAATTATAGATCTCAGTTCTCATTTGAAAAAATTGTAGATCTGACAACACAGACTACTAAAATATCTATTGGAGATTAGTAATGCTACCTAATTTTATGTGAAGGATGATTATTTTCTTTATAGAATGGATGTGTGTATACCTACAGTCAGTCTGCTTCTCTCTTTACAATGTCCAATATCATTCTTATACACATTTGATTTGACAAAAGAAGTTTTTATTTCAAGAAGTAGTAGAGTGACCACAAAGAGTTGTGCGGGCTGTGTAGCCCCAGAAGATGTAATTTACATAGGTCATTAAGTGGATAACGTTGCCCAGGTTTGTGTACTGGAAACCTAGCACAATGATACAACTATATAAAATAATCTTTAAACTTTGTTTATCTCTCATATTCTTCTTTTTCTTCAGACATAAATATTCATTCGGCAAAGAAACACAAAGTTTTGTTTACCTCTTAGAATGGAGATGGTAAAAGTATCAGGACAACAAAACAGAAGTTAATATCTCAACAAATTATCCTAACACAGTAGTATATAAGAATGAACACTATTATGATATAATCCATAGGAGTAAAATATTTAACACAAATGTCACTAAAGACTGAAAATACCTGTAAAATGTTAAGGCCTTTATGAAATTTCCTTGACAGATAAGTAGTCTGTTATGGACTGAATGTTTACATTCCCCCTAATTCATATGTTAAAATCCTAATCCCCCATATAATGGGATTAGAAGGTGGGACCTTTGGATGGTAATTAGGCCATGAGGATGGAACCCTCATGAATGGGACTAATGCCCATAAAAAGAGACCCCAGAGAGCTCTCCAGCCTCTTTAAGTCATGTTGAAGATACAGAGACAAATTGGCAGTCTGCAACACAGAACAGGGCCTTCACCAAAACTCGACCTTGCTGGCAACTTGATCTCAGACTTCTAGGCTCCAGAACTTTGAGAAATTAATTACTGTTGTTCATAAGCCAGCCAGCCAATAGTACTTTGCTATAGCAGCACAAACTGATTAAGATAGAGTCTAAATAAAACATCAAAAAATTTTGATTGCCATTGTAGTAAAGAGTACAGGACTGCAAACTGGAAGGTCAGAATTCTTATTCTGAATCTTCCCAGGATGCATTGCCATTATCTATTAAAAAAGGAACTAAACTAAGTGATTATTCAGAACTCGTTTTATGTTTAGATTCTTTGAATATAATAAGTACTACAAACTCAATTCCTAACTCCGGAAGAATATAAGATTGACTAGTAAATGCTCTTTTATGGTTGTTTCTAAAAGAAGCTTTTAGTAGAATGATGTTTGTGCTCAGAGCAATCTTATACTGACTTATGTTACTTGTATTATCCTCATGTGTGATAGAAGAGGCTTTGGTTTGACTTGTTTTTTTTATTATTATTTTTCTGGAAGCCACTGCAGATTTAATTTCCCTTTAAGCAGTAGACTAATCACACTCTCTCTTTCACCCCACAGCTTGAACAGATTGAGAGTTTTAATGGTGAAAACATTCAGTGCAGGTAGGGAAAGCCCAGGAGGCTGCAGGAAAAGAGCCCTAAATTTAGTAAGTAAGAGAGATATAATAGCAGTATGAGTTCTGCTGTTTGGCTTCCAGGAAAAATTCATTCTTTATGAATTCTCATATTCTCAGTTTCTCCCTCCTCTTCCCCCACCCCATGCAACCTTGTTCCTATTTTTCTGAATTATTATCCTTTCAGTACTCAGCAGACCCAGAAGAATAGAAAGGTGCTTGCTGCCATCCCTTCATCTAAGCCCCTCTTCTTCAGATTAATTCTTTATCTTTTGTTTCTCAGATCTGAAATATATTCTTTGCAAGACCATTACATTTCTAAGATTTTTCAGAACTCAATTAAAATCATAATTGGCCAGCATCTTAAAACACATTTTGATGCATTGTATTTGGTGACTATCACTCAATTTGTCAATATTTATTGAGTACTCATTGCAAAATCAGAGTAGCAGGAAAAGAATTTTAAAAAAACACTATAAAATACAAGGTCAGCTATGATAAAATGTTAGCTGGAAAGGCATATCCTTTAGATGAGACCCTAATAATCTCCTTATTTCGGGACTATATATTCTTCTGGACTAATAGGAGGAATGAAAAAAGCTATGGCAGAGAATCTATTCAAGGACTGAACTTTCAAGTTCAGAGGATCTTTCTTCTCAGAGTTTATCTTCCTAGAATCTAAATGAAAGTCCAGTTAACAATATTTTTTTTTTCTTTTACTATTGCCAGACTTCACACAAATTGGAAATATTTTATTTCAAAAATTAATGAAGCTATTCTTGATCAGACATTTCAACTTTTTTTTAATTTAGCCTTGATTCTTAATTTTAAGGATAGTATGATTCTATACCGGTGTTGTTATATACCATTTGAGTGAAATGCTAATTGGTTATTATTTAATGGAAAAGTAAAAAATAGAAAAATAATAAATTTAATAACCATATCAAGATTTTATATTTCATTAATAATTGAATAGGAAGCTGTGTATTTTGTATTTAGAGAGTTTTTTTTTATTGTTTTCTGGAGGTTGCATGCCGCTGCTTTTAAGTCTTTTTTACCTAATTTCTCCAATTTAAACTCTTCCTTTCTCCCTCATTTTTTTTTGTTGTCCTATGTAATTGACATCCATTTTTCTGCTGCCTTGTTTATGATTTCTCCACTGTTTTTAGGAAGCTTTTCGTAAATACCAAGGCCCACTGTAGTAATTGCCTCTTGTTCTTCACTATAATGCTACTTATGTTCTGCCCTGCTCAGCAAAAGCAGACTGTATTGCAGAAAGTTTCAGACAAGATGTCTTGTAACATGGGTTCAAGTTACTGCTCCTCCACTTAAAATTTTTGAAGCTATAGTTTTCAATTTCCAAAATGAATTGAAAATGTTTTCTATCTTATGGGTATATTGAGATTTAAATAGGGAAAAATGTAATATTGCACAACATGTTAGGAGTGACTTGTCTTCAAAAATACTGTAGGCTCTGTGAAAATAGGGATTAAAGTCCCTGAAATTTTTTCCTAGTGTTTTGACTAAATCTTTGAACAATATAGGTATTCCATAAATGTCTGTTGGTTAGTTGAATCCCAAATAGAGCTGTTTAAAACAATGCTGAGTCTCTGTTAATAGTCAATATACTTTTCTTTCTAGTACCTGTAATAAATAAATAGCTGTTGTTAGTCATTATGTTTATTGCAGCACTATTTACAATAGAAAAAGCTTGGAACCAACCCAAATGCCCATCAATGATAGACTGGATAAAGAAAATGTGGCACATATACACCATGGAATACTATGCAGCCATGAAAAAGAATGAGTTCATGTCCTTTGCAGGGACATAGATGGTGCTGGAAACCATCATTCTCAGCAAACTAACACAGGAATAGAAAACCAAACACTGCATGTTCTCACTCATAAGTGGGAGATGAACAATGAGAACACATAGACACAGGGAGGGGAACATCACACACCAAGGCCTGTCAGGGGGTGGTGGGGAAAGGGGCGGGAGAGCGTTAGGACAAATACCTAATGCCTGTGGGGCTTAAAACCTAGATGATGGGTTGATAGGTGCAGCAAACCACCACGGCACATGTATACCTGTGTAATAAACCTGTACGTTAAGCACGTGTATCCCAGAACTTAAAGTAAAATAATTTTTAAAAACCACATTTAAAACCACAATTTTAAATTTATTTTACATTTTTTTAAAATAAATTTTAAAAACTCTGTAAAGACAGAAAGATAGATTTGCAGAAAGTTATTTGTTGTATTTTCTACGAACTAAAATTTTCTGTTTGCTTCATATCCTGGAAAGGCAGACAAAGATAATTTGAGGGAGAAAATCTGTCTTCAAGGCCACAGGAAATGTTTAGTTGAAACACATTTTCACACTTTTATGTGAAATTCTCATTTGGTGCTACAAATATCACCTTTAAAAACACTAATTCCCTTTATTTTGTATAATATAATTTCTTATAATATTCTCTTTTGCCTTTTTTCATGGAGGGCTGTTTCCAGAAATCTCAGGTCAAATACGGCTCCTACATCTTTGAACTTCTATAGAACTAACTTATTTGGCGTAACTTGAATGGCCTTTAACACTATTTGTTGTGAATTTATTTTATTCTTGTCTTAATACATTTTATGAGCTTCACGTGGGCAGATAAAGTGTTCTTTTCCTCTTAGTAGGTACGGTAGGCTGAATAATAGCTCCCCAAATTAATCCACATCCTAAATCCTGGACACGTGAATGCTAATTTGTATAACAACAAAGAATTTGAAGATGTGATGAAGTTAAGGATTTTAAATTGGAACATTATACTGGATTATCTGGATGGGCACTAAATACAATCACATTTATCCTTCACAAAGGGAAAGCAAAGGGAGGTTTGACTATACAGAAGAATAAAAGGCCATGTGATCAGGAAAGCAGAGATTAGAGTGATGCAGCCACAGGTCAAGGGATGCTAGCTACCAGAAACTCCAGGAGACACGGAATGGAATCCCCCCCAGAGCCTTCAGAGGGAGCTCGACCCATCTGAAACATTTATTTTGGTACAAAACACTGACTTTTGCCTTCAGAACTGTAAGAGAATAAATTATTGTTGTTTTATGCCACTAGGTTTGTGATAGCATTTTTATAGTAGCAATAGGAGACTAAGATAATGGGCAAGGTCTTTTTTTCTGTTTCAGTAGATGAATGCTTGGTGTTCCCTAGAGTTTTATTTTGTGCCCTTTCTCATCTCTCCTCTTCTCTCCTTACTTACACCACATGTTTTCCCTGGACAATATCATAATCCTTTAATTTCAGATTATATCCATACCAGATGATTTACAAATGAATCTTTAGACCTGCTCTCTCTCTTGGGCTCTGGATGCTTACATCCAGCAAGTTAAGAAAATCTGCTTTTTGAAATCACTAAAGCACCACAAAAATTAACATGCTAAAAAGGGAATGAGTTATGCATAGCAACATTCTTCTTCTGAATTCCATATCTCAGTAATTAACACCAATATCCAAACAGTAACCCAAGCCAGGAACCTCAGAGTCAGATTTGAATTCATTTTTTCTCACCCACTGTGTCTCTATAGCCTCTAAATTTTTAGATGATGGCACCAAACATTTTCTCCAATATATTCACTTCCAAAACACCATGCCAAAGTTTTCTTCAGACCACTATTAAGTCTTACCTTAAGTGGCCTCCCAACTTGGCTTCCAGTATTGTACACCCCAAACCTGACTCCATACAGTCAGAGGAATATTTCTATAATACAAATTTGCTTATTCCATTCCCTTAATTAAAACCACAACATGATGTCCCATTGTCCTTATGATGAAGTACAAATTACTTAAGGAGCTCTACAAACACCTTGGGTATCTGAGTGCAAATGATACCTTGAGACATAATTTCACATCTCCACTTCAAAACCTTACTCTCTCATCATATTACATTTTTATTAGAAACAGCAATGTTCTTTTATGCATCCAGAACATGGCTTATGCTATTCTCTGTGCTGGAATGTTCTTCATGCTTCACCATTCAACTGGCAACTCAGTCTTCAGATTTCAATGAAACTTCAGGTTTCCTCTGTGAAACCTTCCCTGACATCTCACAGACTAGATAAGCAGCCTCCATCATGTGTTCACACACATATGTGTTCTATATTTCCTATGGTAGCTGTCCTCATAATTTATTTTATTCTGATGGTATACTTGTCTGTCTCTCTTGACAGACCATAAGAACTAGAAAGGCAAGGGCCACATCTGTAGTCTCACCCCTAGTGATCAATTAATATATTTTTGGTGAATAAAAGACTATGGGTGGAGAACAAACTTGAAGGCTGCAGGAATAGATGTAGCATTTATATATTCCTCTGGACTTTAATACTATATTTGCTCATAGAAATTTCCTTCAGATAATAAAAACACCAAGGGTTGAACATCTGACCTCAACACTATTTTCATTTTGAGTGTATTATAATAATATAACAGAAAACTTCAGTATAAAGTGACTGCCATTATAGTAGATTTCTTTCCAATTAAATTTTCTGCAACATGCACTTTTTAACTTTACCTTCCACTCACTGTCTGCAGTAAATGAAACTCAAACCTACATGCATCAGTCTACAAAACCTCACATGATGATCAGGTGATGTTATCTGCCTGACAACATTTTGATTTCACAGGGTTACTTTCTTGCCTCATGTTTATTTGTGAAATTACTTGAATTTTTATTATATTTTGCCTTTGTTACCCCATAAAAATTTCATTGAAAAACGAACATAACAATGCCAGCACTCATAGATCTAAGTATTACAGGCTCACTGACTTTTCTCAGGACAGAAAGCCATGTTTTTCAGAAGAAGTGGGACATGTAGCTGAGTGTGACTCCTGTTTGATAGAAGCCAGTTATAGTGTCCTCTATGAAAAATAATAGTTTGGGCATAGTCATGTGACTCAGGTGCATCCTTGAATTGTGATAAGAAGTCTTCTGAAGAACATATGGGACAGTTCACATTCTTCTTAAGAAATGGACATAAGGTGCGGGCACTTCTTTTTAGTTCGACTTTGGACATTCTTTTCTAAAAGGAAATATTGGATGCAACTGCTGCAGCCATCTTGACTCAGAGAGGTTCCAAGAAAATCACACGTGGGCCCACAGAGAGCCATAACTTTACTGAGCTCTGAAATTTTTTAAAACAAGTATTGGATGTGCCCTACTTCAAATTTCTTATATAAACAGACAAAATGTCTCCTAATTCTCTATGCCTCTTTTTATCAGTGTTTCTTCTGTTTCTAAAAATGGTACCCCTACATATATTGTAACTTAAAGATAGAAATTACTAGGCATGATAAACCTGTGAAAACTCAAATCCTAAATTTAAGATTCTGACTGAGCTTAGTCTATCAACTATGTATTCAAATATAAAGAAAAAGAATCACATTCAAGACCATGTGTGAAATGGTAAAATGATAACATAGTTTGCATTAAAAATCCAAAATATAATTAGGAATTTTATATCACTTTTCACTTTATTGTGAATGAAAACTGTTTTGTAATAAATAAGCCTGACTTTTTTAACTTCTGTGCCTTCCACTTTTATGTGTATATGTGTGTGTGCATGCATGTGCATGTATGCTTATTTGCAATTGTGTAACTGTAAAAGTCCAATCGAATAATATATTTACTTGATTTATATATATATTACATATAATTTTTATTCTGTGTAGCTAATCGTATTTGAGAGTGAATACAATTGTGATCTCATCTGCTCTTAATTTTCTATCATCATTTCTCCAATGTTTATAAATTCTTCAAGGAGTAATTTTTGTTCTCCAGATAACCTGATATAAGCTTACTAAACACAACAAAATCGTGTTCCTCAGTCATTGCTGGGTACATAATTTATTCTGGATAATTTTGTTATTCCTGAATAAAGCAAGGCAGTGCATTTTCTCTATAATGTGGTCAAGATATGTAGATTCCTAATATCAAATAAAAAAGTAAAAAGAAGCACTACTTTTTTTTTTTTTTTTTTTTTAACCAGGCCAACATATTCAGGACATAAAAACTGCAATCAGCACAAAAGTTCCTTAAGCCATTTATTAAATCTGTGACTTTCAAATCCCTATCCACTTTTTTGAAAAGTACTTCTAGCCAAACAGCTTTATTACTGTTTTTGGGTTTTGTTTTTGTTTTTGCTTTTCCAGTGCTAAAATCATGATCCATTTTATTTCTTAACTTGTGGGGAGAAAAGTTTATGCGTTTTTCCTTCTTACTTGGTTCCATGTCTATCGTTTAATAAGACCAAAAGTGAAGGCACCTCGTTCATCTTACTCCCCTCAGGTATATTCTGATTCACAAGGCTGAAAGTCTGCTTGTCTGATTTTCCTTTGGGGACTTTACTGTACTAATGAGCACTCAGGTGTAATTCATTGGAAGAAGTTTTGCAGGTGGAGGCTGTTTGTTACTTAGGGTGAAAATGAGCATACTATACCAGTGCAAAATGATTTATTACAACTTTTTGCAATACCAGCAAAATGATTCATACTTGCCAAGTTTTGCTTTATGCGCAAAACTTTATATTTTAACAGAAGTCACCATATTCTTGATATTAATTGTGGTAGTATTTCCAAATAATATAACTTCCAGACAATGTTTGGGTGCTACTCAGAAAACTTTTCTCGAGGCAACATGCCAGAAGTATAAATCTTTTGGTAGAAGTCTTGTTAAAAAAATAAAAATTTACAATCATATTTTTAAATATCCCATAATGCCACATTATAATCCTATCTACTAGAAAAGATCAATCTCCTTAAAAATATGAGTATATATTCAAGGGCTTTCTATTAATGCAAAATTACTCAAACTGCCTTTACTTCCATAGAAATGATGTGATCTCATGTGACATGACATAGTCTGTTCACCATTGAGTTTTACATACACATAATATTTTGAACTAAGTATTCCTATATTTAATAGGGTTTTAATTTTAGTTCCTTTGATTTTGGATTGGTCTTCATGTATTTTATGTTTAAAATATTTATCTTGACATTTGTAGAGGCCTCTCTTATATATGATAGCATATATCATCTCGTTTCTGTAAAACATATAATAAATAAGTCAGTGGTAAAAAGAACCCAGGATACCATTTTTTTTTTGAGACAAGTCTCACTTTGTTGCCCAGGCTGGAGTACAGTGGTGCGATCTCAGCTCACTGCAACCTCTGCCCCCCGGGGTTCAAGCAATTCTCCTGCCTCAGCCTCCTGAGTAGCTGGGATTACAGGGAGGTGCTACCTTGCCCAGCTAATTTTTGTATTTCTAGTAGAGACAGGGTTTCACCATGTTGGCCAGGCTGGTCTTGAACTCTTGACCTCAGGTGATCCACCCGCCTCGGCCTCCCAAAGTGCTGGGATTACAGGCGTGAGCCACTGTGCCTGGTCCCCAGAATACCATTTTAAAGAAAGCTGGATATTATTCTTTCCTCAATAGCTTAGCAGGGCCAGTGTTATTGTTTTCTACCTTTATTTCTGTCATCATAATTTGTCAGAAGGAAACTTCCAAGAAACATTACTAACATTCTGTCTTCTGCATTGGATGAAATTCTATCAGCTGATGGGTTATTAGAGTCTACTCTCTTTCAGTACCTAAAATGTATAGTTCAGCCATGAGGAAGATTCTCCTCATAATAAGATCTTTGACTGGCATGAGCTTTCGTACTCAGGATAATTCTGAAGCTTTTTCTGGAGTGGTTTGCAAACATGGCTTTATAGACTCACTGAATTAGAATCAAAGTTTTCACATCACCTTCTCTGGGGTGATGACTGCAGCCTGTCTAGTATCAGACTAAAGACCTACATTTGGCAATTTTAGTCTGGCAAGACAAAGAAGGCATTGGAGTGGCTGCCTCACTGCTATCAACAATGGTGGTGATGGTATTGTCTGTGTTAGGGACCAGAGTCTCAGTTTGACATCAGTAAAGCCTGGTGATAGTCCCAGTTTTGACACTGACTAGCTTTGAGACCATGGCACTTGCTCTATGTCACAGGGCTTCAGCTTCTGACATGTATAATTAGGAAACTGGACTAGATGATTTTCAGTACCCTGACAGGAAATTTTATGACTCTTCAATATCCTTTGCTTTATGAAAAGATATCATGGTATGAATGTTTTTGCATCTACTTACAGGTTGTAATGAACCATTTGTTTTGGTTGCCTTCTTGGCCCCACGTAGATTTTTAATCACAAGAAAACCAACATCATTGACGCAATACTTAGGTTGGATGAATAAATGTAATTCTTATGAAGGTTCTGGGGGAGAATCAGTTCCATTTCTCTCCCGTATCTTTTGGTGGCAACCAGCAATCCTTGGCATTCCTTGAATGTAGATTTAACACTCCAATCTCTGTCTCTGTCTTCATGTGTTGTTCCTCCTATATCTCTGTGTTCAAATTTCCCTGTTATAAGGGCACCAGTCATGTACCATTAGGGCCCATGCTAAGGACTTAATTTAACTTAGTTAAATCTGCAAAGATCCTACTTTCAGGTCACAGTCAGAGGTACTAGGGCTTAGGAATATTATATATATTTTTAGGGGTTACAATTCAACCCATAATGCTCTTTTCATAAGTTGAACATTTTCTTCCACAAAAATAGTAAAAACTAATTTGACCTCTATTTTCAAACTTTCAGCATTTAAATTAATATTCTTATCACTGATATGTGCCATACATTTTTCTAAACAATTAACCCCTACTAGCTCATTTAAATTTCCATCACAAGTTTAAGCAGCAGAGATTTTAATCTTTTCCTTTCTCTCCTTTCTTCTCACTCTGCCACATCAGTGTGTTTCCAATCTGTCCTCCAGATCTTCCTCTGTGTTGCCTCTATATACATTCTAGACATCCTTCCTCATTGCTCAAAAGGCATACAAGTGATATTATTTTCTACTTGTCATGATTTCAAAAATAAAACTTCCAGACTGGGCGTGGTGTCTCGCGCCTGTAATCCCAGCACTTTAGGAGGCCGAGGCGGGCGGATCACTTGAGGACAAGAGTTTGAGACGAACCTGGCCAACATGGCGAAACCCTGATTCTACTAAAACTACAAAAATTAGCCTGGCGTGGAGGCTCATGCCTGCAGTCTCAGCTACTCGGGTGGCTAAGGCAAGAGAATAACTTAACTTGAGCCTGGAAGGCGGAGGGTGCAGTGAGCCGAGATCACACCGCTGCCTTCCAGTCTGTGCAACAGAGCAAGATTCTGTCTCAAAAATAAATAAATAAATGAAATAAAGCTTCCAAATTAGCCTGCTCAAATACATATGAATGGTTATGGGTGTATGAGTTGTCCTTTCTAGGCCTGATTTTTTAAAGTTGAGGCTTTAGAAAGAAAAATATATGTATCATCTAACTAGAAGGTCTAGTAATTATTTTAATGGAAATTTATAGGCTTGAATTCAAAAGAGTTTGATGATGAATCTGTGCTCTGCCACAAAGTAGCTGGCACACTGAATTTCTTTTAATTTCTGTAAAGTAGGGATATACAGACAGTAGGTTAACATTATCATTTCACAGATGAGAAACCCGAGGTAAATGAAGGTTGAGTAACTCACTCCAGGCCACACATTTATAAATAGAAGCAGTCCCAAGCCTGTACTGGAATAGACTATTCTACCTTTATGAGGCTATTTGTAATAATTAAATGAGATAATATGTTCTCCCATAGAACTTCTTCACATTTTCTGCTTCTTTAAAACATGACTGCTTGGCAATGAAAAGGCTCATTTCAGTTATTAGTCACGTTACAATTTTCCTAAAGACCCCTTGTTACTGCGAATCAAAGACCAACATTATGTGCTCTTACCTTTGATTAATTCTCATAACCCCAGGCCAGAACTAAACCCAAATTAATAATGAAACAATAAATGAATGAATGAATCATTAAAAAATATGTTTACTAATGTAACAAACGTGTCTGTAATATGCTTATATTTCTTTTTCTGTGTTACATACATTTGAAAATATTTATGACTGTCTTAGCTCATGCTTCCATAACAAAATATGATAGGCTGGGTGACTTAAACAACAGTCATATTTCTCATAGTTTTGGAGCCTGGGAAGTCCTGGGGTGCTCACCAGTTCCATGTCTGGTGAGGGTTCTCTTTCTGACTTGTAGGTGGTTGCCTCATTGCTGCGTCCTCACACACATTTTCTTGGTACATGTATGTGAACAGAGAGAGACCTTGTGTTCTTCTGATAAGGCCTCCAATTCTATAGGTTTAGTACTCTACCCTCTTGACCTTATTTAATTACCTCCCAAAAGATACATCTCTAAAAACAGTTATATTGAGAATTAGGGCTTCAACATATGAATTTTGGGGTTACAGAATTCCATCCTTTGAGTTACTCTTACCTATTTCACTTAAAATTATTTATATTTAGATAATATGAGACTGAAAGCAGAAAAAACATGACACAGAATTTAAAATGTATCATAATGAATGAGTTCCATCTTTAAATTTTACAGTAAGTCTTAATTATTCTATAATGATTAAAGCATCAGACTATTTTTAGCTTGCCTATGGATATCGGTACTCAGATTTGAATTTTCTTGTAACATTAGGTAGAGACTGTTTTTCCTATAGACACAAAAACTATAAAAACTGTTGGCATAATCTTATTGTAATTAAATTCCCATTTATAGAAAGTCTAGTGTTTGAACTGAAATTGTTCTATTTCCATAAAACTTAATAGGCAGAATCTTATCATCAGTGTTAGTACTCAAATGTTAAAAAGCTCAGACTGTGAAAACATGGTTATATAGTCAATTTCCATTTAAACATAGAGCTTTAATAGAGGCATCAAATATGCTATTTACTACATTAATACTTTTGCAAGTTTTCTTGAAAGAAGGATTTTACCTTCCTTTTTACAACTGTATTAAAGACAATTATAGAAGAGCTCCCTCAATTTTTAGATCAAAACTCATTGCCAGTAAGTCGATTATCCTGCTCAAGTTATGCTTTGAAAGGGAGGCACTGTGCTTAGGGTGTTTCGAGGAGGAACGTTATATCAGTTTTGAAAGCATCAGGGCATCCCTCACAGTATGAGTTGGTTATATATTCCAGGCATCAGTGGGTCACGGGATACATATACTTTCTCCCATTTTCTATACCTGTACCTCGTCACTTACAGCGTCTTCAGTAAGATGGAAAATACCAATTTTTAGGCCAAAAATATGTGGTTCTTTGAATGCTTTTTTTTCTTGGTATAGTTAGCAGCCAAATAACGTATTGTCCCTCTTATATATAAAGACATTATCTATAGTTGTCTATTAACAAGGCGTTATCGTTAGGGTTTTATTTTATGTAGGAGTGATAAAATTACTTGTACCAACCTACATGCTTTTTTTTGGTATATACTTGTGTGTGCCAACCTGTATGTATGTGTGCTCCAGAGAAAGGGAGAGAGTGGGGGATGTGTGGGGGGCCGGGGGGAGAGATAGATAGACAGATACATAGATACATACATAGATAGATACATAGAGAGAGAGAGAGAGAGAGAGAGATTATGATTTCTTTATGTTCCAATTACCATTTTAGATTCTGAGAACACCAAGATGAACTGGCTCTTCCTTGCTAAAAGTCTGTCTTCTGGTAGGGAAGACAAAGATGAGCTCGAAGCTGTTAAAGTATTGGTTCTGTGTGAATTTGTCTAAAATAAGAGAATACTTTAATATGCTTTAGTAGCACAGAGAAATGCATGATAAATTCCACCCTATGGCTTAAAAAAGAAAGCCGGGAAGAGCTTCACAGCAAAGGTAAATGTGAAGAAAAGAATTAACTTTACCCAAAGAGAGGTCTTTTTATTTTTTATTTTTTTGTCCTGATTCCTGATTCTTGGAAGGTAACTTCTAAACCCTTCAAATTTCCCGAGTTATAAATGTGTCTTTGTTATTCACGGTGAACTCTTAGACCATGTTATAGAAAAAAATGTATTCAATGATGCTTGTCAAAGCATGGTAAAAAAAAGACCTTTTTTAAAGGGCTAGCTGGTTAGATAGGGACCATGGCAATGCAATTTTGCAGTGGGTGAGAAAGATTAGGCTCAACCCCAAATACATGATAGGCAAGTGGCAAATTACATGTACAGAGCATGGTGAGTGTTGGTGGATGGAAAATTACTAAGAGAAAACTTCAGAAGTAAAAAATCTTCTGGCTAAACACACCTAACAGAATTTTTGCTGAAGATAGACCAGGGTGATTAGACATCATAATGGGATAGTGGAAGATGAGGAACCCAATCAACTATCAAGAGTGATCAAATATCAAAAGTGAGAGGTTCTTGCTGAACTGATTTAGCAAAGTTTGTTGTTAAAACTGGATCTTACAAGGACGTACAAGATGACGATGAAGAAGTTTCAGGAGCCTGACTAAAGTTTGGCCAAGCAAAGAATCATTGTCAACCACACCTAATAATTTTCTTTTCCAGCTTTTTTGAAGTTACATTGACAAATAAAAATTATATATATCTGAGGTACACAAAGCAATGATTTAATGGATATGTACAGTAATATGTCCATCACCTCATACAGTTACCTTTTTTTTTTGTCATGAGAACACTTGAGAACTACTCTCTTAGCAAAGTTCAACTATAAAATTTGTGTCATGCCTGTAATCCCAGCACTTTGGGAGGCCAAGGCGGGCGGATCACGAGATCAGGAGATCGAGACCATCCTGGCTAACGCAGTGAAACCCTGTCTCTACTGAAAATACAAAAAATTAGCCGGGCATAGTGGCGGGCGCCTGTAGTCCCAGCTACTCGGGAGGCTGAGGCAGGAGAATGGCGTGAATCCGGGAGGCGGAGCTTGCAGTGAGCCGAGATCGTGCCACTGCACTGCAGCCTGGGCGACAAAGGGAGACTCCGTCTCGGAAAAAAAAAAAAAAAAAAAAGTTATGTCAGTAGAACCAAGCATGTGATTGAAAGGTTGGAATTAATTTTGGTCACCCATATAGCCAATAATTCAATCAACTGTGCCTATCTAATGAAGTCCCAATAAAAACTAAGAAGATAAAAGTTCAAAAGAGCTTCCTGGTTTGGCAATACTCCATGCAAATTGTCATGAAACCACCTTTGCAAAAGTATAACAGTAAGAGAAACCTGACATGACTGACTCCATCTTGCTTCTAGCTACACAGACTGGCTGTCTTTGCTCATTCCTGGGCTTGGGCCAAACTAACTTTGGGAGAAATTTGGTTTGTAGTTTAAATAATAATACCCCTTCCCCCAAACTAAACTGTTATTGTAAAACTAATTAAATACTACCAAGTTAGAGGGGTGAAAGTGGCTTGAATTCTAAATAATTACCAGGCATTATTCCAGAAGTCATAAGATTTGCAACATTCCCAATTACTCCTGCAGTAACATCACTATTGGAGAAACTATGATGGGCCTTTTGAGGTGTCTTTTCAGGTTTGTGCATTTCTAACAACTGGATGGGCCCATCTGGACCCACCAATCAGTCTTGTAGCCCCCACTCGAGAACAGCACAAGAGGACAGCTTTGATTCCCTATGATTTCTTCTCCAACCCAACCAATGAGCACGCTCCCTATTCTAATCCCTGCCGACCAAACTATCTTGGAAAAACCCCTAACCTCCAAGTCTTTGGGGAGATTGATTTGAGTAATAACTCTGTCTCTTGCATGGCATGGCCAGCCTCATTTCAAATAAACTCTTCCTTTACTGCAATGCCATGGTCTTTGTGAGTTGGTTTTGTTTGTGTAGTGCACAGGAAGAACCCATTGGGCAGCCATAGTCACAAAAAGATGAGAAGCAGGTAAGTGTCCCTGAGGACATAGATCCCTTTTTAGTTTACTTCCCGGACTTCACCCTATCTATCTCTTTCTTTGGCTGGCATGAAATTGTGTCTTTTTGTTATTAAAAAATAACAAAACCTGCTATTATATATATATAGGTTTTTCTGAGTTCCTTGAGTTGTTCTAGTGAAATGTTGAACTTGAGGGTAGCTACAGGAACAAGCCTGATTTTGTAATCAGTTGATACAAATTAGGGTGGCCTTGGGCAAACCCAAAACTTTCAGATGCTGTGTAACATGAGGGCAGTCTTGTGGAGACCACTCCTACACTGCGCAATTTGCCTAATTCATTACAGCAGCATTATTTAAATTTGTGTTGACAAACTTGTGGATTTTGGTAGCTAGATGGATATTTGCATAGAGAATAAGGAATCCTCCTACGATGTAATTCACCCTAAGACTGAAATACCAAACTTAGATTGTTAGTGGGAAGGGGTGTGCTCAGAGTGGGCATTCTGTTTTACATTTAATTATTATTTTTCCCTTCTAAGACCCATCTTTAGTCTCACTTGAGTCATATGTAAACTGAAGGGAAAAAATGGAGGCATAACAAATTAAAATCATGAGACATAGTTCAGCGAAAACTATATTAGGCTGCTGAGCACAAATAGCACTGCCTCAGGGCTATTTGGGGCAAATAAGTTGGATTAACTCTCTTACTCATTTTGATCTCCTGCTATGCCTTTTAGTGTTGTGTAACTTATAAAACTAAAAGCTAAATTTTATGACTTGCTTGCAAGTAGGAGTTTGAATATTATTTTCATTTAACTGTTTAGGGCTTGATTTGGAAAAGAATGCAATCAGCAGAGAAGCAAGGCATGAGCCACCCGTTACCAGAAATTGAACACAGCATTATTTCTAGAAGCTGTATTGTGACTTTCCCATTTTTTAGATCATACCAATTCAGTGACTCTGGAGCCAGTCACTGTAGTGGTGACTTCCATTTTCCACAGGTAACATAATGATCTTGTAGTACAGGACACTCCTTTGGCGTGCTTGTGTGAGGTAAGCTTCTAGAAGTCATTCCTGGAAGCTTAAATAGGTTTATATGATTAGGAAAAATGAGTCTTCAAGGCAATTTTAACCCACTTCTTAACCTAGTTATATTCAGTTCAGCAACTAAATCCTGACTGATAAACTATAATGACCTTTTAAGAGAAGATATACAAAAAATTAAAGGGAGACATCAAATTCCTTAACTAATGTACTCTACCTGGAAGATTGTTAGAAATATAAATTTTCAGGTCCAACCATAGACCTACTGGAATCAGAATCTGCATATATATATGTGTGTGTATATATATATATATATTCTGCACATATATTTATAATCTGCATATATATTCTGCACATATATATAATCTGCATATATATATTTATATTTTTATATATATTTTATATTTATATTTATATTTTTTATATATATATACTCTGATAGACTACATATTAATATATATTTATACATTCTAGCAGAGGAAGACAAAGTAAAACAAATAAATTTAGTGACAACTACTAAGGAGAAAATACAACAAAATGATGTGTTACAAAGTAATTCGGGCAGGTCCTGCTACTTTAAATAAATTAATGGGCAGGGTAGGCCTCTGAGAGGTTCTAACATTTGAACTGAGACAGGGTTGGTGATAAGGATCCAGGCATGAACAACCTGGAGAATATTTTACACAGAAGCTCTGTCAACTGCAAAGGCTCTGAGACTGAAATGGTTTGACATATTCAGATAATAGAAAAGCTACTGTGACTTGAATACGGTGAGTAAAAAGAAAATGAAAAGATAGGAAAATGTAAGCAAGAACCTGATATACAGGCCTGTCTCTGACATAAAAAAGAACATTGATTTATACTAACTGCAATTGGAAGAACTATTAGTGGATTTTAATCAAACAAGCAGTATGATATGATTTATCTTTTAAAAAGAAAAATTGTAGAGAAGAGATAATAGGATTGAATAAATGAAAGAGAGGAGTTTATTTTATTACACATGCAAGAGACAAAAGTAGCTTGGATTAAAGTAGCGGTAGTCAAGATGGGGAGAAATGAAAATGTTCACCATTTTATATATTATTTCAACAGGACATGGAAATGATTCTGATAATCCTGAGATGAACACAGGAATGGAAAAGGTTTGGTTGCAGGGCTATTACAAACTCTGTTTTTGTACATTCTGCAAAACTAGATTGAGATATCTCTTAGATTTAAAAATAAAGAAGGCAGATAGATCCCATAAAATGAGGTTAATATTCAGAAGAAATGTTAGAGTTACAGCTGAAATTGGTTGATCATCTGGACTGGTATTAAAAGCAAGAGACTTGGTAAAAACTCTCTAATAAAAATATGTGTGTAGAGATAATTGAAAATGTTAAGAGCCAATTGTTGGAGTTTCTCTTGCATCCCCAGAATAAGGTGAAAAAAAAAAAAGGGACAATGGCAATGGGAACTAAGAAGAAAAATCAGGGAAATTAGAGGAAAAGAAGACATGTGTAGGCTGGGCATGGTGGCTTATACTTTTTCAGGTCGAGGCAGAATTGCTTGAGTCCAGGAGTTCAAGACAAGACCAGCCTGGGCAACACAGCAAGTTGCCTTCTTTACAAAACATTTAAAAAATTACCCAAGCATTGTGGCACATACCTGTAGTCCCAGCAACTCAGGAGGCTGAATTGCTTGAACCCAGGAGTACAAGGCTGCAGCAAGCCATAATTGTGCCACTGCACTCCAGCCTGGGTGACAGAAAAAGACCCTGTCTTAAAAAAAAAAAAAAGCATATATAATGGGTATGCTTTTGGTACAATATAACCTTATTACTTTACAAAATATTACAAGAACAGACTGGTAGGAATGGAATCTACATAAAAAGTGGGAAGAATGAAACACAAGCATCACATCCAAATGAATATGGTGAAAGTTATACTAAGTAGGGGACCAGAGGAATTGGGCAGTAATTGAAGCAAGATGTAAGCTTAAAATTCAGGCTTTCATTTAGTTTTATTTTGTCTAATAAGAGATAAAAAGGGATGTTTGCCAGAAGATTATTACTGTGATAAAGAGAATACATAGATTTGCAAAACAAACTCTCTGGCAATTTACAAGGAATGAGATCCAGAAACTAAGAAGATAATCTTTTTTATGATAGAGCAAAAGCTTGTTTTTAATAGAAAGCAACATTGAAAGCAAGTATAGAAAGAAGTAGGTTTTTAAGCATAGTTATAGGAATATAAGCCATTTCCTATTTTTTCATCGGACTTATGAAGAGAGTTAAATACCAGGGAGTTTTAGGATAACCGTGTAGTCTTGCTCTTCCTGTGGTAACTAAAGCAAACCAAAAAGTAAATCATGATGGGATTGGTTCTGTTAGTCTTTTGTAAGAAGGTGGCCCAGAATTTCAAGTTTGAGTCCAGAATATTTAGTTAATAATTATTGACATTTAGGCAACATTTATCTAGTGATTGCATGGCAAGCCTGAGTTTAAAAGTTTTACTTGAATCTAGATTTAACCCAACGACTAAGTTTTGGTAAATAAGATTGCAATTACTTCTGACAAAAACTGCCTAGAGTTGGACCAAACCTCAGAGGTTAAGAGCATAGTTCTCCACAATATTTGTCTCACCTTCAGATACTAAACACTAATGTAGGGGCCCAGCTTGTGAACAAATTTGGAGGTTTTCAATATCCACTCAGGTTCAGATAATTGCTAGAATGACTCATAGAACTCAGGTCAGCACCAAACTTATGGTTAAAATTTTATTACAAAAGATACAACAAAATGAGTGACATTATGCAGACTACTGCCAGAGAAGCTCAACCATGCTCGGTGTCCAGAGTTTTTATTGGGGTTTCATTGTTTAGGCCTTATTGATCTAAATATTGTCCATGTGGATGAATTCCATTTCCAGCCCTCTTTCCTCTCTGGAGTTTGGGCTGATATCATGGATCAAAGCCTCAACCTACTAATCACATGATTGGCCTTTGTCTCATGGACAACCCTCATCTGTGTCATCTTATTAGCATCAACAATGAGAGGCCCTTTCTCAGACATCTTGTTAACATAAACTATCAGGTTTGTTCCCAGGGGCCCACACTTCTTGTCACTTCAAAAATTCCAAAGATTTAGAGATGAGTTTCCAGAAACCAGGGGCAAAGACCAGCCAAATTCTCTATTTCAAAGGTTTAGTGGTTACTTCTCAGGAACCAGGATAAAGACGAGCCAAATTCTTTATTATGCAAAGATGTAATTAAAAATGTGGGTCTGATTCTCTAGAAAATCAACTTAAAAGGAGCTAATTTAACTGAGAAGAAAACCCATGTGTCCTATTTTTTAGCGCTTTTTTTTTTTTTTTTTGACTTTCACCATCTACATGCTCTCTAGAGCTTCAACATCCATCTTAGATCATAAGTTGACCTTGAAGATAAAAGCTACACTCTAATACAGGGCTCGGTAAACTACAGCTCAAGAGCTAAATCCAGTCAATCACCTGTTTTTGTATAAAGTTTTATTTGTATGGGTTTGCAGTCATATATTTTTTTTTCCCTGTTGCCTAATGCTACTTTTGTGCAGTAAAGGAGAGTTGACTTTTTGTGTGAGAAGAAAAGTTGAGTGGTTATGATGGAGAATATATGTCTTGGGCATATTAAAATATTTTCTGTCTAGTTTCTTACGTTTTCCTACCCCTAACTAGAATGATGAAAAAGAAAAGATAATGTCTATCTCTTTGGTAATCATAAAACTTTACACCAGTTCTAGACAACTTACCTCCTGGCTTCTTTCAAGTGAAAGGAAATACTCTTCAACCTTGTTTAAGACAGTGTTTTGTATGTATGTATTTAGATATATGTAGCCAAATCTTGTCATTAGTGATATATCCATTATGTAGCAGAATTGCTACTTAATATTTAAAAAGTACTTTACATTAAAAACTAATACGTTTAAATGTTTACCATGTGAAAAATTTTGCCATATGTCATTTATTTCTCTCTTAGAGAGGTTTAGGTACTTTTTTGAAAATTTATGTCAAAGCCTCATTTTGTTAGCACTCATCAGAAAAGTGCTAATTGGAAAGAAAAAAAAGTTATAGAGAATTTTGAGACAACTATTAATATCCTTCCTCTTCCTCTAACGTGATTTTCTTAATTTTCAATGAGCCAACATTTGCTATGATCTAAAATCTTCTGAGAATATAGTCATTACTGTAAATATCCCACAGCAAGATATACATTCTACTAATTGCCATATGTCAAATTTACAGTCTCCCCACTTAGTAAAAATTTACCAGTTTACTTTTCTGTGCTCAATGTTAGTGATAATATTTCTTACAAAAATACTATGTCTTCATTTAATAGAATATTCAGAACAAAATTGGCAGAGTTTTCTAACTTTTATATAAAATGTTATTAACATCTGGAAGGCTCTTCATTGACATTGAATAAATGCTACATTAAGTTTTAGTGTTTTATATCTTATAGTAGATCAAATAACATCCTAGTCTATATCAGGCAAATGCCGTGGTTATAAGAATTTACAGTAGTACCTTAGCCTAATTCCATAATTACACATTTATTTAACCAATTAAGCATGAAAGTGGCATTATTGTCAAAGGTATGATGTATGACCTGAACATAATTTGGTTAATGAGGAACAAGAAATGCCTGCTAAGTAGGGCAGGTATTCTGTTAGCAGAGACTGCTAATTGCCTCTGACATATGTCAGATTGAATGGCCTTATGTGAAAAAAAATGCTGAGTGGAGAAATCATATTGAAAATAGACCTCACCTTTTTATTTATAAAGTGTTTGTAAACATTTAGCTCTATGAAGTTGAAAAAAAAGTTTTCTGTGGACCGTAGTTGCAGGCATTGTGCAAATTCTCCTGCGTACTCAGTCAATGATAAATAACTACTGCCATTTCAGGGTTTTGTCTGTTATAAACTTCCAGAGAAAAATCTTTACTCCCAATTTCTAATTATCCAGGCTCCCAGATGGATCCACCCACAAAATCCCTTGGCTTAATTTGAAGCCAAGTCTTATCTCATAGCATCCCTTTAACTCTTTCGACTCTTTCTCTTTTCTTGTAAATAACAAAGACAATCAACATTTTCTCTGAGGTTAAGAAAAATCTCGAAGGTAACAGATTTTTTAAATTCTGTTGTAGGATTTCAGCGAAGTTCCATACTGCTGGTTGACAAAGAATTAATGTAAATTTAAGCAAGTCTAGGGAATATAGCATGGTGTTTGAAGGTTATATCTGCTAGGAAATATGAAACACCAGATAAAAAAGAAGACTGAAATACAAGGTATTTGTCTTTATTGATGAAAAATAATAAAAAAAAAACTCATGACATCTTGAAGTCACTGAGATAGTTCAGTACGATTTCTAGAGTCTTGATTTGTGACTCCAACCACTCTGCATTAAAGCATATAGAAATGGTCCATCTGAAATTGTAAAAACGATCTATTTTATATAATTTTCAATGTGCAATTTGCTAATATGGCTATTTTTAAAATGCTACATTAAGGAAGCAGTGTAGCATAGAGATTATGGTATTACACAGTTTTTACATCTACTGGATATATTGTATTGGTCAATTTAAATAACTTCCCTGTAACTCGCTTTATGTAACGAAATTCTATATATTATTATTAAACCTATAAATTTATCACACAAAATGGCACTTAATATTTACATAAAATAGTCTTGTCTACACTCCTACTCCATATCTTCTCCCTGTCACCCAAAAAAGGTGATGTTTCCTCTTAAACAAATAGTACTTTCAATTTATAGAAAATATATGTGAACTGCACTAAAATTGACATTGTCAGTTTCACAATTCATTTAATTAAAAGCAATATTTTTGAGAAAACAATAATATATTCTCTTAATGTTTTCCAGCTTTCCATGTCCAATTTTAGTTAATTAGTATATAGAACTAATTTTTAATTACTTGAAAGAATTATACATAATTTAAATGTAAGCATATTTTTGACATTAAATTTTTAGATACCTTGCTTATGTTTGGTTCTTTAAAATTAATTATTTCACTGTTAAAATTATTAGTAATCATCCAATAATTTTATGTTCCTTTAAAATAAGTGTAGGTAAATATGACTAAAGAAGTTTGAAAACAATTTTTGTTGCTAGTTTTTAAAAATTTCATATAAGTTGGGAATATCAAAGACAATACTTTTTTATATAACATGTAATGCAATTCCATATTGGTGTGTGCAGTTACTATTTTGTTCCAAAACTTCAAATCATTTATGATTACATTATATTTTATGAAAAATGTAGTGTGCTCATCTGGTAAGTAACAAAGGCATCAAACTCTGATATCTTAAATAAAAAAAAATATTTTCAATGTTCCTTTTTCTGGTGATAAATTGAAAAAAATATATATGTTCTGTATTCTTTCCATTTGTTATTTCCTAATCATATTTTATTGAAAATCTATGACTCATATTTTGGCACAGTTCCTAATTAAGATAAGTTAATTCTAGTGTGACTAAACACAGGTTCACAAGTCTTAAGTTTTGTCTCACCTCCAAAAAGAGCAAATGTTGTGTGTATTTTTAGCATTTTCAGTCTGGCCACACCCAAGCTATTCATATTTATCACTTTTCAACCAGATCCATCAGCTAGCAGGAACTGACACCCAATTCAAATATGGTAGACCCTGCTCATTCCAGCTTTTGTCATGTTCAAGTTTCACATTTTCTTAGAATTTCCTCTAAAATTAACCATTTGAAATCACACTAACTTTTAAGATCTCTTGTCTCATTTCTCTTGGAATCACTAATGGCTGGATACTTCATTCTCTAATATCCTATAGAAATTGCTATCTGCCTCAATGAAATGCAGCAATGAATGAGTGAAGTTCATAGTTGTTTCTGTATTTCAGAACTGTTATGTGTATCTCTAAAATTTTTATGGTCTCTGCGGAGCAAAAACAGCGTGTTGTACTTTTCTATTTCCCACAACCCTAGCTAAAAAAATGTGGCAGTGTTTGTGAATTATATTGTTAATGTCCAGGTGATACCTGTGTGAATTAATGTATGTTAAATATTCAGCGTAATGCCTGCCTGATGCCCTGACTTGGAGTGCTTAGTGATTGACAAACATTATTGTTGTGATCTTTACTTTCTCTCTGTTGCTCTTATTTTTTTAAACCTGAATTTCTCAATATTTCTGTTGCAATTATATCCACTTTACAAACAATTTTATTTGGCTTTTCCTTCTCTTTTAGGGTTTAAATGTTGCTGTTTTCTGGTACTAAGTGTTCTTCTCTTCTCTTTCTATACTCCCTCCCTTATTTCCTCATTCACTTACATTCCAGAAATTATTGATGAAAAGTGAGATTGGTTTGATTATATATGGGTGGGAGACAGATAAACAGAGCATTCATTATTTTTTATTTACCTTTTTAGGATAATAGAAAGGTAAAAATTTATAAGAGAATAGAGTATAATTGTAAATTAGATGTTTCTAAAAGATTTAAAAAATATGTAAAATTGGAGAAGATGATATCAGATAGCTTCATTGTTTTCAATGAAGCAAAGAGAAGGTAATTATCAAAGAAAGAAGTAGAAAAATTTGTTTAGGCATATTAGAATCTTGAAGATTTTGCATCGTTACTAGGCGGCAAAAACGAAGATTTCTGACTTCAGACAAAAATTAAAATTAACTGCTGAAGTCTGTTGAATTGTTTTTTTTTTTTTTTTTTGAAACAGAGTCTTGCACTGTCTCCCAGGCTGGAGTGCAGTGGCGTGAACTCAGCTCACCAAGCTCCGCCTCCCAGGTTCACGCCATTCTCCTGTCTCAGCCTCCCTAGTAACTGGAACTACAGGCATCTGCCACCACGCCCGGCTAATTTTTGTATTTTTAGTAGAGACGGGATTTCACCATGTTAGCCAGGATGGTCTAGATCTCCTGACCTCGTGATCTGCCCACCTCAGCCTCCCAAAGTGCTGGGATTACAGGCATGAGTCACCACACCCAGACTGAAGTTTTGAATGTAGTAAGTGCTTTGCATTGACAAACATTCGTCTTAAAAGATATGGTCTCTCTCCTTTAGCAACTCAAAGAATAGTTTAGAAAATAAGCACATTAAAGTATTACAGGTAGCAAACTTTGATAAGTGCTGAGGGATAAAGATATGCTAGGGATTTTAAAGTAATGAAAGTATACTCTCTTCCAAAATATATAGGTAGATTTCCATGAGGCTTGCAATCTACTCATTGACAAAGGGCTAATATCCAGACTCTATAATGAACTCAAACAAATTTACAAGAAAAAAACAACCCCATCAACAAGTGGGCGAAGGATATGAAGATACACTTCTCAAAAGAAGACATTTATGCAGCCAAAAGACACATGAAAAAGTTTTCATCATCACTGGACGTCAGAGACATGCAAATCAAAACCACGGTGACATACCATCTCACACCAGTTGGAATGGTGCTCATTAAAAAGTCAGGAAACAACAGGTGCTGGAGAGGATGTGGAGAAACAGGAACACTTTTACACTGTTGGTGGGACTGTAAACTAGTTCAACCATTGTGGAAGTCAGTGTGGCGATTCCTCAGGGATCTAGAACTAGAAATACCATTTGACCCAGCCATCCCATTACTGGGTATATACCCAAAGGATTATAAATCATGCTGCTATAAAGACACATGCACACGTATATTTATTGCGGCACTATTCACAATAGCAAAGACTTGGAACCAACCAAATGTCCAACAATGATAGACTGGATTAAGAAAATGTGGCATATACACACCATGGAATACTATGCAGCCATAAAAAATGATGAGTTCATGTCCTTTGTAGGGACATGGATGAAATTGGAAATCATCATTCTCAGTAAACTATCACAAGGACAAAAAACCAAACACTGCATGTTCTCCCTCATAGATGGGAATTGAACAATGAGAACACATGGACACAGGAAGGGGAACATCACACTCTGGGGACTGTTGTGGGGTGGGGGGAGGGGGAAGGGATTGCGTTAGGAGATATACCTAATGCTAAATGACAAGTTAATGGGTGCAGCACACCAGCATGGTACATGCATACATATGTAACTAACCTGCACATTGTGCACATGTACCCTAAAACTTAAAGTATAATAATAATAATAAAAAAAAACCACTAACATTTTCCATGTGACTTAGATGTTCCACCTGTTTACCTATAACAAGGCCAGACACAGAGGCTTATATTTATTAGCTGAACTGTTTTATTCTCATTGATAAATCAAATTGAAATGCTTTGTTAATATCAATCTTTGGATAAGATTCTTTCCTTCCACCAGGCTCTGAACTTTGGCCCATCCTAAGCCTATGTGAGAATACAATCCCTCCTTAATGGCCCCTTGCTAGAATAGGCTGACCTCAGGGTTTACTCACCAATTCATCCTGTTCATTCTCCTTTCTTATATCCAGTTCTTTCTAGCCTTATTACTCTTCTCTATAAAACAAAAGTTCTTTTCTGTCTAACTTTCAGATTGTACTGCATATATTTTCTCCCTATTACAATAGTATCTTTCCCTTTATTAATATAATTCTTTCAAGTAAATCTCTCCTTTCATAAGCCTGGATTCTTTTTTATTTCATACTTCTCTGTAAAGTTTGGCAGATAAAGCTGAATTTTACCTGAATCATGTGGTTCCATGAAAGCAACAAATTGGACAGTTAAAATATCCCATTCACCATTTATTTTCTAAAGGAGCATCTCTGCCCTAGTCAAAGAAAAATAATACCATAGCAAGTTAATCAGTAAAGGAAGACTTTATTAAAGACTATTACAATAGAGGAGAGAGATTGAACTTGACTTCAGTGAAACAAAAGAGGAGAGATTTTAAGTGCCAGGGTGAGCTTGTGAAAAAGTATTAGAGAACATTAGAGGGAAGGATGATCAGTGTGATCAGGACACTTTTGTTTCCTAATTGATACAGATGGGGACTCTACCTTTCTTGCTAATTACAGTTCAAAGGGTTGGCTTCCAAGTCCTTGAGAAAGACATGCCTGCATTGTAAATTGGTAAGAAGCTGTAAGAAGACTTACATGTCAAAGACACAGAAAAAGAATCCACAACTAAAAGTTTTCTAAAATAAATACCCTAAGAAAAGGAAGGTCAGTAGCCTATGTTCAGTGAGAAATCTTTTTAAATTTTTGTTATTCTTGGGGGACTATGAAGCTGTTGTGGTCAACGTGCCTACTCTGAGATAAAACCCACTTCCACCTTTCCTCAAAGACTCAAAGAAGATGCTTCTCCTTTCTTCCTAATGAAGTCCATAAGAATTCAGGATTCCTCCTTTGCTTACCTGTCTCTATAAAACCATACGATTTTCCCCTCAATAATAAATATTCTTCTTATCATAGTTGCCTGGATTTAATTATCTCCATTTTCTAGTGCATCTTGTCTTTCACAAGATAATACTTGTTACTGAATTTTATTTGTCATAAAGATTACGTGAGATGCTATAAACAAAGTACTTGCCTGATACTTTCAATATAGGTAACTTTCAAATACTCAAACCTACACATAATATTATTGTGAATATCTAAAAAAAAGTGGTGCTTCAAACAAGTGTCTGGTTCTATGGTTAAATATTGTCACTTCCTACAATTAGATATAAATGGGATTATGTCTGCTCTTAACCAGGTGATAGGTTTAAGTGGAAGTAAGCTCAAATTGATACCAATACATATATGAAAGAAGCAAAGACACACAAAGTCTAACAAAGAAGTACAGAGCCTAGAAAAGAAGCACAAATCCATCAGATAACCTGTTTTCCTAAACTGCCCTCCTCTGTCATCAGACATCTTGACAAGTCTCTTATAAGGAATGGGTCAGTTTGAGTCAGGCAGAACCACAATATGATGGCAGGTTAGGCAAATATCTGTTGGGATCAGACAACAGAATCCTACACTAATGCCTAGAGAGTGGTAGACACAAGACCAACCAGGAATCTTGACCTAGAGATTAATTCCATACATTCCAAACTGCAGGATCTGCTGAATTCTTACATACTTTTTGTAAGAATATCAGGATTCATGCAGATATTCTAAGCAACTACTTTGCTGAATTTACTTTGCCCACAAAAAATTATGTTTAACGTTACTCATACTAAGTACTGATTCCTCTATGCAGAGTTCGATGAAGTTATATAGGCCTTTTTCTATAACCTTTGGAGTATAAATTCCTGATTAATCTTTCAAATACAAATGAAACACGCTTAGAATATGAATTCCTTATTTGAGTACTTCAAATCTTAGCTAACATTCCCTAGGTTGGTACTTAGCTCTAACTTGTATAGAAATACATGACACTGTTCCCAACAAACTATTGTTGAAGTAAGTCGTATTACATATGACATCACTAATGTTTTGTGTTCTGTTTTTTATACATATTATGTAATAAACACTGAAAGTCTTGAGTATATCATTTTTATATTGACTTTTCATAGTGTGTAATTAAGTTTAGCCCAAAGCTGCCTTCTTACATACTTTAATTTTGCCTAAGTGTTTCTGCATACATAATGAACTGTTACCTAACTGGATGTGGAAACAGACTGTACACTACTCTTGTACCAATCACAGAGTTTTGGACAATCACAGGTCGGCAACTGTTTAAAATATGTTGAAATAACTCAAACACTGAGCAGTAATGAATTCAGCTGTTTCAGTACCTCGCTTCCATTTTCCTTACGTCACTTTTCTTTTACTGTCCGTAAATATTATCTGACCATTTGGCAGCCATGGGATCTGGGGTTGCTCTGAACTTATCCCAGTTCTGGGTGCTATTTTGATTTGTGAATTGTTCTTTGCTCCATTAAACTCTGTTAAATTTAATTCTTCAGAAGTTTTTATTTTACCAGTAGTTATATACAGTAAAGTTCTTCTGAAGACTTCTGACAGTTTGAAGAGATGATTTCTAAGCAGATAGACTTGGAACAGAGTTTTACTTTGCTGAATATTTCATAGGTCAGTCTCACTCTAGCTAGTCTTTAGGTTTCATTGTGGATATCTATTTTCCCCATTGTCTGATCTTATTTAAGTCTATAGGAGGCATTTGAAGACTTAGGGGCAATGTAGCCAATCTGAGTAAAAACAGATGCTTTCTGTGTTTTTTAAAAAAAGAATACAAATTAATCAATAAAATAAATTTAAACTTAGACAATTTTTATTTTATATTACATATCAAATGCCAGACATAAAAAGACAGGAAGCATGTATCAAAATAATGTTTTCTTCTGAAAGACCTAAATACATTCTCTTTCCTATAGTGCCTGAAAGAGCTAAAAAACAACGATAAAATAAATATTTTTTAAAGTGTAGCATCAGCTCTTAAAACAGACAGTGCTGACATTTTGAGGTGTGAAAGGGAGATTAATTTTGGACAGAAAGTCAGAGGATGCTAAGAATATCAATGCTTTTTTGGTAGATAAAAACATATATCTTTACTGTTTCCTGTTTCTGTTCTCTATTTGCAACATTATCCACACATCTACTACTACCCTTAAGGAAAGCAGACAAATGAGAACACCATTTGAATGTGTGTGAAGTATTGTGAGGGCATTTTTTGAAATAAACTATTTTGAAAAATATAATTTTCAAAGAAAATACCAAAAAAAATTATAGAGAGGAATTACCATATATTAATTGCTAAGCGTTGCTTTCAGATTGCTTTGTATTACGTTGCTCCCTTCTTGAGCTTTTTATGTTTCAAATTCCTTACAAAGTACTTCGCTGGGCTACTGGTTTAGACAGGCTATCTAGAACTCGAATCACTCTAATAATGGTGGCGTGATCATGACAATGATCTCAAACATAAGCAGGCCAAGGTGAGGATAAATAGAGATAGGATTTCATTTATTCCCACTCGTTTTTTCCAGTGGACAGTTTTATTAACCCTTAAAGTTCCATCATTTAATAACTTTTTCAATTAACGAATGTCTCCAGAAAGGTCTAGGATGACACACACACACACACACACACACACATTCATACACATACATTGCTAAAGAAAGGCTAGATTACAATCAGTGCACTTATTTTGTGTAAAAACTAAGAAATATTTTCCAATATGTAATACTTACTCTAGAGACAGTGGAAGTTCAGTTAGCAAGAGAGTTGTTTATGTTTTTTGTTTTTTGTTTTCTCTCCAAGTATTCATTCCTTTATACTTGGCAACATCATACAAATTTTTTGTTTGGGGAACAGCTCCCCAGATTCTAGCTTTGTGTGTTTTAAGATGGACTGACGCCACACTTGTGGTTCTAAGGGATGATGCAAGATGCCACCCATCACAATTTGTGTTTCATGTCCTATCCAGTTAACTCAGGACTGGACAAGTGATCCTGGTTGGTCCAAAGACACAACCCAAGATATTCACTAGAACTCTTTGAATTACAGATTTATTAAGCTAGTTGGAGGTGGACATTGCCAGTCATTGTCACACCAAAGAGTGAGAGAATGCTTGAAAATCAAGCCAATTTAAAGAATCCAGAAGTGGGGGGGTCAGGGCAGAGACAGGAAGAGAGAGAGAGAGAGAGAGAGAGAGAGAAAGAGAGAGAGAGGAAGAGAAGAGAAGAGAGAAGAGAGGAGAGAGAGAAGAGAGAAGAGAGAGAGAGAGAGAGAGAGAGAGAGAGACATCCACACAGAGAAACACTTAATCTCCATGAAATCGTTTATGCAGCTAGAACCAGCCCTGTATAGAATAACAAATCTATTCCTAGAACGTTCACTTACATGAAATAATAGTTTTCCTTATTTGGTTATATAAATATAAAGAAAAATTCTGTCTCTCAAAAACGAAGTATTTTGGTTCACATAAAAAGAGCTCTTCAGATGACTAAGCCATGAACTTCTCTAGGAACTTGTTAATAAGCCACAGATTTAAGTAATCCAATTTATGTATCCTTTATCATCCTAAATGTTTCCATTTATATAAGAATGTGAGAGCTGCTCTCCTTCATTTACTGAGTTGTGGAGATTATTTTTTGGGATTCCACAACAAAAATATTACTTAGATTAGAAGAGAATATAATTGATTCTGCTTTTCTGAAAAACTTTAAAAGTGTAGAACGTTTTATTTTTCTCATCTTTGTAATATGTATTTTTCAGCTTAAAAATCCACCTCCCTTTGTTGCATAAAACTCCACATAAGTCAGTTTCCATTTTCAAAATTAAATCAGTGCTATAAATTATAAATACTCTTGTCGTGAAGAAAATGCAGTTAAAAAATAAAACTAACCTTTCAGTGTCTTTTGAGATTGTGGGAAATTCATTACTTTGGTAAAACTTTAATAAAAAATGTTATATCACTGAAATATGTCTTTTTGTGGTTGTTTTGTCTTCTTTATATCTTTGTCAGGTCTTTTCATACAGACGTCAAATTCAAAGTATGTTTGGTCCCGTGCTAGAACAAACACAATGTCTTGAAAAAACAATAGAAAGTATTTCTAATTCTAATAAGAGAATTCTTTTGTTGTTTTATTTTGTTTCAATACCTTGCCTTTATCGAAGATAATTAGTTCAGAAACTGAAAGACCTTATTTGAATGTGTCTTCAATAGGTTAGATTAGATAGCTAGAAAGATACGTACATACATATAGATATATAGAAAGAGATTCATTATGAAGAATTAGAATATTTGATTATATAGGCTGAAAAATCCCACAATCTGATGTATGCAAGCTGGAGGCCCAGGAAAGCTTGTGGTACAATTCCAATCCAAACGTAAAGCCCTGAGGACCAGGGGTGCCAATGGCCTAAATCCCAGTCCAAAGACCCAAGAACCAGAAGCTCCAGTGGCCAAGGGCAGGAGAAGCAGACTGGCCAGCTCAGGCAGAGAGGGCTAATTCATCCCCCCTCTGCCTTTTTCATTCTATCTGTGCCCTCAGTGAATTGGATGATGCCCATCCATATTATTGAGAGCATACTCAATAACACGCTGTACACAGTATACTTATTTAAATGGTAATTTCTTATGAAAACGCCTTCACAGATGCATTCAGAAATAGTTTTATAAGCAATTTGGATATCTCTTAGCCCAATCAAGTTGGCATATAAAAATTAACCATTACAGACTATTACTAAGAGATTGAAAGAATATATGTATTTGCCTCTTTCTAGAAGAGGAAAATAATATATTTGTTTGTTTCATTTTGCCATTTATTTTACTTCTCCCTTTTTACAACTACTAAATTGCCAACCACAATGGAAACATGATGTGAGATAAGCCCTTGGTTTGAAAGCTATTATGTATGTCATCATTACAATCAAAGAGTGTGAGCATAATTGGTTTTGGGAGCCTGCATGCCTTTGTGCCAGTGACTGAGCTGCTTGAAATCATTGCCAGGGTCAATGAAGATGATATCTACTGCAGCTATAGTGGGACTAGCCCTCTATGTGAGGAATAGCTCATGCAGTTATGCATCATGCTGTGGTCAAAAATGTGTGACTGATGGCAACAGGGCAATAAATTAGCATCTGTCATGACCAAAGAAAAACCTGCTGGAGGTATCCATGGATTCACTGGAGGTGCAGGTAGCACCAGACATAACAACCATGATTTTTTGGATAACCATAGATGAGGCAGTGAAGAACAGATTGAGAGATTCATAGATATATGAGACCTACTCTCAGCAGAGGAGTCTGTGATAGGTTACAGAGTTCCCTACTCTGGACAGAAAGTCTTGCCATTCCAGGCTCTCAAGAAGGGCCTCATCTCCAGGCCTTGAAACTGCTGGCTACACAACTATTCACAGGTGGCATCATGTATCTCCAAAAAGAGCCATCCCTTGCCGCTGGACATCACTTGTGCCAAGGGGTACCTGGATGAAAAAACAAGATGTGTTAATTGGTATCCAGGGACAATGCCAATGTGTGCTATGACACCTACACAGGAGCAGGTCATGCACAGCTGGCTTCAGCAGTGATACTGACATTGTAAGCTGACAAGCTGAAAAGCTGGCAGGGCTGAGCCTGCTGCCACTCTCAGAGAAGAATATCTGGGCCCAAAAGAAGGATCTCTACATCAACATCTAACCATATGAGTCCTTCCAAAGCCACAGATGAGGTGCCCATTGGCAGCTTCCAGGATATTAGAGTCATGGTGTTGGAGCATAACAACAGTTTGTACTTCATGGAGAAGTACAATTAGGGACTGTCCTGGAAGTCACAGGTGAGCAAGCCCCCATGGAGAAGATTATCAAGATCCTCACCATTATCATTAAGGAGATGGTGACCAAGTGGCAGGAGAAACTCTCTTTCAGTATCCTCTGTATGTCAATCCCAAGCATTAAGCTTCTTGACACCAAGGGTCTCACCATGGCATAAGTTAAGCAGCTTGATGATGGCAAGATGTCAATGAAGGACACCTTAGATCTGGGCATCATTAAGATGCTCCTCAAAGGTAGTGGTGGTGTTGCTGGTGCTTCTGGGCAGACTCCAAGGAAAGAGTGACCAGCTACAAGCCTATGAAGTGGTGCCTACTCAGCCTTAGTGTATTAGGCCATTCTTGCATTGCTATAAAGAAATATCTGAAGCTGGGCAATTTACAAAAAAAAAAAAAAAAGAGAGAGAGAAAGAAAAAGATTTAATTGGCTCATGGTTCTACAGGCTTTACAGAAAGCATGACTCTGGCAGCTACTTCTGGTGAGACCTCAGGAAGCTTACAGTCATGGCAGAAGGCAACAGGGAGCCAGCAGGTCACAAGGTAAGAGCAGGAGCAAGAGAAACAGAAGAGAGAAGTCCCAGACTCTTTTAAATAACCAAATCTTGCATGAACTAACTGAAGGAGAACTCATTTATTCCCAAGGGAATAGTGTTAAAGCATTCGTGAAGGATCTACCCCCATGATCAAATTACCTCACACCAGGCCCCACCTCCAACATTGGGAATCACATTTCAACATGAGATTTGGAAAGGAAAAAACATCCAAACTATATCATTCTGCTTCTGGCTACCCAAATCTCATGTCCTTCTCACATTTCAAAGTACAATCATGCCTTCGTAAGAATCTCACAAGTCTTAACTCATTCCAGCATTAACTCAAAATTCCCAAAACCTTATATAAAACAGCAAGCACCAAGCTAATCACCCCCATCCCTGAAACCTCATGCCATTAATCTAATTTCAACATTTCCTAGTATGTTCCTTTAGAAATGCTTCCTGGAAATAGTTGTTTTTCTGCGTCCTATTTTTTGTTATCTGTATTTTAACTAAGAAGTTTTAATTTCATTTATTAATACATTGGCTTACTTTCACCAACTTACTTTATAATGTCCATTAGTCTTACATTTCTGTGCTTGTGTTTTTTAATGCTCGTGCCTTCTGTTGCATTGATGGAGCTCTTATTACTATTATAATTTTAATTTTCTTATTTCATGCTTTCTTGTTTATTCTCTCTTTATTGGTTTGTCTATTTTATTTTCTAGAGGAGAGATATAAAATCTATTTCCTAGGGAGGCAAATGTGGCTTAATATATATTTTTGTAAGTCAAGTTTTATTAAAGCATAACCATATCTGTTTGCTTACATATTGTGTCTGTCTGCTTTCAAGTAACAATGGCATAGTTGAGTAGCTAAGAAAGAGATCTGACTGTCAAAGTCTAAACATTTACCGAAAATGTTTGCCAATCTTTACAGGAAGTTACTTTCAAAAGTTCACCATATACATTTACATTAACAATTCAAATAACATTTTAACTATTCCTATGAACACTGTGAGGTTTCCCAAAACACTTAGATTATGATTCTTTCTTTTCAACATATGTGTTATTTTTTCCAATATTTTTAGTTCTTTTTTTTTAAATTCATAAGTTAGATAATTATAATTGTTATTGCTGCTGTCGGTGGCCATTCGCATTTAATTAATACTTTTTATTTTCCTTACCATTCCTTTTGTACCTTATACTATTTGTTTGTGTTCAATGTCTTTCTTCCTCAGTTCACATTTTGTAATTTTTTTAAGTCTAGTTATCTTGGCGGTAAGCTATATTACCACTA
The DNA here is from genome assembly GCF_000001405.40 of Homo sapiens. NCBI lineage: Eukaryota > Metazoa > Chordata > Mammalia > Primates > Hominidae > Homo > Homo sapiens. The sequence goes on from NC_000004.12 coordinate 29,409,530, forward strand.
AACTATTTTTTCATCAATATATTTTTTGTTTACTTCACCTTCTTTTGTGATTTGTTGTATACATAACTCTGGGCTGTGAATTATTTTCTCTCAAACCTTGAGGATATTATTCCACTGCATGTGTCTTCCACTGTTACTACCAAAAACTCTGCTGTCAAGTTAAAAGCCATTTCTTTGTATGTGACATTTAAAGAAAACTTTTTTAGCTTCTTTTAAGCTCTTATCTTTGTCTCTAGTATTCTACAGTTTTGCTATAATTAATCCAGCCATGTGTTTATTTATTGCTATCCTTTTTGACACATTTTGCTTTTTTATTTTATAGATTCACGTTTGTCATAAATTTTGCCAAATGTATAGCTATTGCTTTTTAAAATATTGTCTTTTCATCTGAAACTCCAATTGGATGGCAATCTAATTCAATCTATCCTCAATACCTTTCAATAACATTCTTATATTTTCATCTTCATGTTTTACTGTGCTTCATTATAGGTTAATTATTTGGGAGTAACTTCCATTTAATTAATTTTGTTGGTTGTATCTAATATGTTGTATTTCCTTTTGATTAATTAAAAAAATCATAATACATTTTTTATTTTTAAAAAGTTTTTTTTTAAATTTACCTGCTCATGTATGATAGTCTTTTGAAGCTTAAACATTTTTCCATGTGTCCTAAATATTTTTCATATATTTCATTCATAGTTATTTGACATCCCTTGTCTAATTATTCTAATATTTTCAGGTTTAAATTTGTTGGGGTAATTTCTTGATGATTGTCCCTTACATTAATTTGTTTTTCTCATCTGCTTTAAATGTACTTTGAATGTGAAAGGATTTTTAATGTACTTTGAACGTGGATTGACCACTTTATCCTTCCTTTGGGAGACTTGCAGACCTAAATGGGAAAACCTTCTTCCAGAGAATATTTGCATCTACTTCTTGCAGCAGCTAAGGGCCCCACGGAGGTAGGAATCACATTAGTCCTCCTTGAGGATCCTGGCTCAATTGAGACTCCTGGGTTTAATGAACATGGCGTACATACAAAACAGACCAAGTTTCAGGATCTGGATTGTAATACCGCTGCTGGCAACTGCTATATGGACATGATCATTGATCATTTCAGATATCCATTTCCCAGGATCCACTGTTCCAATCCCAACATATGAATCTTTTTTTTCATTGTGTGAAATTATATGTCGACTTTCCTTACATCTTGTGAGACTGTTATGTCAAACTGTGAATGCTGTCCAGGGTCTATTTATTCTGCAAAAGGAGAGTTCTTTCAAAAATTTTGTCCACCATTAATGACAATGTGGACATTCCCACTTCTCTCTCTCTTTCCATTTTAGAGCTCAATTTTTTTCATAGAACTTATCTTCTGTTTTTATCACATATTTGTTTGCTAATTTTATAATTTCTCAGCTCCCTTATGGTTGATGTTTACTGTTTTATTTATTTCCCCTACAGCAATGTCTGGAGTACTGTTAGGAATCAAGACATAAATAAATAAATAAAAGGACAAACTAAAATAAAGTTGAATTCATATATAATGTGTGGTGAAACTGGTATCTACCCAGAGTTATTTCTCCTTCTGTATCTATGTATTTCAATATCCTCAGTTTTTCAAGAACCAATTTAAATATTTCCTTCTTCATATAAATCTGTTTTCTGCCTCTAACCTATTTGTAGTGGGCATTTTTAATATGTTGTAGCATCTTTTACATACTCTCCTTTTATCTGAAGAAATTCCCATATGGATCCCACATGGTTGGAAATAAAATTCAACGTTTTAGCTCTCTTTGTACCTATAATACAAGCATGTGACCTAGGTTCTGACAATCAGAGATACCTTTATGAGCCTAATGAGAAAGAGAGCATTGATGTGAAGTAGCTATTTTTTGGACTCTGTTTCTGGTACTCAAAGTGAGGCCTGGTTGAGAGTTATCAATGTCCCAGAGGTATCAATGGAAAATGTTTTACCACTGAAATCTAGCCCTCAGGGTTCTATGACATGAGCTTTGGTGCCTGTGCCTAGATGAGGTGGGATGAATTTGTGTGTTGGCTTACTGATTGGTGATTTGGTTATGGTTCTGGTTACATTGTTCTTGGTCTGGTATAATAACTTTGACCTTCCTGGAGATTATACAATCTACCTAATAGCCCTTAAAAATTCTTCTTCTGCTTAAACAAGTGAAAATTGATTCTTTTGTTTCCACCTAAGAATTCTAAATAATATACAAATTTATCATATTATACCACTTTATAATTTTCCAAGAGTTATTTTAATTATATTTTGGTAACATTTTTCCAAATGAAGGAAAAATTTGTCTCTTTATGCATTGTCTGACACCATTCTGTTTTATTGTTTTTGATAAAATACTTTATTATACTTAATTTAGTCAATTTATTATTGATAGTATCATTCATGTCTTTTAAATATTAGACCAATCTGAAACTAATAACCAAGTCTCTACCATTTTACCTTTAATATCTTGTTGCCTGCTCTTCTAGTCCTAAGGACACTGTAATACTCACCTGCTTCCTTTACTCATTTGCCTTGTTCATTCTTAGTTAACGTCTGTAGAAAACAATCCTTTGATTCTTCTGCTTTGCTGAAAAGAGAATTATATTTTTGTCTCTATGAGGTTATGTATTTATTTATGTAATTGTTTTTTCATTATATTACTATGGTAAAATATAAGTTTTATTAAGAAAAGGACAGAATGTATTTTTCTCAACATTTTATTGACTGTATTTATCATAGTCCTACTACATAAAAAGCAATCAATAAATGTTAAAGTGTTGATAGACAAATAAATATTTACTAGTACATACATCATTAATACTATGAGAATAATTAATAGAAAGAAAAATTTATGTGCAATTATATTTTTGTTACATAATTAAATAAAAATATCAGACAGTTTATATGACCATACTATTCTAATTAAGCCAAACCAAATATTTTTCAAGTCAACTTTAGACATAGGAGAAACAGGTGATTATAAGTGAGTTTTTGTACTAATTTAAATAGTCAGGTGCAAATGGAGGTATTTGGTGATTATAGAGAGTCTTAATATTCAGTTGAATAGAATGCATAGTAGAGATAGTAGTATTGTGTGCTGTTGAATGTGTCCAAATATGTATGTACAAAGGTCATATTTATTTATGCAGTGATCATGTTTACTGTCTTTGAAAATGTAAATCATGGAAATAAATTATCAAGTTTGGTATCTTTATGGTGTCAAACTCTTATAGAAAGTAAAGATTTAAAAAATTACAAAAGTAAATTTATCTTAAGATTTGTATTGTCAAAATAAGAAAATTTTAAATTAATGAATGTATTACTTTTTATTGCTACATAAGACATTACCTCAAGACTTAGTGACTTAAAACAGTAATTATTATTTATTGTTTTTACAGTGTCTGTTGGTTATAAACTTAGGAGAAGGTTGGCTGGTGCTTCTGACTCAGGGTCTTAATGAGGTTGCGTAGAGAGATAAGCTGGAGCTTCAGTCATTCAATGTCCTTCCGGAGACCAGAATATCTTTTTTCAAGGTGGCTCTCTCACATCACCAGCAAATTATTGCTGAGTGCTGGTGGGAAACTTCTGCAGCTCTCCATGTACGTGCGTTTCTATGGGAATACCTAAGTGTTCTCATGGCATGGCTATGGGCTTCCTCCAGAATGAGCAATCCAAGAGAGCAGGGTGAACGTTGCAATACCTTTAATGACTGTTCTGTGCAAGCCACACACCATCACTTTCAAAATATTGACCACACAGTCAGGTTTGAGACAATATGGGAGGTCATTATTGAAAGTCATCAATACATAGAAACAGAGATCATCAGTGGCCAGCTTGGAGGCTGGCTACCACAGTAAGAAATCAGGAAAATAAATACGTATTTATGAAACAAAAACAACAATTTTTTATGAAAAATTTTATGTTCATATAATTTATTTTCATTATTACATAATCACAATCACACAAAATTACTTGCAGTGTTATTACATATTAATCTTCTATTGTTTATTCATTTGTTTGCATCCTAGGGAGAGAGATTAATAATGTGTAGCAAATCCTTGTGAAGGTTTATCATTTGCACTGAAAAAAATAATCTTTTATCACCCATATTTCTTTCTCATAAGGAAGATCAAAATGCATCTTGCCATATGATTTAGAGCTAGATATTAGTGAGGCTAGGAATAAAATCACAATTTTATACTGTGGCTGTTAACCTCCTCCCTAGTCCACCTTTTCTGCATAGAAGAACCAATATATTTAAATAATCTATTTTTAAAATAAGCACTAGAAAATTGCTTATGTTTATTCACATACCCTTTTTTCTTTCCTTTCTTAATTATTTTTATTAGTTAATTCATTACTCAAGTACAAATTCACAAAAACTTCCCTTCAAAATTATATGGAATGCCACACACATAGATGATAGTAAATGCATACAATGTACATTTTTTGAAATATCTACTATATTAAAGTCTATGTTTTACTGCTTTGTGGAATATAACAAAAGCCAAAGATAGCTTTTTGCTAAAATTGCTTTGAGTATGGTTGCAAAAAATAAAAATAAAAAAATAAAAACGCTCATACATTCAGAAAACAAAAGTAATATAGTAATCTAATATAGTTTGTCAAACTTGATACACAGGTAATATACAGATAATTTCCCAACTTTATTTTTCCTAGTCCAGTTGTTTCTCGATATTCATTGTTGGACTGGTTTCAGGGACCGCCCTCCCCCATACCAAAATCTATATATGCTTTAATTCCTGAAATAAAGTGGTGTAGTATTTGCATATAACCTGTGCACATCCTCTTGTATATGTTAAATCTTCTTTAGATTATTTATAATACCTCATGCTTTGTAAATGCTGTAAATATTTGTTATGCTGTATTTTTTAGGGAATAATAACAAGAAAAAAAGCTTTGTGCATCCTCAGTACAGATACAGTTTTTTTTCTCCCAATATTTTCAATCCCCAGTTGGTTGCATTTAAGGATGCAGAGCCCACAGATATGGAAAGCTGACTGTAATTATAATTGTTTATTGACCTTACATAGACAGCTACTAAGAAAAGAGCAAAGTCAACAAATTTAAAACGTTATTCTTTCTCAATATCTGGGAGACAGGCCAAACTATCATTACCGTAACTTAAAAAGAAAAAGATAATGGGGAGCTAAGTAACTCTTCAGTTATCTAATCCATCTTCAATATTAGAGCGTCAGCTAAAATTGGTCTCACTAATAGTTAAGGAAGGAGAACTTGGAGGGAAAAGGTGCATAAATGCTAGTCTTTATCACCTTGGTATAATATGTATATTTTTATTTTTATTATCATATATATTATTATATTAACCAAATAGGTCCTTTTCCCCTATTTGGTTCCTGACACAGAGCCCCTAAAACCCTTAAGGTTTCCTGAGAGATTAGAATGATAGGAGCATCATTTATTATTAATAATTAGATGATTTCAACTGCAGCTTGAGTTTATGCTAATAAAGTGATTCTTGGCAAACCCTAGATAGCTTTAGCATGGGGCCTGGTCACTGAGGAACCTACAATGTAATTAGAAAATGGACCTCTCAGACCCACTTCTTGATTTTTAGGAGGTGACAGAGGCTGGAGACTGACTGAGATCACCCGTGGCCAATGATTGAATCAAGTATGCCTATATAATAAGGCCATATATAAAACCCTAAATGACAGGGTCTGTGAACACATCAAGGTGCAAGGACAGTGGCGGTGGTGTACCTGGAGAGGGCCAGGAAGCTCTGCCCTACCACATACCTTGCCTTATGCGTATCATCCATTTGTCTGTTTCTCCATTGTATCCTTTATAATAAACTGAAAGAGTAAGCAAAACATGTTCCTGAGTTATGTGAGTCAGTCAATCAGAAGTGTGGGTAGCATCATATCCCATTTTTGGCTGGTCTGTGAAGTGGGGACTGATTTTATGGATGAACCCTTAAACTGTGAGGCCTGGACTAACTTCACAAAGCATCAGAACTGAATTGTTGGGCACCCAGTTGGCGTTGGAGAATTGTTGGAAAAAGGACATGCATTTCATATTGGAAAAAGCCACACATGTGATGGCAGGGAAAAGATATTACAATAATATTCACACAATCTCATCTTCATTTAAACCTAGTGATCTTGCAATTTTTAAAGTAGATGGTTTATGTTACAGTTGCTTATTGTCTGAGGATTATTTTTAAAAGGTAAGAATAGAGAAACTACCTGGAATTCGAAAGGGAAGCTTGAAGAAATTTAGATTGTAAGTGTTAAGGAAAGATCCTAGAGAGATAAAGAACTAAATAAAAACTAGAAGAGTGCTTAAGTGAAAAGGCAAAACCAAAAGCATGAGGGATGAAGCTTGTCATTTGCGCATGCCCATTCAAGTTTCCTTACAACTCAGAAATGTAAAGTGGTTCTTTTCCTACCTTGGCACATAAGAAAATGAGGAACTTCTAAAAGCAGCTGGAGACAGTTTTTCTTTGTTTTTGTTTTGTTTTCTTTTTTAAGACAGTTACTACTTAAAATAAATCAATCACCTCTGGGGGTAGCAGGACATTTGGGGAAATGTTGAAAGAGGCTAAAGACCAGTCGGAGAATGAGCACTCTTTTGAATTAAATTTATGATACCAAAAGTGTTAAAATGTTTGGGAGGCACTCGTGAAATATAAATCTAACATAGGATTTTTATGATGTTTGCAGACACACACACCACAAACTTCATTATTAAGCCACCTGTTTTACTGGTATAGTTTTAGATTAGAGCAATGATTTTTGAGCCTTTTTTTTTTTTTAATGTACTGTCTCATTTTGTTTCGGTATGAACACCTGAGTCTCCTTATCTCAAACGCTTTGATTTGCTAGTCAAGAGAGGAAGGAAAAGCCTCTTTTACTATTTACTACTTCCTGAGTAGTAAAATGCACGGTTTTGTAGAAAGGTGGGAAACCGTTGGGAAAAATAATTCTGAAATCCTGAATTTACTTTGAGAAGGTATTTTGTAGCCTCGTACATTTTTTGTTGTTGTTGTTGTTGTTCAAGACCTATGGTCAGTTTGTCTCATTTCTAATGGTATCATTAGAAATAACTGTACATATTAGTAATTTGGTTGTGCTGGTAGAAGAATAGGGGATGGAAGAAAGGATGAGAGGTAAAAAAAATTTAATGTGAAAATTTGTATCAAGAAATTTAGAAAGATGCTATTTGTTTTTTAGTGATTGAGTTGATGCATAGTATTTTAATCTATCTAACATGAATTGGATTTTGTAACGATTTCACAAACTGAAGTGGATTTTATTAATTTATATGTTTCTTAATGTAATAGTGATGCTTTTCTGTAGACATTAATAAGAATTAATTAATTATGATTGTAACAGTGGAGAAAACCAATTACAATCATCTCAACTAAAAAATATTTAGCTATATCATCATTTTAAATTAAGTCTGTATTTTTAAAGTATCAATATAATATTAATATATTAATATTGATAATGAGCATTCCTTCAGAACCTGTCTTGTCTTGCAAAATGTATCTTCAGTATTTTTCAATCTTACGAAAGCCTCTGAAGTTAACCAGTAGTATTTTCATTTTGTACTTGGAAAACTGAGATTTTAAAAAGATAAGTAACTTCCGCATTGCTACCCAAGAGGCAGCACAGCTGAGATTTGAATTCGAGGCTCTCTGACTCCAAATGCTACGCCTTCTCCTCTCTATCACATTTCTCTCTTTCTAAAATTATTTTATATTTTGGGGGATTTTAAAAGTTAGTAGATAATATCTGTTCTTTTCATCCTGATTTCAGAACTATTTGAAAAATAAGGCATAGGAAGTGGAAAAATGAAGATCAAGATGTTAGTTTTGGGAGATATCGTTGTATTTATAAAGTAAAATAGGCTTCTTGGTGCTTCATCTTTGAAGTGGAGAGGCTCTCACACCCAATCAGAGACAGAACTGGACAACTGTAGACCTCATTACTAAACATAGCTCATGGTGTAGAGCTGAACTTGACCTCACCAGTGAGGCAAGGAAGGGGTGCTAGCCTCAGTTTTATCTCCTAAATCTAACCAAGTAAGAAAATGATCTTTCCTCTCCTGGGCCAGAGTTAGTGAGGGTGGGAGAAAAGCTAGGAGGGGCTCTCATGGATAGAAACATGATTATTACCAAACGAGTACACTCGTTTAAGTGTCTTTATAATGTATTATCAGCATAGTTTGACCATGTTTAAATAAAGAATGGACAAAGAAGAATTTTGGGTTACTTTATGCCTTAGCCTGCTCTAAAATAAGGTACTAATAACTATGATATTATATGATGATATGATATGATATATGTAATAAAAGTAAATGTTAGAATGCTAGTAATTAATGTAATCAATGAAGATATTACACTTCTGAATATATTCAGATTTTTTTAAATTATAGATTACAATTTTATAATTTTTTTTTCCTTTTTAATTTTTTTTTTTTTTTTTTTTTTTTTTGAGACGGAGTCTCACTTTGTCACCCAGGCTGGAGTAAGGTGGCGCGATCTCCGCTCACTGCAAGCTCCGCCTCCCAGGTTCACACCATTCTCCTGCCTCAGCCTCCTGAGTAGCTGGGACTACAGGTGCCCCCCGCCACGCCCGGCTAAATTTTTGTATTTTAGTAGAGACGGGATTTCACCATGTTAGCCAGGATGGTCTGGATCTCCTGACCTCGTGATCTGCCCGCCTCGTTCTCCCAAAGTACTGGGATTACCGGGGTGAGCCACAGCGCCCGGCCCATTCTTAAAACTTAGATATTTAATTATTTGAAACTCTTCCACAGTTTCAAAGAAATATTTTCAATCACTTGAAAGTCAATGCTAATTTCTGAAATACATATGTCACCAGGGATGGATGACCTAATTTACATGAATTGTGATTCAAGTTTCCATCTAAAATTCATGATTGACCTAAATCAAATGTGAAAGCTTCGAAGTTTGGTTAACTTTATTCATTACTTTCCTCTTTGTACGTCTTTTTATTTCCTGTTTCTGGCTTGAATTAGAAGCAGAACCACTAGCAGTGTTAGAAAAGCTGTTTCTATAATGATTCTACCCAACTACAAACCGAAAATGTACAAGTTTCTAAAAGGATTAATATCTAGTTTTTCAGTATCAGGAAAGACATTTTAATAAATATATTTCCTTTTCTGTATCATGTGATTGTTTAATTAATCTTATTGACACAATTTAGTTGATATAATAAATGTGTCTTTATATTTGTATTTGCTGAAATATTTAGAAACCAGTTCATATTTCAATATGTACTGACTCTATCTTCAAACATTCATTTCCAAATTGGCAATATGCATTTACACAAAATTAAATGCAAATCTCATATAGGAAAATTTTTTTTTATGGTAAGTTTTCACATGGCTGGCTTCTAAATTTTTATATCTTGGCTGGAATATGACCTCCTACAAGAGTCCTTTGGTAATATCTGTTATATATAACATAGCTCTAGTCATTATCACACTGTTTTAGTTCTTCCATTGAAAGACATAGCTATTGGTTAACACCTTGTTTTTATTTGCTTATTAGGTGATTGTGTTTCTCCCTACATTACCATGTAAATTGTATGAGGCCAGTAGGTCATACTAAGTGCTAGTTTAATAGTTTGAAAATAATTAATAAAAGAAGCTAAATTTCCCTTTCATTTGCTCCAAATAATATATACTCTCCTCTATGTATTTCCACCTGCCTTATTCCTATATTCTATACTTACTATATGTATATAAATGTGTGGGTATATATGTGTGTGTGTATAAGGAATGTATACAGCCAATTCACTTTATTCACAGTAGTTGTGTTTCATAAAATAGCCATGAACACTGAAACAAGTACTGAACCCACTGCTCCAAGGAGAAATACAGTGAGATTCCTGCAAGCCTGTGGTCACACATTTCATCAACCAACTCTCCATTTGTATTACATAGTTTCTTTTAAAAAAACATAGCATTGTCAAACAAGCCAGGCTCATCCATGTTGAAAACCTGCTCTTCCACCTTTCCTATTTCCTGCATAACAGAATCTACCTTGCCTGCAAATTCAACACTTTTCACACTGCATTGGCTTTTGAGACATATGAGCCAGTCAGCACTAACCAAGAGGGGTTTAACATTTTCTTGACCCTGGGCAAAATGACCATATACTTTGGTCTTCAGCCTCACAACAATGTTCGCTATGCTTTTTTGTTTTTTTTAAAATCAGTTTTCATTTCATGAATCCACAAATTTTGCCACTTTTCCATCTTTTACATAGGGCTTTCTGGTGCAGCCTCATGTACGGATTGGCAAATTTTTCCTTTTTCTGTATGTACCATATTATTGACTCATTAACATTGAGTTCACAGCAACGGCACAGTAACTCATGCCTGAACAAAGGGTATTTAATACACATATTTTCTCTGTAAGGTATATCACAGCCTTCTCATGCTAAGAATACTAGACAGCACCTCAACATTATGTTTGAGGTCATTTTAAATAATGAGATCACCAATCAAAGGCACAAACATGAAATAAAAGTGTCATGAAATAGACTGCAAAAAGTACAGTTGCGTTGACAGTATAATAGCTGTTGTTTCCAATATGAGATTGCTGTTTACAGTATTAAGAGGGTTGTTCAACCTCAGTTATGTGCTTGCCTACAAATTACCATAAACGCACCTTGACCATTGATTTGGGGATTGCGAATAAATCTTAACAAGGAGACAAATTTGAAATAAAGGATATAAAATTGGAGAATAAATAGGATTGAATCGATCTATATCTTTATGCCAATTATTCTATAAGATCTTTAAGTGCAGATAGGATTTATTGGACTTCAGAATTCTATTACATAGCAGGGCCTCAATTTCCTGTGCTTGAAGTGGTATGACGTAGAACCTATTGTCTACTGACAGTATACCCAATGTGTGTATTTTGGCTTCAGGGCACTAGATGTGCTTTGATGCATCACTAAAACGTGATTAAAGGCAATATCAAGACCACAGCTGAAGAAGACTGACAATAATTATGCAGATAAGTAGAATCTCTAGAAAAGTGATCTGAGAGTTTAAATCTAATATGGAATTAAAATACTAATTTTACAGTCTGAAGAATAAGGTAAAATATGGGAGAAAGGTTTAGTAATTCCAAGAATACCTAATGTTTAGTCCATTTGCCTTAATATAAGGACTAGATTTCCATTTTCCCACCACTTTCTGATACATACATCTCTTATCCCCCATTTGTGACATAGGATTTGTTTGTATACTCCCATATTTTTATAGAATAGGTTCTGGGACTGATACAAACTGAATATAATTGACATGGAGTAAAGCTGGAGAATGTGAAGACTAACACCTTGACAATTTTGCTATTTAACACAATTAAATCATAAATAACACAGTTTATATGAGAAAATATATCAAAATTTCCAAAGAGCTAACATAAAATAGTAATTGGATTATGTATATAAGTTTGCGTGTATGTAAGTTGGATTTATTTCATTATTTCTATTAACTGGATTGACATAATATTTACAATGCCTTTAAAACAAAAAGCGCAATTAAAAAGCCTATAGACATAAATAAGCTAGTTGTGGGAAGATAATTATAGTTTGTATTATTTAAATGTGAAGTTCAAAGAAGAAGGTGGGGGATATAACTGTATAGAAAGGTAGGAATCGGCCGGGCGCGGTGGCTCACGCCTGTAATCCCAGCACTTTGGGAGGCCGAGGCGGGTGGATCATGAGGTCAGGAGATCGAGACCATCCTGGCTAACAAGGTGAAACCCCGTCTCTACTAAAAATACAAAAAATTAGCCGGGCGCGGTGGCGGGCGCCTGTAGTCCCAGCTACTCGGGAGGCTGAGGCAGGAGAATGGCGTGAACCCGGGAAGCGGAGCTTGCAGTGAGCCGAGATTGCGCCACTGCAGTCCGCAGTCCGGCCTGGGCGACAGAGCAAGACTCCGTCTCAAAAAAAAAAAAAAAAAGAAAGGTAGGAATCAAATCCTGGAATATCGTGTATGTCATGATAAAAATCTTTCAAAGTTTTTGTATAGGAAATTTCTTGAAAACAGCTCCAAAATCAAATTAAAAACAAATGCACTGTGTTTTAATGTACAACCTCATGTTGATTTCTGGCTGTCTCTCACTTTATCAGTCTCATACCCAAGGAAAGAACTTAGTCTCAACCTCACCTGTTCCAGATTTCTTCCCTTTGTCTACCAATGTATATTTTATTGTGCTATTCCCTCATGTCTCCTGGACAAAGGTGTGTGGATTAAGACTCAAAATGTACCTCATTTAGAGTATTAAGTAATCAAATTCAATTGCACTTCCTAGAATCACATACCAAAAGCTATTCATTTAACTAATATCCACTGAGCACTTTCTATACATGACGCATTATTGTAGGCACATATAATACAGGAATGAAAAAAAACAAACAGAAATGATTGTCCTGTGGAGCTTACATCCTAGTAAGCATGCTAATATCAAACAATAAAAAAAAAAAAAAGAAAAACAGTCTCCTCCCTCAAAACACCATTGTTTCTCCCAGGAATTAGTATGGAACATCCTCCAAACTGATTGTGATTTTTGTGACAGTAGTTTCAGTAGTTCTGATAATGGTTAGGTCCTGAAGAAGCACCTTTGGAAGGAGATGATGAGAAAGAAACAGGAGATGGTCCAGTGGCAAATGCTTTATCTCTGATGGCATCCCCTCTTAGCTTGCTGTTTTTATGTTTAGTTTAAGTTCTATTGCTTATAGATGGTCTCCTTGGATTACTTTCTTGAGTCCATTATACAAGAAAGGTATTAAAATTAGCTCTGTAAAGTGTCAGAAAATCACACTTAGACCCTTCTATCACTTACTCTTATGAACCCCTTTGAGTCACTTGCATCCTCCTGGAAGCAGACATCGAGACAAAATTAAAGGTACAAGAAAATCTTGTTCACAATATCTATGAAAGATAAAACGGAGAGGAGCAAGAGTAGATGGGAAACATGTGCAGACAATACAGGTCTGAGAGAAAGGAGAATCGATCCCCAGATAGTAGTGCAGCTCTGAGTGAGCTTTGGCCAGTCTAATAGGGAGCTCTGAGACAACAATTGCTAAAGAATAGAATGCATAGAATGTGTAATGATCAAGTCAGGGTATTTGGGTATCCATCACCTTGAGTATTTATCATTTCTATGTGTTGGTATCATTTCAAGTCATGTATTCTAGTTATTTTTATTAAATATATTGTTGTTTTACTGAGCTTTTTTTTTGCTGATCACAAACATTTACTCATTCTTTTAATTTGAAGGATATTTCTGAAGTCTAGTATGCTTTGTAAAATAATTTCTTTCTTAGAGTGAATTAAAATGGGTACTTTTCAGGTATAACACTAGCCTAGCTAAAATAGGAAATATTTGTAAAACGTAGGTGATAACAGTGTTAATGACCGTTTGTCAATATGAAACTCAGATGTTAATTAAATAACTTTATAATTAAATAAAATTATCAATTTGTTAGGTAATCTATAGATAAATTACAAAATATCTCCTAGGTATAGCTAATGTTGTGATTAATAATAACATTGACATATGAAGCTATGTCAATAAATATCTTATACACTTCCAAGGAAGAATTTGGGCATTTTAAATACACTGTTATTGTAAAGATGTATACAGTTCAATACTAGATTCTTCAAAACCAAAATTAATTAGAAAAGTCAAAATTGGTCAAACTGAAATGTGATATTACTGCAGCTAATATGGTAGTATCCTGGAAATAAAATACAGAGTAGAAATACAAAGTTCTTATTATAATCTAGTGCAGTTTTTTAGTATTACTGTATTATTTCATTTTCATATTAATGCAAAGCAAATAAGGTAGATCTTAAGAGAAGTAAAGCATAATAATTAAATTTAAATATTATCATATTTGAAAAATGTACTAGCTTAGCAGAAAGATCATAGTCTTTATTTTGAGGAAGGATTCAGCTTAAATTCTGACTAAATAAAAGTTACTTTACCTGTTGAAATGAAAATTTCCAGTTATAAAATATCAATAACTGAACCAATTTTATACGTTTGTGGAGATAAAGTATCTGCTACAGTTAGTGGTAAATATTAAGTTCTCAATGACTGAACATTATGAAAATAATAAAATTTAATTACATAATAAGTTCTCTGTATCATGGTATTATAAGAAAAGCTACAAAAATACATGTACTATAGTAGTATACTTATATTACACTTATAAGAATTAAAATAAGTTGTCATTTGTATGATTGTTTTATGTTTCTATTAATCTTGTTTTGGATATAAAATACACTTGCCTAAAGAGTCTTATATACCCTAATTCAGTTCAAGAAAGCTTTGGTACAATATAAGCATAATTAAAAACTAAATTGAGAAGTAAGCCTAAATTAAGAGATTCCTGGGCAGCTTGTCATTTGGTTTGTGTCAATGAAACCTCCTCTGTCTCTCCGGTATCTAGCTGGACAGTTATACATTAATATTCTTGCCAGCCTTTAGTAGGATGATTGGACACAAAGAAGTCCTGAATGTTGAAAATACTTTTAAAAAATGAAATTAATTGTATATATGGTATTAGCCAAGAGTTGAGTGTCTTAGAGGAATATGCATTTTGCATGCCACTGCTTTGGCAGACTGTTTTCCCAGCATAGCTCTTTAGAGATCTCTGCTGTGATTCACTTATCTGTTACGTGATGCTCACGGTGAGCAATGAATTGCTTATGAGTCAGCAATGCAGAGTGCTGTTATTTAAAACATAAAACACTCAGCTGTCCTAGCAGACATAATGATGTACCAAAGGCAGAGGACTAACAAAAAGTCAAGAAGGCTGCTTAGCCTTGTAGTTTCATTAACTTGTTACTTGAGAGTACTCGACTCAAAGGTCAAAATACTAGGAAAGAAGAGCAGAACTTAGGAGTGGAGTGAGAGAAGCAAGATTGCCTTGTCTCTTTCAGCATTGACTGAACTCATAGAACATCCTTAGAAGCCCGGAGAGATAAAGAAAAAGCTACACCAAAGTTCTTAGACACTTCATGGTGACTATTTATTTCATTGTGCAATTGATTACAACGTAAAGCTGGGACACGTCAATAATTGCACCCTTAAAATTATGTTTCACTTTAAACCTTTGTATTTAACAACTTTTATGCAAATGAGTCTATAGAAAGCCACAACAAAATAGATAAAAAGCCACAAGCACCATACAGCAATTATGGCTGATTCTTATCAATTTATAAATAATTTTGTCTTTTTTAAAAAAGAACTAAATTACATTTGGACTTAATTTCTAACAACAATATTTTAAAATGCGAACGGTGCGTAACAGTCACACAATGCTACCACATCAGAGGCTAGACCCAGAAAATAAGAACTACATAATATCTAATTAAAATACCTCTTTCCTTAATTTAACTTAAAGCAAATAAGAAAACAGTTAATTAATGTTTTTAAATAATAGATTTGCATCATGACTTGTATATCTGGACAAACTGCATATTAACTTGGGTGAGATTTTTGATGTAATTGGTTTTAGCGAGGGATTTAGGGTAAAACAGAAGTAGGTAGGCAAAACAGCTCCAACACTGAAAGCTTGTTTTTAAAATACATTTTTCTTCTTACTCTCTCTCTCTTTTAAATTGTATTACTTTATTATTATTATTATTTTAAAACCAGGAGTAAGCCATCTATTTTTCTCAGCCAAGATGTCTTGTCGTGTAAAATGGTGAAACTAATAACGATTTTGCGGAGGACTTGAGTGTTTTAGAAATGTGTGTATAATGCTTCCCACATAAAAAATAATAAATGGAAACTGTTATAACTTGTTTAAGAGAGAAACTTGACTGCGACATTGGTTACGTATGTGTATGCATATGTCAACCCTCACCCAATCGTAAAGCTTAAACATGTTCATTTTACTGTACATTCAGAAAATTTACTCTAACAAAGCTACAAAAATCTACTTTAAAGTGACCATTGCATATTTTTCTCTCTTTTTGAACAGTAAACAAGAACATGTAATTGTTTCTCTATCCTTTATAGCATATAAATACAAAAATCACAGAAAAAATAACGTTATTTGTTGCTTTTTATTTACAAACACTCTTGAAAAAAATCATTTACTATTTACAGACAACTTACGAGACAGAAACGCAGATTTTAAAATAAAAAAAAATCTAAAGGTGAAGTAAACAATTTTTATAGTTAGAAAACTCCTTAAAGTACCATGGACCACCATCAGATTTCCAGAAGCTGAGTCATCTCAAAACACATACTATGTAACTTAATAGATCTTTCTATGTATGAAATTACAAAATGTTCTGCCATAAAAATTTCAGAAGATTTACAGCACTGCATGGAAAACATGAAGGAAATATATTTATGGAAATCATATAACAAAAAGAAAATATCAAGGAATTACGTAGCACTGTATCTAGGAAATGCCAAAGTTCAGAAATGTACATATTTCTCCCCCCCCCCTTCTCGCCCTTCCTTCCTTCCTTCCCTCCCTCCCTCCATCCTTCCTCCAATCCTTCCTCCTCCCTCTTCCTCTCTCCCTCTTTCTCTCCTTTTCTTTCTTGATTCTTTCCTTCCTTGTTTTCTTTTTTCCTTTTTACTTATCTTTCTCTAAAATATTAAATTCAAGTATGCCATTGAAGTCCCTTGTGTCTACCCATGCTATTCCCTATCAGAATATTTTTGGTTATTTTATATTGTATTGTGTCTTCAACATAAATTAGAGAATCAAGTTCTCCAAATTTGTTTTTTAATTACTTAGGAAAGAATTGGAATTTTAACAAATGAAATCTGTTTATGCACTTAATATATATCTCCTTATTTATTTTTTGGTCTTTATAATATTTTTAAAATTCCTCAATGAAGAATTTGTATAACATTTATAAAACTATATATGTGAGTTTTATTTTCATTCTAAATTTAGAAACTTTATTGAACTACTCCATATATTTGATAAGTTATAGCTATTTTCTGTGAATCTTATTGTTTTATATATTCATTTAACCTGAAAAGTCATAATTATGGTCCATTTTCTCAATTTTTACCATAAAAATTGATGTTTCACCTTATCATTTTAGCTGGCCATGTTTAAGCTAGCTACATACCTTTGCATGGTTGATTAATAGTGTATTTAATATTCCCTATCATTGCACATTTAGGTGGTTTTCTAAATTTTTAATCAATAATTAGCTAAAAAATAAATACAATAACTACAACAATGATGATTTTTTTAGAATAAATTCATGAGGGTAGAACGCTTGGTGAAATATTTTTAAAATATTTTCATACATATGGACTTCTTTTCAACACAAACTAAATATATTTGCATTTTCAGTAGGGATGCATCACTATCAGTTTTCCTGTAGACATGCTAATTCAGGACATTATGCTTCAAATCCTGTTTATGGATCACATGAGTAATGTGGTTTCTTAGTGTAATTAGTATTTTTTATTCTAGTAAAGTGCTTTGCCTTAGATCTGTTTTCATTCCTCAGTTGCTCATTCTAACTAGACAGCTTCTTGGAAGATTTTAAATATACATGTATCATATATATATATATATATATATATATACACAATATACCTTGCCTCTAAATATGTGTGTGTATATATATGTATATGTATATGTGTATATTTATATGTATATATGTGTATATAAATAATATATATATATTTTGAGACAGAGTTTTGCTCTTGTCCCCCAGGCTGGAGTGCAGTGGCACAATCTCGGCTCACTACAAACTCCACCTCCTGGGTTCAAGCAATTCTCCTGCCTCAGCCTCCCATGTACCTGCGATTACAGGCACCTGTCACCATGCCCGGCTTATTTTTGTATTTTTAGTAGAGATGGGGTTTCACTATGTTGGTCACACTGGTCTCGAACTCCTGACTTCAAATGATCCACCTGCCTCAGCCTCCCAAAATGCTGGGATTACAGGAGTGAGCCACTGTGCCTGGTCTACATAATATGTATTAATGGATAATATATGTATAAATATATGTATACTATATACACATATATGTAAATATAAAATATGTATATTTAAAATAATCCAGGGAGCTAATTAGAATGGGCTATGCATATAATATATAATATATATTTAGAGCCAAGGTATATTATTATATTTATGTTATATATAAATATACATATTTGTATTATATAAATATATATGTATTTAGAGGCAGGATCTTGCCCAGGATGCCTTTAACTACTGGGCTCAAGTGAGTCTCTTGTCTCAGCCTCCCCAGCAATTGGTACTACAGGCATGCATTCCTCATGCCCTGCTTGATTTTGAATATTTCAAATATTACTCTCAATTACTTGTTTTTAAGTTGAATTTAATTTTCTATTGGTACATTTTTTCTCTTGCTGATTTATTTTAAAACCCTTTAAATGTTTAAGAATACTAAAGCATTAAATAGAAAACTATAAAATAGATACTAATTTTACACACATATTTTTGGCATGCTTAAACTTATGGATATTAAAGATTTTATTGGAGGGAAACTGGATTAAAGAAAAAATAAAGTGCCCCAAACCCATGTATCTTTTTTTGATACTTTGAAATAATGGGATCCAACCCACGCTAAAATTAATGAACTATTCCTTCATAGCAATGCACAAAAAAAGGAATCACTCAGTTTAAAATTTAAAGTAATCTTTTTTCTTTCCTACATCATTTGTTACAAAGAGAATATACCATTCAGGCCAGGTAGAAACAAAGAATCTATTCATTGACAAAATGAATTGATTAAATATCATTTGCCAGTAACAAGTACTGTCATAATAAAAACTGGCCTTGTGCAGACCAATGGAAAGCTATTTAAAAGGATGCTAAATGTTATAACTTCTCCTCCATACCCCCAAATCATGCTGCTATCACTTTACTTTGTGAAAAACGAGAACTGACTTGTATAAAATTGTTTGACATTAAACTTGGGGCTGTCAACAGCCTACTGATAAATACAAATGTTCCACAGTGCCTTCTGCTATTATTTTAGACATTACTTGAATGTACTTTCTAAACTCATATATCAAATCAAAGTTGTAAGTTCCTACTGAGTAATTCCACCAATATTTCCTCCATAGCTTTTTGTGCTTGAGTTTCTGTTATCTAGTAGATACATGTTATTCCTAGGGAATAATGCCTGTTTTTATATTGCAGACCTAGGTATATTATTGTAAACTAATACGTTTCTAGAGTTTTGAAAGCAACACTTAACTACTTTGTGTTGTACCTTACAACAAAAACAGATTGATTTGAACTTGAGGGCAAACTATCCCTGCCACATGATGAGTGTCAAGATAATTGATGAGTGCATCTAGCGTTTATCAATACTCACTCTAATATGATTTTTTGTTCTCTGTAAAACTTAAAAAATTTCTCTGCATTCAAATGAATAATAAATAAAACATATTTTTGCAGACCTTGTTTATATTAGAATAGTCTTGAATTTTATTTTATTACTTTATTATATCACAAATTTTAAAGTCCCATCATTCCATAACTAAATGTAAATAAGTATTCCATAGTTTAAAAGCTAATCTCATAATTTCATAACTAATTTCATAATTTCATAACTAAATATAAATGGAATATAATGCCAAATTTTAAGAGAATTCATTGTTTAATTATCTGAGTTAAGGCTCAGTGCAATGTTATGTTTTTTTGGGATAATTAAATTATTTCCTTGGTGAATTGTCTATAGCTAGTGGTTTTACTTATAAATTTAATTAAAGTGGTTCAGTTCAAAAAATACTTTTGTGCTTAATATTTTTGCTACTAGGAAGTGAAAGTAAATAAATCACATTCCTTTCATTCAGTAAGTGTATTAGTCTGTTCTCACGCTGCTAATAAAGACATACCTGAGACTGGGTAATTTATAAAGAAAAAGAGGTTTAATGGACTCACAGTTCCACGTGGCTGGGCAGGCCTCACAGTCAGAGAGGAAGGTGAAAGAAGGGTAAAGTCACGTCCTACATGGCAACAGACAAGAGAGCGTGTGCAGGGGAACTCGTATTTTTTTTTTTTTTTTTTAGATAGAGTTTTGCTCTTTTTGCCCAGGCTGGAGTGCAATGGTGATCTCTGCTCACTGCAACCTCTACCTCCGGGGTTCAAGAGATTCTCCTGCCTCAACTTCCTGAGTAGCAGGGATTACAGGCATATGCCACCATGCCTGGCAAATTTTGTATTTTTAGTAGAGAAAAATTTAGTAATTTTTCTCCATGTTGGTCAGGCTGATCTTGAACTCCCAACTTCAGGTGATCCACCCACCTCAGTCTCCGAAAGTCCTGGGATTACAGGCATGAGCCACTGTGTCCAGCCAGGAACACCTCTTTATAAAACCATCATATCTTGTGAGACTCATTCACTATCATGAGAACAGTAGGGGATTCAATTACCCCTCACTAGGTTCCTCCCATGACACATGGGAATTATGGGAGCTCCAACTCAAGATGAGATTTGGGTGGGGACACATCAGTAAGGTATAGACTAGTTCAAGAAGACATATAAACAAGAAAATAATGTTCTATGAAAGTTGTTAAGAAAGTCAATGAATAATGCTCAAAATAGGCAGTTGAAAATACTTAATTTTATTTTTGCTGTTTTGAACTTATTTCCTGCCATTTAAATATTAATGTGTTTTGTAATTATAAAAGAGGCAGAAGAAAATTGTTTCTACTTGATGTTTATAAATCTCAACTGGCATATTACTATGGGTCATGGATTTGTATTATATGAAACAATAAAGAAAACACAAATTTATATGCTGTTGGCAAATAAAAATTATCATAGATATTGTAAATATATTAAATCAGTAGAGTTTTGCACATTAAAGCTACTTTTTAGGTGTGGGGACAATCAGTATAGAAAAACACAGGTGACTGCACCTTTTGTTTAGATATTAAAAACAGTTTGAAAACTAAATCAGTTTTGGCATAGAACCGATATTTTCACAAACAAAAAGCTCCCAGGAAACTTTCACACAGGGGTGATCCTTTATGTGGGTTTTGAAAGACAGAAAAGTGTTCACCAGAGGAGCAGGGAAATACATCCTTAACTAGGAAAAAAAATACAGGATTTGAGCTGGGAAAATACATGGTGAACCAAAGAAATGGTGAATAGAAATCACCACGACCACATACGCGCATGCGCGCACACACACACACGCAAACACACACACACAGTCTTCTAATTTCTTGAGAGAACAATTTGATCTGCCTGTTCTCTGATCTGTATCTTCTTAAGTTGTCTGCAGCAAGTAGATATTCAAAATTGTCTGCATAATAAATAAGAGAAACATCACAGGTAGAAGCAATCAATACTCTTCCTTTTTCTTCCTCATTAGGTATTACAAACATACTTGTTCCAATTAGTGGCATAATTATTGTAGCTGAAATTAAACTATTTGTTTGATGAAACAAGGTCAACTTTGGATGTATGTTTGATATTTATTTGATATTTTAATAAATAAATTATCTTCCAAAAAAAAAACTGATATTTTCTTCTCATGTTTCCAATTTCCCAGAATGCCAATCTGATTTGAAAGCATTTTTTTCTTTTATTTTTCAACTACTAAAGATGTTTCATTGATAGAACAATGACAAAGATATCACTTGACCTGATTTTACTCTATTCAAATACGTAAGTTGCCCTCATAAAGACAAGTGGAGAAGGTTGCATCCCCCAGTAGTTTAAAGATTTTCCTGGTAAAATGGTATCGTTATTTCCTTAAATACCAAAGCTTACTTTGCCGATGTGAAAAGATTTTTTATGAAAACCAGCTGAACAAAACTTGAACAGTTATATGTTAGTTCCACACCCTGGAATGAATAAATTATGAGCTTAGATATTCTATTTTTAGAATTAAAAAAAATAAATCTACTATAAAATAAAATTTTAGAAAATGTTAAAAATAAGATGGTACCAAGACATTATTTAGCATATATAAAATACTTTTTAAATGCCTAGTATAATCAAAGCACTTAATAAATGCCATGAGTATTATTGTCATTATTTCAATAAAATAAAATGTAAGATAATCCTTTTTCTTATGATAGTGCTATCTTATTCAACAGAAATGTTAAGTAGAAATAGCATAGTGATTTGTGACATGTATGCAGTCATTTACATGAGTGATATGCAACCATGTTGTATTAATTGCCAGTTTATAAAATATTGGAATACTCCCATGCAGATTTATAAATAGCCACTACCCTGAGAGCTCCACAGTGTCTTTTTGCCATAGCTTTGGCCTTTTCGTAGAGTTTCCCATGATTTACCAATTGAAGGATGAATGTCTTATGCAGCAGACATCCTCAGCTCCACTACATAGGCCAGTGTCCATTCTGTCTGATGGTTGCCCATTCTGTACCAGAAATTGTTAAATAATTTTGATTTCACATCTGGATTTACAATAGATCACCATGATAAAGTGAAAAGTGTATGTGATATGGTTTGGAAGTGCATACACTTCAAATCTCATGTTGAAAAGTGACCTTCAGTGTTGGAGGTGAGACCTAGTGGGAGGTGTTGGGTCATGAGAGTAGATCCCTCATGAAAGGCTTGGTGTCCATCCCACAGTAATTTGTGGTAATGAGTTCATGTGAGATCTAGTTGTTCAAAAGAGTGTGTTAACTTCCCCTTCTCTCTCTTGCTCCCTATCTCACCATGTGACACACCTGCTCCCACCTGCTTCACCTTCCACCACGATTATAAGTTTTCTGAGGCCTCACCAGAAGAAGGTGCCAATGCCGTGCTTTTTTGTACAGTGTGTACAACCATGAGCCAAATAAATCTCTATTCTTTATAAATTACCCAGCGTCAGGTATTCCTTTATAGCAACATAAAACAGACTAACACAATGTGAGATTTGAAACATGTTTTGATTATTATTCTACTTTTAAATTGGGCAGAATTAAAGCCTTGGTTTTCTCCTCTGCAACAATGGTCTTATTTTATGTACCATTCACATTGTGAAGATGAAATTAAGTTATGTAAAAAATTATCTACAAAGTAGACCTTAAAAATTGATTACATCTGAAAGTTCTATTAATATTTTTTTATTCCTAAGTTTATATGAAATATTTTCCAGACTCCAGATGGGTTAAGCAAAGGAATTCCCAATAATCTATTTATTTGACCTAATATTCATAGTTATTGTACCAAGCACTGACCCAGCCATAGGGATTCATCATATAACAAAACAAAACAAAGCAAAACAAAACAAAACAAAACAGGACAGTTCCATTATAAAGAAGCTTGTAGTTTCATTTGGGCATCAGATCAAAATATTAAATTAATAACATATTTTAAAAGGTTATGATGATAATAAAACTGAAGCCTCTGCACTCTCATAATACCTTTTTTACCATAAAAATATAGCTTTTTTCTGCACCTAAATTTAATTTATTTCAAGCTAATAAAATGTGGTATTAGAATATGAAATATTTAATAAGTTTCTGTTTTATTGAAAGACAAAGTAAAAATCAGTGAAGTTTGAATTGGTCAAGATATGAGTATAGGAAGGCAGATAAATTCAGAAATACAGAGAAACTGGCTCTCCTAACTACAGGGTGAGAAAGAATATAGAAGATTAATAGCGTACTGAAATCTTGCCAAGTCCTACGGAAACAAGAAGGGTAACTTCCTATAATATGTTGAGACCAAAAATCATTTTGTGGATAGATTTACTTCGTGAGCTCATTAGAGATTCATTATTTTTATTTTATTTTATTATTTTATTTTGTGTTTGAGACAGGATATTGCTCTGTTGCCAGATTGGAGTGCAGACGCATGGTCATGGATCACTGCAGCCTCGCCCTCCCTGGCTCAACTTAAGCCTTCTGGGTAGCTGGGATTATAGGTGTGCATCACCATGTCCAGCTAATTTTTAAATTACCTTTTTAGAGACAAAGTCTCACTATGTTGCCCAGTCTGGTCTCAAACTCCTGGGCTCAAGCAATCCTACCACCTCGGCACCCCACAGTGCTAGCATTATAGTTGTGAGCCACCATGCTGAGCTGATAATTATTTTTAAAAGATTGCTTTATATGACAGTGGCCTCTAATCGGTGGATCTTATGCCTGTTGACTCTAGACTTCCGCGTTGATTGCTTCTAATTAATATTAAGTATGTTTCTGCTTGGACTTTACACTTACCATGCCCTATTATGATAACGCAATAGATGTCTTTCTCTGCTTATCAAACTTTAAAAAACCCAGAGTGAAGATGGGGCTGTCTTGAAGTAACTGCCCAATTCAAGGAAAGTTTTTACTGCTATTGGATCCTGGCTCACAGAGGCAAAAGGAAACCTAATTCCTACAGGTACTCTATACTGTCCTATATAAACTGCATTAAGATCTGTGCCACTTTTTCATGACGAAATTGGAAAGCATCCATGCAGATTACGGTGATCCACAGGGAAAAGATTTGCAGTTTTATTTTGCTTTAGGAAGTAAAATATTCCATGGTAGTTTATGATTTTTTAGTTTCATCATCACAGAATTTCAAAAAAGTTATCTCATTTTATATATAGTGTGTGTGTGCATATATATATATATATACCCACAAATATATTTATATGACTGTGTAATATTAATACCAATGTATATTTTTTCTGAATATGTTTTTGTGTATATATTTACATCCATAGATATGTACATATAATCTATTATCATATATATATCATATTGGTAGAATGAACAAAAAGCATATATATGTGTCTCTGTTTACATATTTTTTATTTTATATAATATTCATAAACCTTAAAATAGTTCATAAACAATGGAAAGTACCTACAAACTATAAAAGATACTTATTCTGTTCTTATATAGGAATGAACAAATATATAAAGAATGAAAAGAAATTATATATCCCAAGATACTTCTCAGTTATATTGACGAACACCGTATTTTTATTACACTAAGGACATCTGAAGACCTATGTGTAAATTTGATTTTTATCTACTGTCAGTGAAATATTGATGAAAGTCGTAAACAGATTTAGCAAACAGATTTACCAACATTTATTATTTCTGGAGCAATAACAATATCTAAAAACTATCAAGAGGATGAATTCCAAAAGAAACGATTTCTAAATCAATAAAAGCTCAAGCTGTCAAATCCTTCTTTCTTAAAAGAAAGTTAATGGCTCCTGGTTTTCGAAAATCAACATTTACTTTGGTATAAAAAGTATGATTTTAGAGAATCTATATATTTACGTAATTATTAATTCAGTAAAGAATGCAGTTAAGACACATACAACTTGAAGACTGGCAGAATATTTGGTAAGAATGTAACACATTCTACTATAGGCATTCACATTGAATAAAAAATCTTCCAATTGAAACATTCTGGCAATCTTTGGGTAGAAGTTGCCAAAGCATTCAGAAGTACAATTTTATATTTTATCATAATATAAAATATGTTTTCTGTTGATATTTCATATACAATTGAAATTCTTATTAAAATAATTATTCAGTGCTTATCTTGAAAAATTTAAATTATAAAGAACTTACATTTTATTTGCTCAAAGTTGACATTCAATTTTAAATCAAAATGTGGCATTAGCACATAGTCAGTAGTGTGTGTTTTCTATTTTTAAGTGCTCAAAATATAAAAAATAAGAATTTGAAAGCTGATAGTTGTTAGAGGGTCTACAAGTTTACCTACACTGTGTAAAAAGGGAAGTGCTTTTAGAAGAATGGGGAAAGGTTTAGAGCTTTCTTTCCCCACTACAATTTAATTTTGGCTCTATGACACTGAAATAGGTTATTAACATAGCATTGATCTGGGCTTGTTTCCAAACTTATCATTTACAAAAATGTGTTCTATAGAATACTAGTCTATGGATATGTTCCTATTCAGGCCTGCTGAAAAAATAAATTAAAAAAAAAGGTCTTGTCAAATAAATCTGGGACACTATCCATAGTACTTTTTTTTTTTTCTTTTGAGACAGAGTCTCGCTCTGTCACCCAGACTGGAGTGCAGTGGTGCAACTTGGCGCACTGCGACCTCCGCCTCCTGGGTTCACGCCGTTCTCCTACCTCAGCCTCCTGAGTAGCTGGGACTATAGGCGCCCGCCACCACTCCCGGCTAATTTTTGTATTTCTAGTAGAGACAGGGTTTCACTATGTTGGTCAGGCTGGTCTCGAACTCCTGACCTCTTGATCCGCCTGCCTCAGCCTCCCAAAGTGCTGGGATTACAGGCATGAGCCACCGCGCCCAGCCCATAGTACTTTCATCTTGATGATTTACTCTGCAGCAATTTCCAAATTTGGTTTTTTATTCTTTTTTTTTTTCCTTGAGTCTCTCTAGAGACCAGCATTTTCATATACAAGCTTTGCTACACATTACTAAAGGGAAGCTAAAAAGGTGATTCTGAAAGACTTTTTGAGATAAAATTCTAGGATGTTTGAATGACAAGATAACATTTTTAAATTTAATTACATAAGTGTAAAGTGACACCGAAAGGGAATGAAATGATTAAAGGGGTGTTTTAAGGTGAATCCAGCATCATTGTACAGAGATAACTTTTGGGGAAAAAATTTGCTCTAGGGAGTGTCCAGGAGGTTACTATAACAATGAAACTCCTTTTGCTTTATTAGTTTGACCAAATCCAGACGTTCATATACATATTTAAAATGGTATCTACGAATTGGTGTGGTTTTATGTAGGTTCAGTCCACCATGTGTTATTACATATTATTCCTCCAAAATTCTGTCGCTTCTTCATTTTTCAGCACGCACACAGACACACACACACCCCACAGCCTCAGTTACAATTTGTCTCATGCTGTAAATAAAATGCCTATACCTAAATTTCATTTCTAACCCCCCCTTTTCCCAATTTTGGGATCATTTTATCCTCTTATTGACTTTTAGATTGGAGAGAAGAGTTTATTAGAATCAATTTTATCTATTGCTTTCAGAATTCTGTAACTTCAATAAGGTCTAAAAAGGTTAATGCCCTTTTATCAAAATGAATAAGCCCAATTTCCTCAAACTTTTCTTTCAAATAGTATCATTGATTCTAAAACACTGTGCTCTGCTCCCTCAAGGGTAAGTATGTCTTTAAGTGGCTATTTGCCAAACCAGTATTTTACAATATGTTCCAGCCATGTCCAGAATCACATAAGGATTGCTCCGGTTGAAATGGAATTGCTCTAGTAGAGTATCTTATCTGCTATCTTTTAAGCCATATATTAGGCTTTAGGTCCACAGGTATTATAATAGCTATAAAATAATTTTCTTCTGTCAAGGTCATTAGCTTAACTCCCATTTAGCTGAAATTAGCAGATTTATTCCTTGAGTCTCTCTGGTCATAATTGTCTTTCCCTGAAGTATCACCTTACTTCTTACTATAAAATTTTATATCCTTTGTTGCTGCACTCTCATTAGTAAAAATAAATTGCATATGTGTAATTTTTAAATTAATATAATTTTTGTAATTTCATGGTAGGATATTTTAACTGTAAATAATAGTTTAAAAATAAAACGTGAAATATGATAAAAATAATCATTATATGAAAAAAATTTATTTACAATAATAATGGAACATTACTTTGCTCCATCCTTAGGTAAATATTTTTAGAGATTATGTAAACTCAATTATTTCACTAATTGAAATATTTCACTCAAATATTTCACTAGTTCTAAATTAAATTAGAACTAGTAATAATATAGTATAGGTGGGGAAGCTCTTTCTATTCATTCACAATCTGCCAAATGCCTTTGAGAATTTTGCACAATTCTTCTTGGTCTTCCTTCATGCACACTCTGTTTTCAGTAACCATGAATTCATGAAAGATTGATGGCTAAAAGATACTAAAGATACAATGGTACTTTAAAAGGAGGATCTAAAGGTACTTTAAAAGGAGGATCTAAAGTTTTAGTTTACCTCTTATTTTTATTTAATTCCATCCACATTTTGGTGGAGCTTCGATTTAAACATACCTTGAAGATTTTCTTGACATGGCCAGAGTGATTTGATTTTGGAAATCATATGATTATAAAACTCTACATTTAGCATAAAGTAGTGAGTCAATATTTTTTTTTCTTTTGTAGAGACGGGGTTTCACCTTGTTAGCCAGGATGGTCTCAATCCCCTAACCTCGTGATCCCCCCGCCTCAGCCTCCCAAAGTGCTGGGATTACAGACATGAGCCATCGCGCCCAGCTCTCAATTTCTTTTTTTTTAGATTTCATGATGTTCTATAGCAAATATACATAGTAGAATAGTTGCTCAATTTCTTTTTTTTTTTAGATTTCATGATGTTCTATAGCAAATATACATAGTAGAAAAGTTGCTCAAATTCAGATATCTTGTCCTTTTTAAATAACATAGTTGTTTTTCAAGACAAGCTTTGAGAAACCCTTTAAGGTCAATGGCCAGTTGTAGGAATAAGTAGCTCAGCTGTCTTTTTGGTCGAGTAAGAAGCTGTTTTCTATGTGTGAAAACTGTTGGCTTTTTGATCTATGTATGCTATTAGAGAGAGTGACGATAGATGAAATAATAGATACAAAACAATGTACTTGGTTTGCTATTTTATTTAAAATGAATTTTTCCTACTTTATTTTCCTTACTGAGTTCAAAGTGAGCAACATAAAGAGCAAAAATATGGATATATGTTTATTATCTTAGAGCCAAGCTAACCTTAATATTATGTTAATTCACTTTAAATAACAATTAGTGGGGGTGGTGGTTAATAAACAAACAAATATATAAATGAATATATTGCTCTATTTAACATCTGAGATTTTCAATCTTCAAGGGTGATGCAGAACATTGGGTTAAGTAGAGAATTGAAACAGAAAATATTTTAGTTATGCATAGACATCACAAAAGTAGCATCATTGACACCAAAAAGCAGATATTTTAGGGCCATTATGAAAAAAAATATCATTCACTTGCTTGCTCTAATTTTATATTTCTTGAAGTGAGGCAAAACTTTTCATTCTCTTACTTAATATTAATCTTAAATCAAGTAATAAAATATTTTGATGAAAATACAAACCCAATATGAGTGACTAATACTAGTGACTTTACTGCAATAATTACTTTGGAAAAGTACTTGACAAAGTACAACTGAAGATGGGCTTGGTGGCTCACACCTGTAATCCCAGGACTTTGGGAGCCTAAGGCAGGCCGATCACAAGGTCAAGAGATCAAGATCACCCTGGCCAACATGGTGAAACCTTGTCTCTACTAAAAATACAAAAACTAGCTGGGTGTGGTGGCACGCACCTGTAATCCCAACTACTCAAGAGGCTGAGGCAAGAGAATCACTTGAACCCGGGAGGCGGAGGTTGCAGTGAGCCGAGATGGTGCCATTGCACTCCAGCCTGGCGACAGAGCGAGACTCTGTCTCAAAAAAAAAAAAAAAAAAAAAAAGGAAGGCTGAGGGAAAGGGTCTCTAAAAAAAAACTTTATTCAGTAAAATGTTCACAAAGAGATGGTGTGGAAAAGGTGAAGTTGATTTTCTGATACCACCGTTTTTGTTGGCACCAGCCCTGAAACATAAGCCTGATACTTTATTTAGTAACTTTCTGCTTCTGCATGGCATGAAGCTTCTTTAAAAAAAAAAAAAATATATATATATATATGTTAAAATACTGATCTACTCATCTTCCTCCGTGTCTCCTTCTGCAGAAGAATAAGCTAAGCATAAATTCTGCTATATCTGGTAATCAAGAAACATTCAGGTGGCTTTCAAGTAACTACACACAACAAATGTGTTTTCCGTTTCTCTTAACAGTATGTTTTCTCTGAGATTCATTGGGAAACGATAAGGGTCTCTCTCATGTGTATTCAGAAGCTTTTTTACCTTACTACACAGCTGGCCAAGGGTGTCATGGACCGCCATAGCTATTTTGCTGATCATGTAAACTGCTGGAGTGTCCTCTCAAAATCCAAACTTCCTGTCATCTACACACGAATGCCTTCTATCACATATGCTTAACGTGAGAATTAAAGGAGACATAAATGTAGAAATTCCTAATCCAGTGCTGAACACATGATTGGTGACTATTACCTCCAATCTTGCTCTTTTCTCCATTACTCTTAAGTCTGCTTCTTTGCGGAAGAATAATTCGTTCTAATTAATACTGTGTAAATTACCACACATCATTCAGTAGATATCATTCCATTTCAAATAGATTGATCCTGGCAAGAATTTTAACTTCTCCCACCGCACATTTTCTCAGATTTGAGATACTTATAAAGCCAATCTCAAGGGGCTCTGGCAAGACAGAACTGAATGGCATTTGGCATCCAAAATTTCCAGATGACTACTGATACAGTTTGGCTGTGTTCCCATCCAAATCTCAAACTATATCTCCCAGAATTCCCACATGTTGTGGAAGGGACCTGGAGGCGTGTGGGAGGGAGGGGGTAACAGAATCATGGAGGCTAGTCTTTCCCATGCTATTCTCGTGATAGTGAATAAATCTCGCGAGATCTGATGGGTTTATCAGGGGTTTCCGCTTTTGCTTCTCCCTCACTTTCTCTTGCCATCGCTGTGTAAGAAGTGCCTTTTCCATGTCCCTACAAAGGACATGAACTCATCATTTTTTATGGCTGCATAGTATTCCATGGTGTATATGTGCCACATTTTCTTAATCCAGTCTATCATTGTTGGACATTTGGGTTGGTTCCAAGTCTTTGCTATTGTGAATAATGCCGCAATAAACATACATGTGCATATGTCTTTATAGCAGCATGATTTATAGTCCTTTGGGTATATACCCAGTAATGGGATGGCTGGGTCAAATGGTATTTCTAGTTCTAGATCCCTGAGGAATCGCCACACTGACTTCCACAATGGTTGAACTAGTTTACAGTCCCACCAACAGTGTAAAAGTGTTCCTATTTCTCCACATCCTCTCCAGCACCTGTTGTTTCCTGACTTTTTAATGATTGCCGTTCTAACTGTAAACTATCGCAAGAACAAAAAACCAAACACTGCATATTCTCACTCATAGATGGGAATTGAACAATGAGAACACATGGACACAGGAAGGGGAACATCACACTCTGGGGCCTGTTGTGGGGTTGGGGGAGCGGGGAGGGATAGCATTGGGAGATATACCTAATGCTAGATGACGAGTTAGTGGGTGCAGTGCACCAGCATGGCACATGTATACATATGTAACTAACCTGCACATTGTGCACATGTACCCTAAAACTTAAAGTATAATAATAATTAAAAAAAAAAAAAAAGAAGTGCCTTTTGCCTAACGCCATGAATCTGAGGCCTCTTCAGCCAAGTGGAACTATTTAAGTCCAATTAAACCTCTTTTTGTTCCTGCTTTCAGGTATGTCTTTATCAGCAGCATGAAAATGAACTCATACAACTACTAATGGGCATGGCATGGTAGAGGAGAATGTGGAGAAGAGTAGGAAATGGGAATAGGCTTAAAAATGCCAAGATCCAGATTGTGTGCAGTTGTTGTCATTACTTTCAATGGCAAAAACCACAATTACTTTCACACCAACCTAATAGTTTTTTTTGGAGGTCTTTGTTGTATGCCTGTTTATTTGTTTCTAATTTTTAATTATTGTGGGTACTGTACTTAGTAGGTGTATATTTTTATGGGATATTTGGGATATTTTGATACAGGTGTGCAATGTGTCATAATTACATTATGGTAAATGAAGTACCCATAACCTCAAGCATTTATCCTTTGTGTTACAAACAATTCAGTTATACTCTTTTGGCTATTTTTAAAAGTATGATTAAATTATTATTGACTATAGTCACCCTGTTGTCCTATCAAATACTGACTCTTGTTCATTGTTTCTATTTTTTTTTTGTACTCAGGAACCATCCCCTGTCCCCCCAGCCCCCCACTATGGTTTCCAGCCAGTGGCAAATATCATTCTACTCTCCATCTCCATGAGTTCAGTTGTTTTATTTTTTAACTCCTACAAATAGGTGAGAACATGCCTAATCCTCTTTGTTCCAATGGCCCAGTAGGTAATCTCAAATTACATACAAGCTTACAAGCACTTTCACTGCACCCTACAAATTTTGATATATAGATATTTTTTCATTCTGTTCAAAACAATTTCTAATATTTCTTCTGATTTCTTATCTAATATTTGGTTTACTTAGAAAGTTTTAATTTCCAAATACTTGGACCTTTTCTCAATTTTTTTTATTATTAAACTCTCATTTAATTCCACTGTGGTTAGAAAACATACTTTATATAATTTCAATATTTTAAAACATGAGACTGGGTTTATGATCCAGATTATAATTTTTCTTGGTAAATATTCCATTTGCATTTTTAAAATGTGCATTCAACTATATCATACATATAAATGAGGTCTAGTTGGTTGATGGTGTTATTCAACTCTTCTGTGTCTCTACTAACTACTGGTTCTATCAATTATTGAGTGAGCAGAGTTAAAATCCACAAGAATTATAAACTTGCATATATTTTACTTCTAGTTTCATGGGTATTTTATTCACATTTTTCAAAGCTGTGAAGTATATTATTTTTATATATTCTTTAAGAAATGCCCTTTTTATCGGTAGGAAGTGCCTCATATTTTTTGTTGCTATATTCCATATTTTGAGGTCTACTTGATATTAATATAACCATTCCAGCCCATTTTTGAAAATTGCTTTCACAGCCTTTTTTATATCTTTAACTTTTAGTCTTTGAATATTTTAATAAAGTGTTTTTTCTAATTAAAGTGTATTTTATAATTACAGTGTATTTTATAATTAAAGTGTGTTTTGCAAACCGCATACATTATAGTGTTGATTTTTGATCCACTTTTATAATCTGTAGTTTATTCATTACTCTGTTTAGGTAACTTACATTTAATACAATTAACAATACTGTTTGGATTCAAAATATACTACATTGCTATTTGTTTTCTACTATTCCCATCTGTTGTCTGCTCCTGTATTTCATCTTTACCTGCCCTTATTTGTGATTTGTTTTTTTCTAGATTTTGTTATTTTTAGATAAGCCTTCATGTTTTCATATTTTTGGTGGTTGCTTTTGGGTCTACAATAAACTTCAGTAAATCATCGAAGTCTGTGTTCTAATAACAGTATACCACTTCATGTACATTGTAAGTACCAAATGATATTCTGTTTCTGAACTCATGCCTTCATTTGCTATTATCATACTTTTGCTAGTATATTTGTTAGAAATATCTGAGTGTATTATTATTTTTTAAAGAGTTATGATGGTTAATTTTATATGTCAGCTTGGCTAGGCCACAGTACCAAGATGTATTGGTCAAACACCAGCTTGAGTGTTTCTGTGAAGGTAATTTTTGAGATGAGATTAACATTGAAATCAACAGACTTTAAGGAAAGAAAGTTATTCTTCATAATGTGGGTGGGCCTCATCCAATCACTTGATAGACTTGAAAGAAAACAGAATGAGGTACTTGAAAGAAGAGGGAAATTCTGCCTCCAAAGCATCTTCAGACTAAACTGCAACATCAGTTCTTTCCTGGGTCTCCAGCCTGCCTGTTAACCATGCACATTTTGGATTTGCCAGAATACACAATCACATGTGCCAATTCCTAAAAATAAATAATTTATCAGAAAAATACAATTTTATATATATATATATATATATATATATATATATATATATTTATATTTGTACATTCTATTGCTCTGTTTCTCAGGAGAATTCTGACACATTCAACAATTAACTTTTTAATTAATTTAAAAGAAAAAATACCTTTTATAATAATCTACATATTAAACTTCTTTGTCATACATTATATATTTTGTGTAGGTAAAGATATTCATATAATGTCCCTTTCCTTTTGCCTGAAGAAATTCCTTTACATTTATTTTTGTAGTGCATGTCTTATGATTATAAATTCTGTTAGCTTTTGATTGTCTAAGAAAGACTTTATTCTGTCTTTATTTTTGACAGGCGTTTACATTTGAGCATAAAAATTTATGGTTGGCCAGGTGCAGTAGCTCATGTCTGTAATCCCAGCACTTTGGGAGGCCGAGGCAGGAGGATCATTAGGTCAAGAGATCGAGACCATCCTGGCCAACATGGTGAAACCCCATCTCTACTAAAAGTACAAAAATTAGCTGAGTGTGGTGGCACACACCTGTAGTTCCAGCTACTTGGGAGGCTGAGGCAGGAGAATCACTTAAACCTGGGAGGTGGAGGCTGCGGTGAGCCAAGATCGCACCACTGCACTCCAGCCTGGTGACAGAGCGAGACTTCATCTTAAAAAAAAAAAAAAAAATTTATGGTTGACAGATTTTATCTTTTGGTACTATAAATATCTCAATCCATTGCCTTCAGACTTGCATAGTTTCAAATGAGAACACTGCTATCAATCTTAATTTTTTTCATTATTAAATATATCTTTTGAACTGTGTCTCCTCTAAAGCTTTTATTGTCTATCATATCTTTTTTGCAAGTTGTGTTTGATGAGTCTTGTATAGTCATGGTCATCTTCTCCTTTTCTCCCTTTTTCCTCTCTTCTGCTCTTCCTCTTTCCCTTCCCATCTTCTTCCTCCTCTCCCTTTCTCTTTTTGCTTTGTGTATGTCAAGGCTTCTTTGACCTGTTAGTTTATATAAATATTGTTTTTCAAATTGGAAATATTTTTTGACTAACATATTTTCTTACATATTTATTTGTCTCCCCTTACCCCTACTCTTGTTTTGGGCTCCAATGGCATTCAAATTTTTTTTATCAACCTTTGATATTTTCTTATTTTTTTCTTCAATTCATTCTTTTCTATGATTAATTTTCTATAAGTTTTACTGACAGATCTTAAAGTTCTCTAATATTTTCTTTTGAAGCACCTAATCTATTAATTTTTAAAAGCTCATTTCTTTTTCAACTATTGTATCTCTAGAAGTACCATATAGGGATTTTTATAATTCTAATTTCTCTTCTCACAATGTTTATATTTTTATTTACATTTTCCTTGGGCCTGTGGCATATGTTTGTATTAGCTATTCCAATAGCATTGTCTAGTAACCCCCTTATCTCTATCATACCTGAGTTTGTTTCTATTTTCTCATATTTGTGCTTCTTATGGATCACATTTTCCTATTTTTCATCGTCAGTTTTACACTACTGAGTGTTAAATTTTTTTGTATGATTAAAAGTGTTTCTGTTGTTTCTGGCATTAATTTAAGTTATTTGCAAATTAATTTTATCTTTTCAATGTTTGTTTTTAGGTTGCTTTAAAGTTATGTCTGAAATAACCTTACTTCAAAGTCATTGTTTAATATTACCTATTTTATGAGATCATCACTAAGTTTCCCAATTTGAGATATAATCTTCCTTCCTTTGAGTTATTAATGCATCTTACATTCAGAAGATTTATAAACTGAAATGAATTACATTAATAATTGCATGCTCGTAATAAAATCAACCTGTTGAAAACTGAATTGAAATGGTGAAGGTGAAATCAGAAGTTATCTATAATACTTCCCACTATAAAATTCTGTCCATTTAAATAATAATTTTATTTGGATTTTTATTATGCAATCCTATCTTCTATTTTAGCTAATTACATTTTATTCTCTCTTTTTTCTTTCTTTGAAGAGACAAGGTCTCACTAAGTTGCCCAGGCTGGCCTCGAACTCCTGAACTCAAGCCATCTTCCCACATTGGCTTCCCCAAGTGTTGAGATTACAGGCATGAGACACCGCTGTGCTCGGCCTACATATACTTGTGCTTTTCTATATCTCATCTCTTTACCAGCACCACTTACATGCACCGTGATTTTTAAACTCTTTGAGGTTAGAGATGATAATGTTTTTTATTGTACCACCTATGTCATTGGAACTATTTACCACCTACTATCATTCTCACCAGACAAGAGTCAATGCATGATAGCTGACCTGAAGAACTAAACTAAGAAGTTGGGGATGCTTTGGCAATTATGATTTGGGTAAAAACTTATTTTCAAAACTCTATTCATTAATTTATCACCTTCTTCTTATTTAATTGAACAGTGTGTATTTTTTACACATAAATGAGCATGTACACATACACACACCAGTTTACTGAAAAAAATAGCTTCTAGCTTTCTGCCACAACGTATTTTTTTTACTATGTCAATTATGTCTGTTGAATTACTATAACTCTTCAATATCCTCAACTTTGTATTGTACATATGAGTAACCTAAAATTTCATAATTCATTTGCTATTCAGTTTTATTTTGTTAACTGATATTTAGGTCTTCATATTTTTACTTAAATTCCTGAAGCAAAGAATAGAAGATGAAAATTAGAGCAACCAGCTAGTCTCTGATGATTTTAAGAGCCCCTTGCTGTAAAGTATACATTGCTTCATTTAGGATTTTATTCAATTAGTCATGATTGAATTCATTTCTCTCCTTAAGGAAGTAACTTTATCTCTGATTTATTGGTTATTAGAGTATCAAACAAGCATCACTTTACATCTATAGTTCTGTTTTCATTTTTTTCCCCAGATAGCCACTTCCTACTAAACTTGGTTCACTTTGACACACAAGAACCTCATGAAACCTGAACTTTTACCCCACAATTAGGGCTGGTGTACTCATATTTATAACAGCATAATTCACAATTGCAAAAACAAGGAACCACCTCAAATGCCCACCAATCAACAAGTGGATAAATAAATTGTGGGATGGAATACTACTTAGCCAGAAAAATAAATAAATTAATGGCATTTGCAGCAACCTGGGTGGAACTGGAGGCTATTATTCTAAGTGAAGTAACTCAGGAATGGAAAACCAAACATCATATGTTCTCACTCATGAGTGGGAGCTAAACTATGAAGACGCAAAGGCATAGGAATGATACAATGGACTTTGGGGACTCGGGGGAAAGGGTGGGAGGGGGATGAGGGATAAAAGACTACAAATTGGTTTCAGTGTATACTGCTCGGGTGATGCGTACACCAAAATCTCACAAATCACCACTAAAGAACTTACTCATGTAGCCAAATACTTCCTGTTCCCCCAAAACCTGTAGAAATGAAAAAGTTTCTTTTTTTTTAAAGAGAGCTTGAAATTCTTTGCTTTTTCACTAAAAAATCTACTTTTTTTATTTGTTTCTTTTTTTAAAAGATGGGATCTCACTCTTTCACCCAGGCTGCAGGACAGTGGTGCAATCATAGCTCACTGTACAGCCTTGAACTGGGCTCAAGCAATCATCCCACCTCAGCCATTTGTGTAGCTATGACTATAAGCACACATCACCATGCCCAGATTTTTTTTTTTTTTTTTTTTTTCTAGAGACGGGATCTTAGGGCTCACTATGTTGCCTGGGCTGGTCTCGAACTCCTGGTCTGAAAAAATTTTCCTCCCTCGACTTC
This sequence comes from Homo sapiens, assembly GCF_000001405.40. NCBI lineage: Eukaryota > Metazoa > Chordata > Mammalia > Primates > Hominidae > Homo > Homo sapiens. The sequence continues at coordinate 29,446,921 of NC_000004.12, forward strand.
CTAAGTTGCTGTGATTACAGGCATATGCCACCACACCTGGATGACAATAGAATCTTTAAGAGTATCAATAACATATTTCATGTGTCATTTCCAAGAGAATCCCTTTTCCCTCAAACCCACCCTCTGATTCACTCTGACAGTTGAACTAATACCTTTCTTCATTCTTGGTGTGCTCTCTTCTCCAAAGCATCCCACTCTTAAGTACAGTTTCTTGCTCCCAATTATTGGGAACAGAAACAAGATTGTTGGGAATGAGACTTTGACTTGAGAAAGAAAAAGATTAATATTAAGCTCCTTCTAAATCTATGTGCTTCCGCTTAAGAAGTTCATCCATGTCACTCCCGAAAAGCTTCTATTTTCCAAACTGGATAGTCAGGCATCCAGGTAGGATTCCTAAAAACCATGTGTTTTTTGAAAAGCAAATTGAGACCAAAATGCTTTAAATGTTATGTAAGCACCCAAACCACAGAAATGGAGAGGGTAGGTAGGAGGCAAAAAAAATAATGTAGAGAAAGTTCAAATAGAATTGAGCAGGTTAATAAAACAGTACTACTGTGCCTGTCTTCTTTGAACCGCTTTGTTCCTTTTACCCATTATCTAATGAATCAGGTGAGTTTATGCCATCTATGGCTCTGCATAAAGAGGTGAAAATCATTTTCAGCTTCCTAAAGAAGGATTAACATCATCATACCAAAATGAAAGTCACAGAGTATTGATTTAAGAGAGGAAACAATGTTACCAGATTAAAAAGTAGAAATCACGAGAATTTTTTAAAAAGACAAAATTCTTAGGTTTAGCAATATCATTCTGTAGTATCACATCACTATGGACAACCATCATCTTCATTATATTACCATTTCTGTATATGTTGAGATTTTGCAGGGTGCTCTGAGATTATAATTATTGAATAAAATTTGATTCTATAAGAAAATGTCTACTTAAGATAGACATCTTAAAATTATTTTTTTACTTTTTTACCACAAATGTTGTCTCATGCCTACCTTTATCTTAGAAATATTTTGATTTTGTTATAGAGAGAAAATGAGCTGTTTTCTGTTCTCTGAAAATCAACCTGGAATTGTTTATCTTTTCTATGTGACCATTCTTTGGACAATTTGGCTGGACAGGACTAGATTCATTTGGGGACAGCAACATCTTTGCTCCTAGGATTGAGAAATGGGCAAAAGATATACTAGTTTAAGGGACTGTTCCAGATTAATGTAAATTTGGGACTCTGGACAAGTAATTTTCTGCATACTGTGTGGTCTGAGAAGCCAAGAAAACATCTTAGAAATGGGGATAAAATGGATCATCATAGGAAAAGTAACTGAGTTTCTGGTAACTTTTCATACTTTTTTCTCTTCCCTGAAAATTGTCTCAATACCTCATTTTCTGTGGTCAAAATGAGATATTCTTAAATGATTTTATAAATTATAGCATCCACCTAAAATTTTTCTTTTTTGTTATTTTAAGTCAATTAAAAAATATGCACTCTATTTTATAATGCTTTATTGGATGTAATTTCAAGTCAGTTTTTAAAAATAACATCCTACAAAGCATTATAAAATAGGGTGCATATGGCCTACCCATTTCCAAATGCTCATTAGTTGTAGAAAAGTATCTGAAAAGATAAAGTATTACATTTATTACTTGCTTGTTGTTTTCCAAGAATTTTTGCAACTGGTCCAACATAGAGTATATTTAGGGTAATGGATTAGCTACATTGCCAATACTTAAATCAGAGTTCCTGGATTTATAGGCGGTTTCTGCCATTTGTCACTCGTGTGGCTTTGAAAAGTTATTTAATCTCTTTGTGTACTTGCAAATAAAGGGAATAAATAACTATAGCAACCTCCTTTTATCTTGATAAATAATAAGTGCATTAACACATAAAATTAATGCATGAGTTAATATACAGAGTTAATACATGTGAAATACTCAAGAAATGTGGGCTGTTGTTATTATTATTATTATCATCTAATTAATTAAATTCAAGTAAAACTCTTAGCTGGTAAGTAAGAAAGATTGTATATACCCTCCTTTTCCAGAAGGGAGTCTTTTTACAGTCATTAATTAAAGATCTTGTTAACAACTTTAAAAAGGTTCTTTTCCAATATTCTTAAATCTCATGTTTGTTATAAATTGTCTATTAATAGTGTCGAGTTACTGGTCTTACAGTTCTATATTATAGTCATACACAAACATTTTCTTGATATTTATTGACTTCAGGCACTTCAGGTATTTTTGATGCCAGTAGTATTATAATTTAATGACCAAGACAGGTGATAATAATGATTAATTCTAAAACATTGACTTGTTTCAATTGAAAGTGGGCTCCATGCAGTGGTAAACAAAAATCTCAGCCTTCTGGGAAGGACACTGAGAAAAATCGCTTTATTGACAGTGCAACTATCCATGTATATAAGTTAGATTAAAAGTTAGATATGTTATCTCTTGTCACTTTTGGCAGCCCCAATTCTTCACCTCTTCACCTTGTGGGCTGCAACATGACATTGTTGATAAATAGAATCCTCATTTCTGAAGGCTTTATATCGGGATGGCACGTTGGCTGCAGTCCTTTCAGAAAGTTACTACTTTGCTTGAAGTTGGGCTTCTACATGCTCTCTGAGTGTCACTTTTGTCTAAAGCAATTTCAAGCACCTCTCTTCAGCTTATCATCAGCTAGCTAGCTCTTTAGTTTCCTGTGATTATTCTCCCCCATTGCCCACTTAAATTGACTTCTCTTTTTTCTTTAAAGTTATATCTTCAGTGTGAATGACCTCATTGGTAAGAAGCTTGTTTTGTCATTTTACATGACATCTTGAAAAAAGTAAGAACTGTTGAAAATGTCTACAAATACCCACTCAGGTATCGGTAACATGTTCAAAAAGTGTGCAACGGATGTCAAATGTTTTGAAACCTTTAGGACGTTCTCACCATTGTAGTTGTATTTCCAGTTTTGAGGTATTGCTTACATATACTTTGCAGTCAGCAAGTAGTATATACATTTTGGATTTGTAATGTGGAAAAAAAAAGGAAGAAAAGGAAAGAGGAGGGGAAGGAAGGAAGGAAGGGAGGTAGGGAGGGAGGGAGGGAGGGAGGGAGGGAAGGAAAAGAAAAACTCTTCTATAAAGATAGCACATCTGAAGTGACCAAAATGTATGCCATTCTCAGCTATGTTTTTTTCCCACTGGCTTCCTTAGCTGCATATTGTTTTTCTCTAATGGTGGACTTGATGATTTGAAATTAGTATACTAAATTTACTAATTACTTTGGTAGAAGCATGTTTCTAGTTGACAAAAAACCATACATAGAGGAATGCTGTCATGACCAGACCACTTTTCATTTCTCTCATTGGAACTCTGTTTGCAAAATCTGGCCTTGCTCCACTTTTCAGAATCAAGGGGAAAAATTATAAAGCTCTATAATCAATATCAAGCTACTATAACTACTAATATAATTAAGATTTTTTTCAGTTGTATTAAATGTACTACTGCCTTATTACTACAGTATTTTTTATTGTGACTGACTTGTTATTATAGCTGATCTTCAGCCTGGGTACCTCCACTGTATACCCATTCAGATAATCTCTAACATCCCATTGTTAATCCCAGAACTGAGGCTCTTTCAGAACTATGCCAATCTCCCTCCAAAGCCTAAAGTCCACTCCAGATATGTTTTTTGCCTTCAAAATATACATATTGGGATTGCAGGAAGTTGAAAAGTGCTCTTAGTAGTTAGAAATAATATACATTATATATTACATATACAAATAATATACATTATGTATATTATATATACATATAATATATGTATATATAATATACATAATGTATATTATTTCTAACTACTAAGAGCACTTAGTACATATATACATATAATATATATGTGTATATAATACATATGTATATTATATACATTACATATATTATGTATAATGCATATATAATATATATACATATATATTATATAATATAGAACAGAATTCAGTAGATGCTCCAAAAACATTATTGGAAAAGTTTGAAGAAAACGGGAGAACAATAAGACATCAGACTACTTGGCTTCTAGGTTTCAAAAGAGGTAGCGCCATCTTGAATTTGTTGAAAGTTGTTTTATGGCCTAATGTGGTATATCATAGAGAATGTCCCATGTGCCCCTGAGAAGAATGTATATTCTTCTGCTGTTGAAAGAAAAGTTTTGTATATGTCTGTTAGGTCTATTTCAATTATAGTGTTGTTAAGTTCTGCTATTTTCTGATTGATTTTCTGTCTGGATGATCTATCCATTATAAAGAGTGGGCTATTGAGGATATCCACATGCATAAGAATGAAATTGGAACCTTATCTCACATAATAAACAAAAATCAACTCAAATGGATTAAAGACTTTAAAAATATGATCTGAAACCATAAACCTCCTAAAAGAAAACATAGGGGAAAAGCTTCTTGACTTTGCTCCAGGCAGTGATATTTTGGATATGATATTAAAGGCACAGGCAACAAAAGCAAAAATAGACAAATAGAATTGCCTCAGAATAAATATAATTGTGCACAACAAAAGAAACAATCAACAAATTGAAAAGGCAACCCATAAAATAAGAAAAATATTTGAAAACCATATATCTGATAAGGCATTGATTTCCAAAATATTTAAGGAACTCAGTCAGCTCAATAGCAAAAAATACAAATGCATGATGAAAATATGGAAATAAACTCAATAGACATTTCTACAGAGAAGACAAGAGAGTAGCCAACAGATTATGGAAGGGTAACTAACTTCACTAATCATCAGGGAAGTGCAAGTCTAAACCACAATGAGATACCACTTCATACCTAGTAGAATGGCTATTACCAAAAGACAAAAAAGAATAAGTGTTGGTGAGAATGTCCAGGAAAGGGAACCCTTCTATAGTGTTGTTAGAAATGTACATTGTTACAGCTGTAAGTGGAAAACAGTATAGGGGTTCCTGAAAAAGTTAAAAATAGAACTACCCTATAATCCAACAATCCCACTTTTCCATGTATACTCAAAATAAGTGAAGTCAGTATGCCAAAGAGATATCTGCACTTCCATGTTCATGGCACCATTATTCACAATAGCCAAGACACAGAAAGAACTTAAGTGTTCATCAATGGATGACTGGATTTAAACAATGTAAAAATGTGATGTATATATGAATATACATACATATGAATTTTATTTATTATATATAATATATAAACATAAACATTATTTAGCCCTAAAAAATTCCAGTAATTTAGGATAACATGGATGAAGCGGTAGGACATTATGCTAAGTGAAATAAGCTAAACAGAGAAAGACAAATACTGACTGATCTCACTTAACATGTGGACTCTATAAAAGTCAAACTTACACAAGGAAAGAGTAGAATGATGGTTCCTAAGGGCTCATGGGCTAGGGGTTGGGAAATTAGAGGGATATTGGTCAGAATACAAAGATTCAGTTATTAGATGAATAAGTTCTGGAGATCTAACATAACAGCATAGTGTCTATAATTAAATAATACTGTGTTTTATATTTGAAATTTGCTAAGAGTTGAGCTTGCGTCTCAGCACACACAGAAAATTGAAACTATATGAGGTGATCATTATGTTATTTAGCTTAATTGTGGTAATTGCTTCACAATGTATATACATAGGCAAATATCAGCCTATACATTTTAAATATACTGTATACAATTTCTGTTTGTCAACTGTAACTCAATAAAGCTGGAAAAATAAAAAGGCAGTGTATTTCGTTGTAATTTTCCTTTTGATAATTGGGTTAGAAAGAAGAAAATTGAAGAAAATTTTCAGTATCTACACAGTATCTATAAAAACATTAATAAAAGAAAATGCAAGCTAATTTCATTATCATAAATATAGTGGGGGTTATCTGAACATTTTATAGCATATATATATTTCAACTAAATTCATCTAAATATGAATTTCAGACCAATTTGAGGGTAATGTAGCATAAGGCTAATTTTAATTTGAAGACTTAAGTCAGTTGCTTTCTTCTTTTCTTCATTCATAATTGAAATTCAATACAGGAGACTTTTCAAACATGTAGGTATAAATACATATACTGGTTGCTGCAGAAGTCTGAGTCTATGTGTATTTCCTCATTCCTGCATATCACGTCTTGTGGGGCGCTTCACCAGAACCCATGTACCTGCACAGATAGTTGTTTGAGAACTGCTTTGGAATGTGGAGGCCTTCAAGTGATTCTGGGTAGGGCAGATCAATGAGCAGCAGCATCATGTTTTTGAACAATATTCTCAGCACAAATATAAAGAATAAAGCAGGGTAGTGGCTTCATGTAAACATCAAAGATGGTCCTCACTCTGGAGTGCAGACAAATAAAGAATTTATTTTGCATATATGTCTTTATAGCTAAGGCAACGAAGAGTCTATATACAATCTATAAAAATCTATAGCAATTTTAATTACAGCCTTTCACATGAAGTGTTTACTGGAGATCATAAAATACTTCCAAGAACTTGAGCCCGGGCTCTTCATAACATGAAAGTGTACCTGTTATTCAGTGTTGCCTCACTCAATTGGAAATGGATGAAATAATGTTCCAGGAGATCTGATGCAACTGGCAGATGCATTCGGCAATAGCTTTATAATCACAAAAAATGTCTTTGCAATATCATTATTTCTTGTGTGTTACCAGAATAAAAATGTGTGATGTCATCAGTATTTCTGGGTGAAAAATAGCACAACCACACACAAACATTGCTTAAAATACATGTTCAACTCAAATACATAAATAGGGCAATAAATATATGCATTGACCTTAAAATTGTGAAGGTAGTTTAAACGAGGTATGAGGAAAAGCAGACAAAGTAAAAAATGAGGCACTTGGTTAGAGAAACGAAAGTTGGAGGATGTCATCAACAGAAGCTGCTGGTGAGGAAGCAATTGCAGGATTTTTACAAAGTATAATGAAGTTAGAAATGGTTCTGTGTTTACCTTATTAACAAAAGGAGAGGTATAACATAAACAGTTCTAACACATATTACAGGACCACACTTAAACAAGAAGAAGGAATTATTTATACCATATATGTATGTGTGTGTGTGTGTGTATATGTATATATGTTTGTACATGTATATACGTATGTGTATATGTATATGGTATATATATACCATATATGTGTGTGTGTATGTGTATATGTGTCTGTAAATATATACATATATAATGTATACATATTATACTCTACATATTTTATATAATACTATATATACATATATAGTATTTATAACCCTCCAAGATCTTCTGGGTTCAGCTTTGTACTTTACTTTGTGCTCATTTGTTGTTACTCATTTGCTTATAACTTTACCTTGTAGGACATCATCCAAGAACCAATGTAACTTCAATATTATAATGTCATCTGTTCTTGACATATCAATTTGGTATGAGCTAATTGTTTTATAGAAAGACAAATTATGCAACCAGTTTATACAACATGGCATACATTCCTTTTCCTGATCTTGGGGCCAAATAGGACAAACACTGTACCAATATTTTGATGTTAAGTTTAATTAATAAGTGTGAGCTTTACATACACATAAACCTCAGGTATCTTTAGTATTTTCAGAAACCACTTTCTATGTTTTCTTAAAACATGTAACCTTGAGTTAATCTCTGCTATGTTTAAGTCTTTTGTGCTACAATGGCAGAAAATACAAGGAATAATAATAGTTTTAAGTAACAGTAGTAACTGTTATGTTCCAGACACTTTTAATTTATCTCGATCTTTTTCAATACTCACTACTTTATGAGGTCACTGGAATAGCTTATTTTATAGTATAGATAGCAAGGTTATAGAGGGGAAAATTTCTTAATACTACCTTTCAGATTGCTTTGGGACTCTAAGTCTATTCAAATCTCTGTGAGCTAGCTGCTGACCATTAGTCAAAGTTTTATATGGAGAAACTGCGTGACCAGTATATTTAATTTTTATGGAGCTTAATTTCATAATCTAAAAATAAAAATATAACATATCTCATTGGGTGGTTGTGAAGATAAATAAAACAATGCAACATCGTGCATGAAGCACTTAGTGATAAAACACAACACGCCTTTAATAAGCAGTGGCTCACTGATCTATTGTATTTAGGCTGAAATTAAAATATGGGCTTATGACATATAATTTAAAATATTTTAACCACAACATAAAATCAATTTCATGTTAAAAACAGTACTATTGCTAAACAAATATTTCTGAGGTTTAATTTAATCAATTGAATAATTTTTTGCTTTTTTCACTTTAGTTTCCTTCTACAAACTACAGTCTGGGTAGAAATTATATAGCAAATAAACATTTAATTAAAAAAAAAAAAAAACAGGCCTGGCGCGATGGTTCACGCCTGTAATCCCAGCACTTTCAGTGGTCCAGGTGGGCGGATCGCTTGAGGTCAGGAGTTTGAGACCAGCCTGGCCAACATGTTGAAACCCCGTCTCTACTAAAAATACAAAAGTTAGAAGGGCATGGTGGCGGGCCTGTAAACCCAGCTACTTAGGAGGCTGAGGCAGGAGAATCACTGGAACCCAGGAGGCAGAGGCTGCAGTGAGCCGAGATTGTTACACTGCACTCCAGCCTCGGGTAACAGAGTGAGACTCCGTCTTAAAAAACAAAGCAAAAAAAAAAAAAAAAAAAAAGCATTTCTCTTAACAATACAATGGCGAGTAATACAAGAGGACTTCTTGTCTTGTCTTACTCTGTTGCCATGTATTTACCATCTTTCTCCCATTGCCCCTTCATGACCCCTTCAGCAAGCGGAGATGAAAACATTGTTTTTAAACATTGGGGCCTCCTCTAGACATCATGAGAGGTAAGGGTTTCTGTTGGAACAACTCACTTTACAACCTGGATCTGTTACCGTAGAGATTAGCCCAAAAGACTTCTGAGCTTCAAAGTTGGAGCCCTGTCAACGTAATTAATCTGATTTTCCAGTACAGCATGAGTGAAGGCTGGCAATTTGAATGGAAGAAAGAACCTCTTTGACCCTGGAGGAAGAAGAACATCCACAAACTAGAAGGAGGGAGGAAGACATAGATTGATTATGTGTTGATACGTGAGTGCTAAATGCCAGAGACTTAGAAACATAAGCAGACGCTATGGAGGGGACAAAATTACTAATGAAATTGGCTCATGGTGGATGGGTTAAATCCATCTAAATTACCTCACTGATCATTTCCAATTGCTGCTGTAACAAATAATCACAAATTCCATGGCTTAAAATAAAAGCTAATGATGTTACAGTTCTGGAGTTCCCAGGTATGAAATCGATGTCTCACTGGGCACAAAACAGTCTGCAGGCCTGTTTCTTCTGGAGGTTCCAGCAGAGAATCTGTTCCCCTGCATTGTCCAACTTCTCAACGCTGCCTGCACTCCTTCCCCTCTGGCTCCTTCCTCCATCTTTAAAGACAGCAGTATAGCATCTTCCGCTCTCTCTCTGATTGTGATACTAACTTTTCTGTCTCCTTACTGAACATTCGAAAGCTCTTACTCTTACATTGTACCCACCTGGGAAATCCATGATAATGTACTTTAAGGTCAGAATTTCCTACCGACATGTAACAGAGCATATTCACAGGCCCTAGGGAGTAGAACATCAATATCTTAAGAGCAGGGGGACTATCCTCATATTACAATGGGCAGATGGTGTTGGAGAAAATGCTGCAACAAAAAAAACTCTTTACACTAAGGACAGTGTATCAGGGAGCATCCCATTTTCTCTTGGTTCACTTAATCCCTGGGTTAGGAAAATGATCATGGAAGTAGGACATGCTTCAAAAAAATGAATTGTTCACAACTTTGGTAGCTCTGGCTTCAAGTTAGATGTAATTTGTTATACAAAAACAAATAAAGACTTAGCATTTTTTGCTGTGAGTAGAGGGGAGCAAGTTTGTGACTTCGGTTTTCCCTTCACAACTCCTTCATTTTCAGTACACAGGAGAGTTCTCAAGTGCATTTTATGGACTATCTAGGTTTCCAAGTAATTAAGGATCTAAGGATCTTTTTGATTCTTCACTTTTGAGGATAAAGTATTTTGAAAACTTACATAGAACAAGTATCCTTGAAATGATAATATAATAAAAAATTATGTATTTAACAAATAAATTAATATTAAGAAAGATTAAATATTTTCTTGATATCATTGAGAAGTCAGGTGCAGAAATCACATTCATTGTCACAAATATCAATGTTTCTATCAAAATCCATATTTTTAAACACAACCCTGGTATTTCCCCTAAGTCATCTTATAATAAGTAACAAAAATTCCATTTAAAAGTAGATTTTGGCCGGGCGTGGTGGCCCATGCCTCTAATCCCAGCACTTTGAGAGGCCAAGGTGGGCAGATCATTTGAGGTCAGGAGTTTGAGATCAGCATGGCCAACATCTTGAAACGCCGTCTCTACTAAAAATGCAAAAATTAGCCTGGCGTGGTGGCGGGCGCCTGTAATCCCAGCTACTAGGGAGGCCGAAGCAGGAGAATTGCTTGATTCCAGGAGGTGGAGGTTGCAGTGAGCTGACATCGTGTCACTGCACTCCAGCCTGGGGAACAGAGTGAGACTCTGTCTCAAAAAAAAAAAAACAAAAAAAAAACTTCATCCCTTAGAGGAAAACTTCCATTTGGGACCTAGCAGTCAGTACTTTAAAATCACGTCTGGTAAGTATTACTCATAGCCAGCTTGAGATATCTTGCATTACACAGTACAATATCATTTATTCCTGGAAAATGCACTTCTACAGAAATATATCTCAAGTAATTGCCTCTAGCTGAAGAGCAATTTATAGTATTAGGACATTTGCAACTTCCACATGTGTCTGCCATTTTAAGTCTTTATAAGTTCTCAAATTCCAACTGGACACCTCTCTAGTTAAAAAAAAAAAAAAAAAAATCACTCCAGAGAGACGGCACTTCACTTTACGAAAGTGGCCATCCTCACTGTTGAAGGGGAGTATGCCTTCTACAACACGCTTAGTTTTTGATACATGGGATCTCAAACTAGGCACATCAAAGTTGCATGAAGCCCCTTTCTGTCTTGTCTTGTTCTTTCTTTCTTCCTTTCTTTCTTTCTTTCTTTCTTTCTTTCTTTCTTTCTTTCTTTCTTTCTTTTTCTTTCTTTCTTTCCTTCTTTCTTTTTCTTTTTCTTTCTTTCTTTTCTTTCTTTCTTTCCTTCTTTTTCTTTCTCTTTCTTTTCTTTTTTCTTTCTTTCTCTCTCTCTCTTTCTTTCTTTCTTTCTCTTTCTTTCTTTCTTTCTTTCTCTTTCTCTTTCTTTTCTTTCTTTCTTTCCCTTCCATCTTTCCTTCATTCCTTCCTTCTTTCTTTCTTTTCTTTCTTTCTTTCTTTTTTTTTTTTTAAATACGGAGTCTCACTCTGTCACCCAGTCTGGAGTGCAGTGGCGTGATCTCAGCTCACTGCAGCCACCGCCTCCTGGGTTCCAGCGATTCTCCTATCTCAGCCTCCTGGGTAGCTGGGATTACAAGCACGCACCACCAAGCCCAGCAAATTTTTGTATTTTTAGTAGAGACAGGCTTTCACCATGTTGGTCAGGCTGGTCTCAAACTCCTGACCTCAGGTGATCCTCCCGCCTTGGCCTCCCAAAGTGGTAGGATTACAGGCATGAGCCACTGGGCCCGGCCCATGAAGCCCATTTCTGAGGCTCCCTGATAGCCCTATTCCTGAGAGACTGCCAGTATGCTGTCAAGTTCACAATTTCCCCACTGTCATTGGCAATGTTGCACTGGCCACAAAGGAAAACAATCCCCAGAGTACTAAAATTAATGTTCTCTTTACACTGCTGTCACAAATGAATGGATTTTCAAATAGAAATTATACAAGGAAAATTGCCTTCAGAACAAGACAACATTCTGCAAGAAAAATGTCATGCACTGTTTATTTGTCTGACCAATGCATAGGCTTCTAGGAAATAGAGTTTATTATAGAGAATTATGATGGGATTTTGACAGACACTACAGCGGGAGCACTGTGAGAAAAATGTTGTTTGGTCAACACAAAGCAATTACTTGTTAGGGAGACTACTGTAGATAAAATGACATTCCCCTGTTAGCCTCAATTTTATGACTAAATTTTCAAGCATTTTAGTCTTCGTTACCAACGGTAAAATGTAAGTTAGTTTGCTAAATCATAATAATTATATTTGTCATCATCTACAGGTACACACCAATATACATTCCCTAAAATGTCAACAGCATATTCTTTCCTTGTATAAGAAGTTTACTTGAATACCAATATTACAAATTTTATAGGATGACAGTTATTGTGTGATTCTTGCATCAGGGAGAATTTTCTAACTTACACATCATTTTATTTTCCTAGTAACTAATCAGATCAACTTGCTTTCGGCTTATCTCCAGGTTTTAGCTTGACAGGTTTTATAAAAAGATGACCAGATGTGGAGAATAGAGGCCAAAGGAAAGGGTGAGGGAGAAATATCATGTTTAAACTGTTGAAGGAGTCTATTTCTAACTCTCTATAAAATTATTGGTCCAACTGGCTAACTACAATCTTCAGGATCAGTTTTTAAAAATGTTCCCTTCTTACATATACCATATATCTAATCCTATTAGCTTGCTATCTTCTCTCATTTTAATATCAGCAACAACCTCTTACATGGTGTGATGGTTGATACTGAGGATAAACTTAATTGGATTGAAGGTTGCAAAGTGTTTTTCCTGGGATGCATCTGTGAGGGTGTTGTCAAAGGACATTAACATTTGAGTTAGTGGCCTAGAAGAGGCAGACCCATCCTGAATCTGCTCTGCATGGTTACCATATAATCAGTGGCCAGTGTGGCTAGAAGAAAGCAGGCCCATGAGACTGGCTGTCTTCTGGCCTTCACCTTTCTCCTGTGCTGGATGCTTCCTGTCCTCAAACACTGGACTCTTGAACAAGGTCTTCAGCTCTTGTACTCTTGGACTTACGCCAGTAGTTTTCCAAGGGATCTTGAGCCTTCGGCCACAGACTGAAGGCTGCACTGTTGGCTTCCCTGTTTTTGAAGTTTTGGGACTCGGACTGGCTTCCTTGCTCCGCAGCTTGCAGATGGCCTATTGTGGGACTTCACCTTGTAATATTGTGAGTCAACACTCCTTAATAAACTCCCTTTCATATATACAACTATCCTATTAGTCCTGTCCCTCTAGAGAACTCTGACTAATATACATGGTATCCCTGAATCTAGCCTTATCTTTTTCCATCCATTCATGCATTCACTAAGTTACACTTAGCTCATCTTTTCTGACAAGAAAAAAAAGGAAAAAGAAAAAGTTCTAAACCGTTACTCCAAAGCTATTCTGCTAAGCCACTCTGCTTAGATTCTCCAATACTTTTCACCATCCTCTGAACAATATCTAAAACAGTGAACTTCTCCACTTATCTCTCCCTTTAAACATTTGAGGGAGGGTTGGTAGCAAGATCTACCTATTAATAAAGTTTCTGTCCTCCCCACAAATTCTACCTTCAAACCATCCATACACTCTTCCTTAAGATTGCATTCTCCACATGCAAAGTCTGAAGAGTTCATGAGACGACCAGATGTGGAGAATAGAGGCCAAAGGAAAGGGTGAGGGAGAAATATCATGAGATTTCATGTGCAAGTGACTTACGAAGGTAGTACTTTCAGGAGATGCCAGTGAGGTGAAAGAGTAAAACATGAAGGGGAAGAAGACAAACAAATGTGCAAAGTCATACACAGTCTCATGGAGGGAAGCTATGCTCTGATGTTCAAGGACACGCTCAAGAGTAAATTACACCTCAGCTTTGTTGAAACCTGGGGCAGGACTACGGAGTTCTGATGCTCCAACGTACTGTTCATGGGCTAAAAGCCTTTGAAGGCAGAGGGGAACATAAACTCCAGTTGTATCATTTAAGCAGATCCCATAGTGCTGTGACATCTCTATAAGGAGAATAGAAAGTATAAGCTTTAAAGGAAAAAATTTCAGAAATTCAGAGGGGGTACATAATAATACCAAAAATGATCATGGAGATCAGAACACCCACAGTGTTCACTTTTAGATTAGCTAGTTCCCCTTAAATAATTATATAAAATTCCTCAAAAAGGCAAAGCCTTTGTGTGTCTTTTAATTCTATCACTTTCAAACTACAGCAATTATTCATGATTATAAAACCCAAAATCTTCTTTGTAGAATTGACTGCTTATGTTTTTCTCTCCTTTTAATGGGATTATTTGGTTTTTGCTTGTGGATATTAGTTCTCTATAGAGTACTTAATACATAAATAATAACTAGTAGGCCTTTGTCAGATGCATAGTTTGCAGTCTTCTCCCATTTCATAGGCTGCCTGTTTACTCTTTTGATAGTTTATTTTGCTATGTAGATGCTCTTTAGTTTAATTAGGTCCCAATTTTCTATTTTTGTTGTTGCTGTTGTTGCAATTGCTTTTGGAAACTTAGCCAAAAATTCTTTGTCAAGGCCGATGTCAAGAAGAGTATTTTCTAGGTTGTCTTCTAGGGTTTGTATAGTTTGGGGTCTTACATTTAAATCTTTGATACATTTTGAGTTAATTCTTGTACATATTGAAACGCAGGGATCCAGCTTCAGTCTTCCATTATTGGCCAGCCAGTTATCACAGCAGCACATAACGAATAGGAGTCCTTTACCCAATATGAAAAAAATGATTAGCTTCATTAATCATCAAAGAAATGCAAATCAAAACCATGATGAGATACCATCTCACATTAGTCAGAATGACTATTATGAAAAAGTAAAAACATCAACAGATACTGGTGAAGCTACACAAAAATGGGAACCCTTGTACACTATGGTGGAAATGTAAATGAGTCCAGCCACTGTAAAAAACAGTCGGGACATTTATCAAAGAACTTAAAACAGAGTTAGCATTCAACCCAGCAATTGCATTACTGGGTATATATCCAAAGGAAAACGAATTATTTTACCAAAAAGACAGATGCACTCTCATGTCCGTCACTGTGCTATTCACAATAGCAAAGATGTATAATCAACTAAGCTGCCCATCAGTGGTGGGTTGGATAAAGACAACTTGTTACATATGCACCATGGAATACTACACAGCCATATAAAAATGAAATCATGTCTTTTGCAACAACATGGAGGCCATAATCCTAAACAAATTAGTTCCAGAACAGAAAACCAAAATACTGAATGTTTTCACTTATAAGTGAGAGCTAAACACTGAGTACACATGGATATAAACATGGGAACAACTGACACTACTGACTACTAGAGGGGGGATGGAGGGAGGAGGGCATGCGTTGAAAAACTGTTTATTGGGTACTATGCTTAGTACCAGGGTGTCAAGATCCATACTACAAACCTCAGCATCACGCAGTATTCCCATGTAACAAACCTGCACATGTACCCCCATATCTAAAACAAAAGTTGAAATTGAAAAAATAAAAACCTAAAATATCAAATATCTTTTACACTTTCTTCTTTTGCCCTTGTAAATAGAAAGAGTCTCTCTATATACGAGCAGAAATTCAATTATATTCATTCTCCTGTGTTCTCTATTTTTGTTTAAAATACATAAGTGTTTAAAAACATAACATCTACTATTTGTGGTCTGTCGAATACCAGTACATAAATGTTTCTTCCCCTTATGTGGACATAACATGGGTGTTATTGTAGGTTTGCTTTCAAATCCAGTTATCACCTTTTAATTGCAAAATTGATTTGCTATACTCTTTTTTTCAACTTTCTTCTGACAAGTATATTCCAGATAGAACTACTGGTGAGAAACTAGAAGAGTCAACAGGAGATTAAGGTCTATTTTGTTCTCGTGTTCTCTATTAGATGAAGCTTTCAAAACATGGGTCATCTTCTTCTGGGCTCCAGTGTTCAACAAAACAATCGTTCTCTCTGTGGCTCCAGATCCCACAGAACTAGCAATGAGACAATTTTACCTTTCTCTGAGACCCTTTATACCCTTCAGGTGGTAGTTGCCTCTTGTTTCTAATCTGAGTTGTGTCATAATCACTGCTTGGCTTCTAAATTCATTATCACTTATGCGATCAGTTCCGTCTTTTAATTTCTTCTACTGGAAATGCAAGGAGTGTTTTTATTTGACTGAACCATAAATGAAATACAAATAGAGATAGATATTCAACATTATCAAGAAGATTGTTTTAGATTTTCTCTTTATATAATTTTTGTCTTTTCTAACTTATCAGAACTGAGAAAGAGATGCTGTTTACCCCCATCTACTACTGCGTAGTTTCTGTCAGATCCTTCTATATATTGTAATTTAAAAATAATCTATGATAGCATTTCATTTTGCATATTATGCTCATGTATGATATTTTTCATCTTAAATTACATATATAATCACAGTCAATCATTTTTCCCTATTTATTTATTTTGTTTTTAAATTGAATATTTGTGTTTTGGCATTGTAATTTCTCATTTACTTATTTTCATTTATGTCATATATTAATGTCATTCATTTCACTTTTAATTATTTGTCACAACTTTGGTTTATAAATGGTTTCATAGATAGGATATATAATTGTTATATGTTATATTTGGGCAACTCCAAGAGAATATTTTTTATATTAGTTTTGGGATAATTTTCTTTCTACAGAAGTGTAAATAGTACAGTTATATATTTCACCCGGCTTTCTCTTACGTTAACATCTTATTAAAGTATGGAACATTTACCAAAATAAATGAACTTTGAGATGATACTATTTTAAAAAGCATAGAACTGGCCAAGCACGGTGGCTCACTCCTGTAAACCCAGCACTTTGGGAGGCCGAGGGGGGTGGATCAAGAGGTCAGGAGTTTGAGACCAGCCTGGAAAATATGGTAAAACTCCGTTTCTACTTAAAAAAAAAAATAATGATACAAAAATTAGCCGTTCGTGGTGGCATGTGCCTGTAGTCTCAGCTACTCGGGAGGCTGAGGCAGAAGATTCGCTTGAACTCCAGAGGCGGAGGTTTCAGTGAGCCGAGATCGCACCACTGCACTCCAGGTTGGCCAACAGAGTGAGATCCCATCTCAGACAAAACAAAACAAAGCATAGAACTTACTCAAATTTCACAAGTTTTTCTGCTAATGTCCTTCTCTTCCAAGAGCCAGATCCCGGAAATCCAATAAATAGCAAGTAGGATAGGAAATCCAGCCAACCAATCAACCAACCAACCAACCAATAAACCAAGCTCTACATATCTTAGCTGAACTACAGAAGACCAGAAATATAAGAAAGATTTTTAAAAGTTGCAATAAAGAAAAGGCAGATTATTCACTAAAAGGTCTGGGGGATAATCTCTCAACTGCAATAATGGTGGTCAGAATAAAGAAAAAGAACATTTCTAGCAGACTGAGGGAAAAGAATTTGTCAATCTAAATTTCAGTAAACAGCTAAACTATGTTTTGTGGATGAAAAAGGAATTAACTATTTACAATCATAAACAAAACAGTTTATGCTGCTAAAGCAAAGTCTAAAATTGTATACTTTGGGCACAAGAAAAATGATTCTACATGGGAGATCTTATATGTGAATAGAAATAGTGAACAAATTGATAATGGCAACTGTATTGATAGAACTACCCAAGGAATGGTAATAGGAAACCATTATAATAATACCAAGTTTTCCATGGGTGGGGGACAATAATGGAACAGAATGCTGACCTACAATACCATAAAAGTTTTGAAGGAGAGACAGAATTAAATTGTTCAGTTACATTTGTTATCCAAAGAGCTAGAGCAAATGCTGATTATGTTTTGTTTAAATACTCATGTTAAAATCGCTAGGGTTATAAAGACAAGACTGAGTTAAGAGTATTTAACTTCCTCAAAAAATTAAAAAGGATAAATAGAATGGGAAAAAGGGTGAGAATTTCAACTTATAAAACAACAGGGCAAGAAAGAAGAAAGACAAAAAAATAGTCAATGAAAATAAGAGGATATATTAGTGGAAATAAAACAAATATATGTCAGAAGTCAGAGTAAATGTAAGTAGAATAGCCTTTCCAATTATACTAGTCAAGTTTCAAATAGGGAAAGATGGTATCTCAACTTTTGCAAGTTTCAGGGGGTTTATTAGTAAATAGACCATTTACAAAAGTTTGAGTTGGTTTGGGAGAAGCACAATTACCCAGGCTTAGAATCATTAAAACTATTATTACCTCTAGGTCCAAAGGTGTAGAGATGGGAACAGTTAATGCAAGGTAAGAGTTATGTTGAGGAGGCCTCTTTGAGTGTAGCTCAAGATGACATTTTGAGGAGGAATCCAAGGGAATAAATATCTTAACCTCGTTCACTGCACTCCCTATGATTTACTGGAAATCCCTGTTGAGTAATCCGACTAAATACCGATGGTCAAAGGAGCCTGCTGATGGATTCCTCAATGATTATCCTCCCAAAATTGAGAGTGAAGAATGGAACATAGATCAGAAGGAAAAAAATAGCTGTCAAATCAGTTCTTACAAACGTTAAGTTTAATTATATTTCTAGAATACTTAATTATAGCTTATCAGAAAATATTGTTTGAATACTTACATAATTTTACTGCTATGTATTAAAACAAATTCATATAATCCATCAAATAACACATACCACTTAAATCTATTTCTCCAGAAGATGCAGATATTTCTGAATGTATTTTATCCCAAAAATAGTATAAGAATTAAAAGCAAAAATATCTGTCTGATGTTTCAATAAGTATCAAAGAAACAGCCAATAAAATAGGTTCCATGGATCAGAGGTCCAACAAAAAGCAGCTTTAGCTAATATTTGAAGCTTAGTCAATCCTCCTTAAGTCCATTAAGATGATATTGAGATGTCCCTTCTTTTGTTGGCTATTACTCCTGTCTCACTTCTCTGTAGGATGAACTAACAGGCAAAATGCTATGTGGGTACTTTCAGTTCTGATAGACATAACTGGTTGCTCCTTAGGGCAAGATGAGACTTCCAAAACCATTACACAATATTACTAGGTTTCAAGGAGAATTAAGGAAAGGAAAATCTCAAGCTGAGCAATCTAAGGTCATGAGTGGCATTGGAGTATAATGAAATAGTGTGAAGAAATCTCTCAATAAAGCTAGAACACAGCAGCAAGATAAATGGAGCCACAGTGGAAATCCCTAGAGAAGGTGATAGGTACCAAAAATAAACACCGTCCCCCCCAAAAAAAAAAACCCTTTTGGTTGAACTGCTTTGTACTTCCTGCATCAATATGTACTTCTTTTGTTAGAAGAGTCTTTGTTTCTCCACCAGAAGCGTATTCTAAAGTTAGGCCAATAATATCCACTTTCTCCTTCTTTGCTTCACTGATCATGAATAAGGCTAAGAAGACTTAGGCTTTCAATAATTATGTACTGTTGACTGGCTACATTCGTAGCTTCAGTTCTTAGTCTCTCTGGATATACAGATAGACATTGTGGCATTTAATCTTATCAACATCAGAAAAGTAATTGGGAATCTCCACAAAAATCCAGTCTAGTATTAAAGACAAAGCAGCATGATTTCAGGTAGGCTTCTTATTCATTTGTAGAGGAACAGAAATATCAAAACAATGCACATGTGTGCAGACCACAGCATGGTATGGAACTGTCAGTCTCATTTTTCCTAAAAGGCACATCAAGGATACTCAAAGACTATAACAGCAGTACATTTTATTTAACTCGTGCTCTAAAATTATTAAGTTTTTGTATTAATTGGCTAAGACTGCCATACCAAAATCTCACATATTGGGTGGCTTAAACAACAGAAATTTATTTTCACACAGTTCTAGTGGCTAGAAGTCCAAGATCAATGTGTCACCATGTTTGTTTTTTTTTCTGTGGCCTCTCTCTTAGGTTCTCAGATGGCCAGTTCACCGGGCCTTTCCTCTATTTTTTCCTTCCTAGCAGGACACCAGGCATAGTGGATTAGAATAACATCTGATGAGCTCATTTAATCTTAACTACCTCTTTAAAAGGCCTGTCTCCAAACATAGTTACATTGGAAGTTAGGACTTCAATCTATGCATTTTAGGGGAACACAAGTTAATCCATAACAATTTCTCATAGCATTTCATTTTCAGTCTCTCTGACAAAGAGCTGACATGCGCTGTGATATAAGATTAAATACGTGGAGTAAGTCTTTACAGTTTCTGTTGCCCAGGTAATAAGCATCTGCTTTAACAGTATTGAAGATAAACTAACTAATCATGTACTAATCAAGGACATCCAAGGTTCTTCTGTTTGAAACGTAAGATAGTGTTGCATAACCAGGCAAAAGAAACAGCTTCTGTTTTCCAATTGTTAGGGTATTATCTCCTTGAGGGCAGCTTGTCTTTGCTAAGCACTGTCAGTGAACTTGGACTCTGTAATCTCTTCCAGGAAATAAATATCTCTCTAACTGGTTGAGGAGTCAGAGATAAGCAAAAGAAATAAAACAAAAATACACAAACATTTCTATTGAAATAGTTGAATACTGCTCTGAAATAAACTGAAGGACTGAATGAGAACAGGAATAATGTCATAAAAAGCAGAAGCTTTTCAACTTCACAACAGGGCAGACAGGAGGAGCTGGGGAGAGTGTCTGCTGTGTCTCAAATTCTGGCTTTGTATTTTGAAGCTGCACAGACTCATCTGCAAAGTGATGTGAGATCCAAGGACATCAGCCTCAACTAACCAGGGTTTACAGGCAATGAGTCATTGTCCAAATTGAAACCAATGCTTTTATTGTGGATATATCAGAAAGTCCTTCAACAGTTTGTGGGTATCTGTGTTTATTCAATTATCTTATTTTAATCCAAACCACCATTCTTTAATAAATGCAGCATCCTCATCTGTAGGTTTAGCTTGTGCACACTTCCACTTTGCCTAGTAATCCCTAATCATTTGTGAAGCTCAAAAATGCAACAGTTAGAAACTCTGTATCTCTCCCCTCTTCTAATTCAGCAAGTTTCCCCCACCTGGGGCTCTGCATTGCACCTGGTCAACACTCCCTCCCACACTTACCAGTCACCACCCAGGGCACCTTCATGTCATGAGACCAACAGGAACCTTGCATTTATTTTAAGACCTCCCACCTGTATTCTCTAAATTGGAGCAGGCTCAAAAGTTAAAGTTATAGAAAACTGGGAAAACAATGAATGGAAAATAGTATAACAGGAACATACCCATAGAAAGATCATGTATCGACAAGAATTAGACAAAATAGATAAAATGCTTGTAGTCAATAGCACTTCTAGAAATTACCAGATTTGCTCTATACTGATTACAGAATTAATTCACCAGGGACTATGAAAATCTACATTAGTACGCACTTACTGAAACCTCAACATATACGAGATTAAAAAAAAAGAGAGAGAGAAACTGACAAAGCACCATTATTGTTGGATATTTCAGCACATTTCACTGGAAAATTAATTAATTAAACCAGTAGATCAAAATCAATAAGGATGTACATGATTTGAACAGCAGAAATAACAGCTTTGAACAAATGAACACATAAATAACTGCACCCAATAATTGAAAATATATATAAAAATTAGGTACTTACTAGCAAAAGCTAACTTCAACAAATTTAAACATATTGGGCTCAAATTGACCATATTTTTTGCTAAAATGCTATTAGTTTAAAAATACGGTGAAAATAGATGAAGACAATTATATAATTAAAAATCTCCAAGAAAGAAACAAACATCAAAAAAGCTGAATTGGTGTTTATACAAGGAATAAAATAATGATTTTTACATTAGAAGTTAAATAATTTCTATTCATTATATTAATTTATTGAAGGATGAAAATTATATGATCATCTCAATAGATGCCCCATCAATAAATTTGATTAAAAATTAACTCATTTATAATTTAAAAACAAAATAAACAAGGAACTTATAATTCCAGACAAAATAGGTGCTTTTTTTATTCTAAAAGAGGGAAACTTAATGAATAAATGGTAGAAACATACTTTTTAATATGAAGAGGAAAGTAAGGGTGTTTACGACTTCTACTTCTATGGAAGTCACCATATATTGTAGTAACTCAAGAAAAGAAATAAAAAGTATAAAATGCAGGGAAAACAGAAGCATCATCACTTCTAGATGATTTAAGAGTGTTAATAGAAACTGGAAACTTATTACAATTTAGAAGAAAATTTGGTAGTATTTCTGAAAAAAGTATATAAATATCTGTTTATTGCTATGTACTTGTAACAACCAGCTAGGAAATATGTGCTTTAAAACTCCATTTATAATGGTAACAAAAATAAAGTACCAAGAACAAATGTAACTAAATATGTGTAATTGTTTTATAGAAAACATATAAATAAACTTAATGAAAATAAGTAAAATACCAATATAAATGGAAAGACAATTATAGTCTTAAAAATTTACATATACATTCTGGGAATGTTTATATAAATAATATATCACAACAAATAATTTCGGAAAAGAAAGCAAGGAAAACTGATGCAATGATATAGGGAAAAAAGAGAAGAAATTATAATGACTTATGTCAATGAATTAAATACTACTTAGGATTACAGTTTACAGTATTTGTTCAGATGTTTCCTGAGATTATTGATTTAAAGGGGTAATCCTGAGAAGATGATATGTTACTTTAATTCAAACTTTGCAAGTTGCTATTTTTAAATACTTCCCATAGGAAAGATAAAATATAGAAAATATATTCCCCATGGAAGAAGGTATTGTGCATTCCTTCTTGGCATATTTCACACTTCTGCAAAATGGAAAATTGCTTTGCCCTTATAAACCTTCACTTCTTAAAATAAAGCCTAATTTATAAACTATGTTGCAATACAGATTGTGAAATAAAAACGATTTTATACGTCTTACACAAATATTAAAAGAGCTGTGAATCTATCACAATATCAATTTAGTTTTTTAATTAATGTATATCCCTGTGTTTAGGAAATTAACACACATAATTAAAATATATATTAGAAACTGTCAAGGGTCATAGAAAAAATATCTAAAGTTCTATAGAAACTCAGGGACTGCAGTATTTCCAGGAGAGCCTGCAGCAAAGGAACTTTACAGTCTAACTCCAGGCTGACATTAATGATATTCTCTTTTGGTACCCAACGTGTTCTAAACATTCCAGTCATACAAAGGTGGTCTCATTTGTCTAACTTCTTGTAGTTGCCTCTTGAATTCATGACCTAACAGCTCTAGTTCTAGAATGTGCTCCTACATTTACGCCATTTTACCAATCTTTAAAGCACACATTCAATCAATGGATAAACATTTAATCTTGGCAAAATGCAGCTCCATGACATAAACATGCTCTTACTTCTCTATATCCCAGTTAATAATACCCCTCTCTCTTTGTGAATACCTCCATAACTTCTACCCAGCATACAGACTCAGATACTTCCTCTAGAATGTTAAGCAGAAATGTTGTAATTTAGTTTCATTACACTTAGAGCTGAACGAAATCAAGCCTCACCCCTCACCTCTCTCAGCACTGGACCTTTCTATTTTAATGAGAATAAAATGAGGTCTTCGGGAATTCATCGCATGGGCATCTCATCCTAATATACGTAAAAATGGCATGCAATATGACATAATCAGTATCTACCCCTCTTGTATTTTAAAGACAATGCATCCAGTTGTGTTTTTGATCCCTTTCTTTGTATACATGACCTCCAGACCAAGGGCCTTAATATTTTTTATTATCTTATTTCTCCTATATTTTTCTTTTTTTCCTCTCTTCCTCTCTGAAGCTTAATATTATGTTATGTTTCTTGTAACTTAAGAAAAATAAAAGAATCCACCCTCTGAAGCAAATATGTCTTTCCAGCTGTTGCCCAAGCTCCCTATCTCTTTTTGTTTTTTAATCACAATATCCTCAGATCCTAGAACAGTAACTGGCACTGGAAAATTATTTGCTGAATGTGTGTTATTGATTCTTTCTTCAAAGTCAGGCTTCCTCAAATAATAGTCCACTTTTACTGACATTCTTTTTTTCCTCATTCATTCCCACTCAGTAATTTTACTTTCTTCTCTAATGAAAACATTTTGCTCTTCCTTTGTCGTCATAGTGAATGACACCATAGAAGCTCCCCAAATTATCCTCTTCTTCATGACCATCATTTAATGTTACCACACATCAAGGCTGTCCTACTTCTTTTGCATTGTCTACATATAACTTCTTCTTTCAATACTGTAAATGTTATGACCCTATACTTTCCCACCTGGATTATTATAATCCCTTTTGACTCATTTTGCATATCATCAGCCTTATTCTGCTCATCTTACACATTTTTCTCAGAGTAAAGTTGCTAAAATTCATATAATCCTGAATCAAGTTTTTTTTACATAAATCAACATGTTTCATTATAAAAACCAAGCTCATACTCATGTTGTATAAGACTGTTTTTAGGTCAACCCTGTCCTATTTCTCTAGATATATCTCCACATTCTTTCATCAATTTAATCAATTTGAACCACTTTGATATGTATTTGTGATGGTTTCCTAAATATACAATACTATCTGATTTACTCAAATTCCTAGTTTGTCTAGAGTAAATGTATACCTTTCCTTTTTTATCAAGAGAACACATAAACCCATTTCCAGACTCTGGTGAAGCCTCTAGGAAGATTTTCCTTGTATTGTATATTCGTTTCTACCCACCATTACCCTGATCAGTTCAGTATTGACTGTATTATATTTTGTGCTCTTCCTCTCTGTGAAAGCAGGTAGATAAGATATATGAAATGAATAATTGAATGGAGACCTGATGAAATTTTTGGTTATAAAATGTATCTGCCCCCATCCCCAAGAAAATACAGCTTGGATCACAACACCCAAGTACTTTCAAATATCTTGAAAGCCTTCCCAAGAAGGATGACTGCAAATAAGCCCAGACAGTGAAGGCTACAATAAACACCTAACTCTTCAATGCCCAGACACCAAAGAACGTCTGCTAGCATCAATGTCATTCAGAAAAAAATGAGCTCACCAAATGAACTAAGGAACTAGAGACCAACCCTGGAGAAACAGAGATAATGTGTCCTTTCAGATAATTCAAAATAACTGTGTTGAGAAAACTCGAAAAATTCAAGATAACACAGAGAAGGAATTCAGAATTCTATCAGATAAATTTAACAATGACATTGAAATAATTAGAGACTCAAGCAGAAATTCTAAAGCTGAAAAATCTAATAGGCATATTTAATAATGAATCAGAGTCCTTTAATTGCAAAATTGATCAAGCAGAAGAATTAGTGAGCTTGAAAACAGGTTATTTGAAAATACACAGAGGAGACAAAAGAAAAAAATAAAAAACAACAAGCACATCTAAAGGATTTAGAAAATAGCCTCAAAAGGACAAACCGAAGAGTTACTGGCCTTAAAGAGGAAGCAGAGAGAGAGGTGGGGGTAGAAAGTTTATTCAAAGGGATAATAACAGAGAACTTTTCAAACCTAGAGAAAGATATCAATATCCAAGTATAATAAGGTTATGGAACACCAATCAGATTTATTCCAAAGAAGATTACTACCTCAAGGCACTTAACAGTCAAATTCCCAAACATCAAGAATAAAGAAAGGATTATAAAAGCAGCAAGAGAAAAGAAACAAATAACATACAATGGAGCTCCAATACATCTGGCAGCAGACTTTTCCATGGAAAACATACAGGCCAGGAGAGAGTGGGATGATGTACTTTAAAAAGTTAAAGAAAATTTACAAATCTTTAGCCAGACTAATGAAGAAAAAAAGATAGAAGATCCTAATAAATAAAATTAGAAATTAATAAGAAGACGTTACAACTGATACTGCAGAAATGCAAAGGATCATTTGTGGCTACTATGAGCAACTATATGCCAATAAATTGGAACATCTAGAAGAAATGAACAAACTTTTAGATAAGCACAACTTATCAAGATTTAACCAGGAAGAAATCCAAAACCGGACAAATAACAAGTAACGAGATCAAAACTGTAATAAAAAATCTGACAGTAAAGAAAATCCTGGGACCTGATGACCTAATTCAAATATTTAAAGAATTGCACCAATACTAATCAAACTATTCTGAAAATTAGAGGTGGAGGGATTACTTCCAAACTCATTCTAAAAGGCCAATATTACTGTGGTACCAAAACAAAGATACATCAAAAAGAGAAAACTTCAGGCCAATATTGCTGATGATTATTGATGCAAAAATTATCAACAAAATACTAGCAAACTAAATACAATAATACATTAGAAAGATCATTTATCATGACCAAGTAGAATTTATCCCTGCAATGCAAGGATTGTTCAACATATGCAAATCAATCAATGTGATACATTATATCAACAGAATGAAGGACAAAAACATTTGATTATTTCAACTGATGATTTAAAAACATTAGATAAAATTCAACATACCTTCATAATACAAATCCTAAAAAAAAACCTGGGGATAGAAGGAATGTACCTTAGCATAGTAAAAGCAATATATGAGAGACCCATAGCTGGTATCCTACTAAATGGAGAAAAATTGAAAGCCTCTCCTCTAAAAGCTGGAGCACAACAAGCATGCCCACTGTCACCACTGTTACTCAATATAATACTGGAATTTCTAGCTAGAGCAATCGGATAAAAGAAAGATATAAAGGGCATCCAAATTGAAAAACAAGGCAGGAAGCCATGGCTCACACCTGTAATCCCAGCACTTTGGGAGGCCAAGGTGGGTGGATCACCTGAGGCCAGGAGTTTGATATCAGCCTGGTCAACATTACGAAACCCCATCTCTACCAAAAATACTACTAAAAATACAAAAATTAGCCAGGCATGGTGTCACACACCTATAATCCCAGCTACTTGGAAGGCTGAGGCAGGAGAATCGCTTGAATCCAGGAGGTGGAGGTTGCAGTGAGCCAAGATCGCACCACTGTACTCCAGACTGGATAACAGAGCAAGATTCCATCTCAAAAAAAAAAAAAAAAATTGAAAAAGAAGAAGTCTAAGTATCTTTCTTTGCAGATAATATGATCTCCTATTTAGAAAAACATAAATATTTCACAAAATCTATTAGAACTGGTAAATAAATTTTTGGTAAAGTTGTGGAATACACAATCAACATACAAAAATCTGTAGCATTTCTGTATGACAACAGTGAACAAACTGAAAAATAACTAAATAATCCCATTTACAATAGCCACACATAAAGTTAAATTCCCAGGAATTAATCAAAATAGTGAAAGATCTCTATAATAAAAACTATAAAACAGTAATTTAAAACATTGAAGAGGACACCAAAAAAATGAAAAAATATTCCACATTCATGGATTGGAAGAATAAATATTATTAAAATTTTTATACTACCAAGGCAATCTACAGAGTCAATGCATTAATATATCAATAACATTCTTCACAGGAATATAAAAAATACTAAAATTTATATAGAACCATAAAACACCTAGAATAGCTAAAGCTGTCCTAAGGAAAAACAATAAAACTCTAGGAATCACATTATCCAACTTCCAATTATACTGCAGAACAATAGTAATCAAAACAGCATAGTACTGGCATAAAAACAGACACATAGACAAATGAGACAGAATAAACACATAAACAAATCCTCATATCTACAGGGAACTCATTTACAACAAAGGTGTCAGGAACATACACTGGGGAAAAGAGAGTTCCTTCAATAAATGGTGCTGGGAAAACTGGATATCCACATGAAAAACAATAAAACTAGATAACTGTCTCTCCCGTATGCAGAAGTAAAATCAAAATCAATAAAAGGCTTAAATCTAAGACTTCAAACTATGAAACTACTACAAGAAAACATTAGGGAAAATCTCTAGGACATTGGTCTGGGCAAAAGTTTCTTGAGTAATACCCCAAAAGCACAGGCAACCAACACAAAAATGGAGAAACGGGATCACATCAAGTTAAAAAGCTTCTGAACAGCAAAACATACAATCAACAAAGTGAGGAGACAACTCTAAGAATGAGAAAAGGCTGGGCACAGTGGCTCACGCCTGTAATCCCAGCACTTTAAGAGGCCGAGGCCGTGTGGATCACAAGGTCAGGAGTTTGAGACCAGCCTGGCCAACATGGTGAAACCCCGTCTCTACAAAAATACAAAAATTAGATGGCCATGGTGGTGGGCGCCTGTAATCCCAGCTACTCAGGAGGCTGAGGCAGGAGAATTGCTTGAACCCCGGAGGCGGAGGTTGCTGCTATCTGAGATCGCTCCATTGCACTCCAGCCTGGGTGACAGGGTGAGACTCCGTCTCAAAAAAAAAAAAAAAAAAAAAAAAAGGAAGAAAATATTTATTTGTAAGTACCCATCTGACAAAGGATTAATAACCAGAACATATCAGGAGCTCAAATAACTCTACAGAAAAAAAATCTAATAATCTGATAAAAAATTGGCAAAAAATTTGAATAGGCATTTCTCAAAATAAGACATGCAAATAATAAACAGGAATATGAAAAGGTGCTCAACATTATTGATGATCAGAGAAATGCAAATTAAAACTACAATAAGATATCATCTCACCCCAGTTAAAATGGCTTCTATCCAAAGAAGACTCAATAACAAATGTTAGCGAGGATGTGGAGAATAGGGAACACTTGTGCAGTTGGTGGAAATGAAAATCAGTACAATCACTATGGAAAACAGTTTGGAGATTCATCAAAAAACTAAAAATTGAGCTACCATGTCGTCCAGCAATCCCACTGCAGGGTATATATCTAAAAGAAAGCAAAAGAAAGCAAATCAATATATTGAAGGGATATCTGCACTCCCATGTTTGATGCAGCACTGTCCATGATAGCTAAGATTTGGAAGCAATTTAATAATCAAGAGATGAATGGATAAAGAAAATGTGGTACATATTCACAATGGAGTACTATTTATCTATGAGAAAGAATGAGGTTGTGTCATTTGCAATAACATGGACAGAACTGGAAATCATTCTGTAAAGTGATATAAGCCAGGCACAGAAAGACAAACATTGCATGTTCTCATTTATTTGTGGGATCTAAAAATGAAACCGACTGAATTCATGGACACAGAGAGTAGAAGAATGGTTACTTGAGGCTGGGAAGGGTAATGGGTGGCTGGAGGGGAAGTGGGGACGGTTAATGGATAAAAAAAGAAAGAATGAATAAGATATACTATATTATAGTACAATGGGGTGACTATAGTCAATAATAACTTAACTGTACAGTTTTAAATAACTTAAAGGGTGTAACTGGATTGTTTATAACACAAAGGACAAATGCTTGAAAATATGGATACCCCATTCTTCATGATGTGTTTATTTCACATTGCATGCCTGCATCAAAACATCTCATGTACCATAAAAATATATACATCTACTATGTATCCACAAAAACTAAAAATAAAAAGAGTATTTGCAAGAGCTCAGAAGCTAAAAGTTAGCATATAAGTTTTTCTTTGGCTAGAGTCAAGATTATGTGAAAAGGAAATAGGAAAGTTAAAAAATATATCGTGGAATGACTATAAAAATTGTTACGATTTCGTTAACATGATGCTATCATGAGGGATGGTAAATCTTAGTCATTGAAATTCTAAGTGGCAATGTAAAGGGAAGAAAATTAGTCACAAAACACAAATGAGCGGAGAGGTCACCTCCAGATCTTGTTGCTCAAGCAGGATGAGAGCAAAACTAATTACCATTTGAGAGAGCTGTGGGGAAAACCGTATCCTTAGGAGAGAGATGAGTTTCTGAATAAGAAGGGATAACAATATTCAAAGAATTTGAATACATAAAGAATGATGATGGTGATGTATTTATTATAAATTCCAGAGAGTATACGGAAGAATTTCAGTGATTGGAATTGAATGAGATATGATGACCAAAAAAAAAAAAAAAAAAAAAAAAAGAGGATGTAAAGGTCTGCGTGCATAACCGACTACCGACTTCCTCTTCTACTGTTATACGCAGTGCTAGAGGGAATGACATTATTAGTCCTAGTTGTCTCAAGGCAAAGTGAACGTGTGAATCACAAGGGCATGGGGTGTAAGTTTCCTTCTCACGAGCACACAAAACACAGGTGCTTCCTTTCTAGTTTTAATAACATAGACCTTTACCTGGTAAAGAAAACTGTGGCTCTCCTTCTGCCTTTGCACGACCTTAAGTATGTTATGTAACTTATGGAAACCTTAATTCTCTCAACCTTTAAATGACTAGACTAGAAGACTGCTAAGTTATCTTCTGAAAATAATCTTCATAAAATATTTTTGAAAATTCTATGTTGTAATTGTATGCAGTTTTCCTAAACACCAGCTATCTTTAAAATATGATTGTAATAATAATATTATGTATATATTAGACAGTTAGTATCAGCCAGACAATATGCTTAGTATTTTATATTGATTACCATCACAAATTTCTATGAAGTAACTATTGTGATAATCTTTATTCTAGAGATAAAAATAAAGATCAAAAGAAATCAAAATATGCTCAAGTTCGCTCTGCTAATAAATTTTGAGACAGAATTCAAATCAAAAGAGTGTGATACCATAGCATGATTTCTTAACATGGTGATTTACTACATCTATGATAGAAAAGTAGCATATCCAAAAATAAATAAATAAATAAAATGGAAGAAAATACAGATTTTACTTTATTCCGATTGAAATCTGCAAATTTAAGTCCAATGTTAGCCATATTAAATTTCTTTTATTATCCAATATACCAAATAAATACCAAAGACCTACTCAACACCTAGGTTAAATTATTCTAAAATTAACCATAGTGTTAGCCTTTTAAAAAATGTTAGCACATTATGCAAACTGCCATAGGAAGATGGTGATATATAGTTAAATGCATTCAGAACAATTATTTGAGACAACTGAAACCATGTTACATATTATGAATTTTATCTTATCCAAATTCACCATTTTATGGCCTAATGAAGGATTATTATACTAATTCCCTTTTTTTACATTTTCAAAAGAAATAGTAATGACTCCAGAAGCCTGCTAAGAATGACATCCAGAAATGTGATCATCCCTATTACAATTTATAATATCTTAGCTTTCTTTTCTTTATTAACATTATTGCATCTTTTTAGTCTTTAAGTACTTTTAAGGGTTATTGTCCCTCACCTTAAAGAATAGTGAATCTCAATAAGACTGACTACAAAACAAATTTCTTTCAAAAAAAGTGCTTTTTAAAAATAAGTATCTTGAAATGAGGAGGTAACTTCCAACAGAAAATGGTATTTATTTTCAACAAAATTTTTAAAATAAATAGTTCTTAGATTTTTAGGTTTTATAAAAGACTAAACTTTTAAAAGGAATTCTACCAACATAAAGAATTGCACTAATTTTTTTTTTTTCTAAGAAAGGACATACAGGACGGGCGCGGTGGCTCACGCCTGTAATCCCAACACTTTGGGAGGCCGAGGTGGGCAGATCACGAGGTCATCAGACCATCCTGGCCAACATGGTGAAACCCCGTCTCTGCTAAAAATACAAAAAATTAGCCGGGCGTGGTGGCAGGCACCTGTAATCCCAGCTACTTGGGAGGCTGAGGCAGGAGAATCGCTTGAACCTGGGAGGCAGAGGTTGCAGTGAGCTGAGATCGCACCATTGCACTCCAGCCTGGGCAAAAAGAGCAAAACTCCATCTCAAAAAGGAAGA
Organism: Homo sapiens; assembly: GCF_000001405.40. Lineage (NCBI taxonomy): Eukaryota > Metazoa > Chordata > Mammalia > Primates > Hominidae > Homo > Homo sapiens. The sequence continues at coordinate 29,478,534 of NC_000004.12, forward strand.
AAGGAGAGGAGAGGGGAGGGGAGGGAAGGGGAGGGGAGGAAGAAAGGGAAATAATGGGAAAGAAAAGGAAGGAAGGAAGGAAGGAAGGAAGGAAGGAAGGAAGGAAGGAAGGAAGGAAGGAAGGAAGGAAAGAAGGAATGAAAGGAGGGAAGGAGGGAAGGAGGGAAGGAAGGAAGGACAGATAACCTTAACCTGCCTAATATACAAGCAGTAAACACAACTAATGAAAGGAGATTTTAACATTGTTGTATTAAAATAGACAATCCCAAAGTGTGATAGTTTCCCACTCAGGAAGAGTTAACCTGAGTTATACATTTTTTAATACATTTATTTTTTTTCCCAGTCCTTGATCTTTTTCATAGGTCAACACTGCTTTATCATTAATGTTTCAGAAATACTGCTTTGTAATATGTATACCTGCTAAATTAAATAATTTTTCAATAAATTATTTTCTGCCATTATACCCATTGTAATTTCCCATTCCCTTTTTGTTCTTCTGTAAAAATACAAATTTGTCCAATATACAAGATATTTTTTATAAACCCTAGAATTTATAAAATTCTAGGATTTATAGAATTTATAAAAATCCTAGAATTTTTTATAAATCCTAGAATTCTTTCTGTGCTTTCAAAGTTTATCTAGCTAGTTACACTAATAGAACTAAGACATATTCTCCTACTCAGCAAACACTTGTTCCAACCCAATCCATAAACTCTGATTTAAATATATATTAAAATAAATGAATCTGACTTATTATAAAATGGTATAATAGCTTATTAAATTAAACAATTTGTAAAAGCAAATAAAATAATCATTTAACCTTAAGTATTTAGACAGTAGTATTTTCCTCCCATAAAGCAGTGGTTTTCAAATATGTGCTCTAGAAGAACCACACGAAATAGAAATGTGTCTCTATATGATTTTCACATGCCTACTTTCTCGGTTGAGAATTTCTGTTATAAAGTATGATGGTTATTATTGTGAATACCTCTCTCAGTTGGATTGCATAATTTAAATTTTAATTTCCTGTGGCTCATAACGTTATACAGTATTGACTTTGTCGTGTTAATGCACTCTTTTCATGGAATTGTTGGTGGTATGTGATATGGTTTGGCTCTGTGTCCCCACCCAAATCTCATCTTGAATTGTAACCCCTGGAATCCTCACATGTTATGGGAAGGACCTGGCGGTAGGTAATTGAACCATGGGGACTGTTTCCCTCATGCTATTCTTGTGATAGTGAGTGCGTTCTCATGAGATCTGATGGTTTTATAAGCGTCTGGTATTTCCCCTGCTGGCATTCGTTTTTCCTTCGGCCACCCTGTGAAGAGGTGACTTCTGCCATGATTGTAAGTTTCCTGAGACCTCCCAAGACATGCAGAACTGTGAGTCAATTAAACTTCTTCTCTGTAAATTACCCAGTCTCAGGTATTTTCCTATAGCAATGTGAGAATGGACTAATGCAGCGTGATTTTAAAGAAATATGTAAAAATGACCATCTTGTTTTATTTATTTAATATAGATTTACCTACAGAAAATAATTTTATAGATGCATAATATTTTGCAGTATACTGCTGCAGTACATAAAATTTAGCCCTTCCTTTATGAAAGCACATGGTATCTCTTTCCATAAACACCTGAGAAAATGCCATTGCTATTTATTTACTGAAATTTATAAACAAGGGTGATTGATTGCTAGTACCCCAAGAAAAAAAAATATGTGCTATAGTGCTTTCCAGTAAAAACAAAACCAGAGACAAATTCGTGAGCAGCTGAAATGGAAAGGCATAATTTCATGAGAAATAATAAGGCCTCACAAATCAATACCAGGATTCAAACACTTAGACAAATATTGGACAATATAAACTGCAGCTGGAAGCATTGCATAATTATTAAATTTGGGTTATAAAATTGAAATGGACCTAGAAATATACAACCCCCTTTCAATTAAACCAAGTGTGGCACTGAGAATAAAAGCTCATGGATTTCTTCTCCTAGTCTTGTGTACATACATTTTCTTAATTCTGCTTAGATAGTATGGGAAGCATTCTAAACCAGTGGTTGTCAACCAAGTGTCATGATTCCTTTCAGAGGAGATTTGGAAATGTCTGAAGAGATGTTTGGTTGTCATGACTTGGGATGGGGGTGCTACTGAAATCTAGTCGGCAGAGGTCATAGAGGCAGTTAAACAATGTGTATAGGATAGTACCCCACAACAAATGATTATTGTTGCTAAATACGTAGTCATCCCGGGAACAACTCATTTTGGTCTTCAAATGAAAAGACAATTACTCCACCCTGCTTTTTTCTACTTTTTCCCTTAATTTCTTTTTAAAGTGTTATCACACGATACCTAATTTTCCACTAAATATATGCATATGTTTATACAAGCATAAAAATATACACGTTTTTAAGAAGCTTAATCGCCATTTTAAAGTAAATGTTTTATAATTTTTTGTTGAACTACAACTTCACGTCTATTTGATTGCAAGAAAACTGTGATTTTACTTAAGTGGGCTGAGTAGTATTCAGAATCATTTTATTTAATTGAATCATACAACATGTGGCCTTTTCTGTCTAGATTTGTTCCCTTAGCATGCTATTGAGATGCATTCATGTTTCCGTGTGTATCAATAGTACCTTCCATTTTATTGTAAATATTAGCCTTTTGTAAGAATGTAATGCAATTTTTCTATCCATTCTCCTATTTACATAAATTTAGATTATTTTCAATTGTTAGCTGAAGAGTAAAGCTGCTGTGAACATTCATGTATATGTCTTTACACAGGGAAATCTTATTTCTCTTCAGGAAGTAATTAAGAGTAAAACTGTTATGTCAATAGTAAGTGCATGTTTAACTGAATAAGAAGCTGCCAAATCATTTTCCAAATTGACTGTAGTATTTCATATCCACCATCAATGCATGAGTGTTCTGGTTGCTTTGTATCTTTCCCAACTTTGCTATTTCTCATATTAAAGCATGTGCAGTTATATCTAATTGTATTAATTTGCTCTTCCCTATGATTAATAATTTTAGAATTTTTCCAGATACTTATATGTCATTTTTATTTTCTTCTATAAAATGCCCAATCAACTTTTAGTCCATCTTTAGTTTTTTATTCATCTTAGTCTTGAACATCAAGTTTATTTTATAAAGGTTTTACACTTTCTCAGCTATAGATGAAGGAAATCTATCTTTCCAGCCTATAAATTGTTTTTCTTTTCTGTAAAGCTGTCTTATTTAGAGAAGAAAATGTTAATACTGATGGCATTCAATTTATCCTTTTTTTCTACTATAGTTGTTTTATATGTCCTGTCTATGAAATTTTTGCCCATTCTAAGATCATGAATATATTGTATGTTTTCTGCTAGAAGTTTTATCACTTCAACTTTAAAATACAGATCTGTGACCTATTCAAAATTAATCTCTACATATTATTTCAAACAGGGATCAATATTTTTTAATATGAATTTCAAGTTGTTAGAGGAAAAAAAAATATTTAACACTTTTCAGGTATTGGTAGGACATATACACAGCTAGAGTGTCCCCATTTCAAAAATTTGAAATTCAGAATGCTCCAGTACCTGAAACTTTTTGAGCTCTGATGTGATGCTCAAAGGAAATGTTTATTGGAGCATTTCAGATTTTTGATTTTCAGACTAGGGATGCTCTACCGGGTAAATATAATGCAAATTTAACCAAATCTGTAAAAAATTGAAATCTGAAGGACTTTTGGTTCCAAGCGCTTTGGATAAGTAATAGTCAACCTGTATTAGGTTATTTTCTTTAATTATTTACTCTGTTTCATTAAGCTAAAAATCTATTTTTACAAGAATAACACAGAGCCATGATAGTATAGTCAAACTGAAATTTGAATTTAGGAACTAAGTTATAAGTTTTTCTTTTCATTTTAAAAATATGTTTAGCTATTTTGGGTCTCCTGCATTCTCTTATAAATTTTAGATTTTTTTTGATATTACATAGGAAAGAAATCTGCTCAAAATTTGACTGGGATATTTTTTAAATTTACTGATCTATTTTTGTAATGTTGCTATGTTAACACTTTTGAGTTTTTCAATCAATAACAGAGGTGCACTTCGTATTTTGGCCTTCTATACTATGTCGATAAAATTTTTCTCCTCTTGGCCAGGCGCAGTGTTTCATGCCTGTGATCCCAGCACTTTGGGAGGCTGAGGCAAGAGGATCACAAGGTCAGGAGTTTGAGACCAGCCCGGCCAACATGGTGAAATCACCCCATCTCTACTAAAGATACAAAAAATCAGCCAGGCTTGGTGGCTTATGCCTGTAATCCCAGCTACTTGGGAGGCTGAGGCAGGAGAATCTCTTGAACCAAGGAGGCGGAGTTTGCAGTGAGCCGAGATTGGGCCATTGCACTCCAGCTTGGGCAACAGGGAGAATATCCATCTCCAAAAAAAAAAAAAAAATTCTCCTCTTTCGTTTTTTTGTTTCTGTTTTGTTTGAAGTAGAGGTCTTCTAACAGTTTCTCAATTTTATCACAAAATATTTTGTATATATTAATGTTATTGTAAAAGCACTAATTTTTAAAGTTTATTTTGAAACTTAATGTTGCCAGTATATAAAAATACAATTCTCTGTTTATGTTGACCATGTATAAGACAACTGTTCTAAATTTAAAATTGCTTTTAGTTGATTTTTTTAAAGATTCCTTAATGTTTCTACATAATAATTACATTGTCTTTGTATAAACACAATTTTACACTATGCTTGCAAAAGTATATACTTTTTATTTCATTTTTCTCCATAATATTTTGCTAAGATCTTTAGTACAAGAATGAGAGTAATCATAGAGAGCAACTTCATAACCAACTTTAGCTTCCTTGGTTTAATCCTACTTAGTGATGATACTGTAAGCTTGTGGTATACAGTTGCATTCGATATGCTAATATGTTGTTAAGAATTTTGCTTCTATGATTGTGATGGATATATCTATATAATTTTCTTTTTTTGAAGGAAGTACTTTTTGTGTGGTTTAATATTAATTTAAATTTGATCCATGCAATGGGTTGAGGAGTGTTGCTCTACTTTCCTGTATGCTGAAATTTTATGGAAGGCTGTACGTATTACTTTTTTACTGTTTAATATTAGGTTGGTTGGTTCAAAAGCAATTGCAGTTTCAGGCCGAGAATTTTAAGTCATTATAACTAGGCTCAAACACATCTTTATTAATCAAAAAAGAAACCATTACAATCAATGCATTTGTACCAACGAGAAACAATTTTTTTCCTGTAGCATAAATATGATGCTTCGGGATACAATGAACTCTTGGAAAGTATTTTCTGCATTCTGCTAGTTTTGGAAGCATTTTCCCTGCAAAAAGTTGTCACGATGCTTGAAAAAGTGGTTTACAATTGGCAAGCGGTCAGGTGAATATGGAGGATGAGAAAAAATTTTGTAGTCCAATTTGTTCAACCTTTGAAGTGTTTGTTGTGTGACGCTCAGTTGGGCGTTGTTGAGGAGAATTAGGCTTTTTCTGTTGACGAATTCTGGCTGCAGGCACTGCAGTTTTTGTTGCATCTCATCGATTTACTGAGCATACTTCACAGAGGTAATGGTTTCACTGGGATTCAGAAAGCCATAGTGGATCAGAGCAGCAGCAGACCACCAAACAGTGACCATGACCTTTTTTGGTACAAGTTTAGCTTTGGGAAGTGCTTTGGAGCTTCTTCTCATTCCAACCACCAAGCTGGTCATCCCTGCTTATCGTATAAAGTCCACTTTTTGTTGCACGTCACAATCCAATTGAAAAATGGTTTGTTGTTGTTGCGCAGAATAAGAAAAGATGACACTTAAAAAGGACGATTTTTAAAATTTTCATTCTGCTCATGAGGCACCCACTTAGTGAGCTTTTTCACCTTTCCAATTTGCTTCAAATGCTGAATGACCATAGAATGGTCGACGTTGAGTTCTTCGGCAACTTCTTGTGTAGTTATGAGAGCATTAGCTTCATTGATTGCTCTCGATTGGTGGTTGTCAACTTCCCATGGCTGGCCGCTATGCTCCTAATCTTCAAGGCTCTCGTGTCCTTTGCAAAACTTCTTGAACCACTACTGCACTGTATCTTCATGAGCAGTTCCTGGGCAAATGCGTTGTTGATATTGTGTGTTGTCTCTGCTGCTATATGACCCATTTTGAACTCGAATAAGAAATTCGTTTGAATTTGGTTTGTTTCCAACATTATTTCCATATTATAAAATAAACATAAAATAATAGCAAGAAATAAGTCATTAGCCAAAAAAAAGCGAGAAATGCCCATTAAAATGATGTATAACATAACCACATTTAAGAATGTATTCCAATATCAAATGGCAAATTCCAATGCAAAAACTGCAATTACTTTTGCCCTCATCGAATAGATTTTAACTGACAAAGAAAAACCTGTCTTGAATTCTCTTTGTAGGAAGGCTTTCATTGCAGATATGATTTAATGAGTTGATATAGGATTGTTGTTAAGTCTTTTTATTCTTGTTTCAATTTTGGTCATTGTATCTTTCAAAGAACTGGTGCATTTTATCTTAGTTTAAGCTTATTGGCATTACTTTATAATAATAACATTACCTGATTATCATTTTGAATGTATTTAACCTCTGAACTGATGTCCATCACTCATTTCAAATACTACTAAACTGTGTTTTCACACTTTTTATTATTAATTTTTATTTATTTTATTTGAGATGGAATCTCGCTTTGTCACCCAAGCTGGAGTGAAGTGGTATGATCTTGACTCACTGCATCCTCCACCTCCCAAGTTCAAGTAGTTCTCCTGCCTTAGCCTCCCGAGTAGCTGGGATTACATGTGCCTGTAGAAAATTATCAATATGATAATTACAAAATTATCAGTAGGATTATTTTCAAATAATAAAATTTTAGTTTCATTGATTTTTCATTGCTTTACTAGAATTTATTATTAATATTGTTTTTGCTTTGTCATTTTTTAATATTCATCCTCTCTTCATTATTTTTATGGATCTGAAATTTTTTCAGATACAATATTTTTTAAGCCTGAAAACCTTTTAATATTTCTTATCATTTGAGTCTACTGACCACAAATTGTTTGATCTTTGTTTGCTTTCATTTTTTAGTTTTTAATTGTACTTTCATTGAATATAGAATGTTACATTCATATTTATTTATTTCAACACTTGTATAATTAGTTCCATTATCTCTTTTGTTGCTGTTGTTTATTTGAGACAGAGTCTTGCTGTGTTGCCCAGGATGGAGTGCAGTGGCATGACCTGGACCCACTGCAACTTCCACCCACCGGGTTCAAGTAATTTTTGTGCCTGGGCCTCTGAAGTAGCTGGGACTACAGATGTGCACCACCATGCCTGGCTAATTTTTGTATTTTTAGTAGAGACAAGCTTTTGTTATGTTGGCCAGCCTGGTCTCAAACTCCTGACCTCAAGCACTGAGCCTGCCTCGGCCTCCCAAAGTACTGGGATTACAGGTGTGTGCCACCATGCCTGGCTGTATTTTCTTCTGATTGACATCGTTTCTTCCCTCTAATGCAGTATGTCTTTATGTTACTATTGTTAATGTCTATCTTTAAGTTTCTTATCACTGCTTTTAAATATCTTGAGCCTTGATATGGTTTTCTTTATCATACATAAAGTTTTTGAGCTTCTTGAAAATTTTAGTTTAGATTTTGTATTAAAATTGAATGAATTTTCGTTGTGATTTCTTCAGGGATTTTCTTGCTTTCTCTCCCCACCCCTACCCCATAAGCTCAAATTATTTGTATTGTAGATTGCCTTTTTTTCTCACAGGCTACTAAAATTCTGGTAAGATTATTTAATTTTTTTCTGGGCTTCATTTTATATATTTTCTTTTGCATTCTCTTCAAAAACCTATTGTTGGTTTTGTAGCATCTAATCTTCTGTTCAATACAAATGGTGGATTTTTCATTTCAGGTATTTTATTTTTTAGTTCTAAAAATTCTAATTATTTTCTTTCTATACTTTGTTATGTTCATGTTATTCTTATTCTATATTCCTGTGATTCTATTCTTATGACTTCTATTTCCATAAATACATATAAATATTGCCAGCAGCTTCTTTATAGCATTTGTACGATAATTTGATCATCTTTGCTGCTTCAGATTCTATTTTTATCAACTCAATTGTTTTTCTTATTACAGGTTTAATTTTCCTACTTCTTGGCATATCTAATAATTTTCCAATGGGTAACGAATATTGTGAACACTATGTTATTGAGGACATAGGTTTTCTTGTCTAGCTTTAAAAATGATGAGTTTTATTCTCTCAGATAATGTTCTTGTGTATAATCTTCATTTTAAATATTATTAGTTTAGGACTAGAGTAAACATTTTATTCTAGCATTGTTTTTTGACCTCATTGTTTAAAAACTGCCTGCCTGGTGTTTTTGTTGAATGTGTTAAATGTTCAGGGAGGTATTTCTACCTTGTATAGTCAGAATCTGAACATCTCTCAATCATGTGTGAGTTCTGGAAGATCTTTGACTTACAGCTTCTCATTAGTTAACCAATTTCTAGTTGTTCTCTGGTCAGCTTGTTAGAGCCTCATCATATGCATGTCTGGATTTATATTCAGCCAAAGATTAAAAATAATGCATCTTTTTGGAGCTATTTCTTTGGAACTTCCCGTAAAGCTCTTTCCATTTCTACGCCCTGTAAATTCCAGTTGTGTTTCCCACCCCTTTCTCAGCTACAATCTCTTCTCCTTACCTAACCAAGGCTTCAGGATCCTTTTGGTTTCTTTTTGACTTTATTATAGTCTTGAAAGTTCCTTCACACAGAAAGCCAGATTGTTCACAGGACTCACCTTGCTTTTTTTTCTTTTTCTCCTAGTGTCATAGTCCTGTTTTGTTTCTTTTCAAAATTTTTAGAGTTTCATATATTTTGTACGATTTTTTAGGCTGCTTTTGTTTGTTTTTATGACAGTCTGGTTTCAGTTGCTGTAACATGTCAGGACTTCAGGACATATAATTTAATGTATAAAGAAGAATTTAAGGTTATATTATCCAAGAGGTAGGCTAAGTAATTTACAGCTAGTATCCCATTTAACCCTGAAAAACATGCTAGGATATTCTATTTTTCTCAATTATTTCCATAAAACAGGAAAGAAAAAGGAGAGGGAAAAAAAGTGACAAAAACACTTATGAATATTTTAAGTGAATGCTGGAGAATTTCAGAAAGGCTGTATTCAGGATTAGATCAGTGGAGGAAAAAAAGATAAAGAAGAGAATAAACAAATGTGCATAAGATCATGATTTCATAGAATTTTTAATAATAACTTCATTTTCTCTGGCAAGGGGTTCAGAAATAATGTGATGTAAGGTAAATCCCAGGAAGTATATGACACTTAAACTATAGAAATAATTGAATATCAGCTTAAGGAAGCTGCTTTTTATTGTTTTTAAGAAGTAAAATTCCATTAATGGATCTTTCTGGTAGTCCTTCGAATGACTTTGTCCACCAATTTATGTTGGAAATAGCTTTCATATGCATCTCTTCAGTGCTGGGACAGTGACTTTGTCTCTGTGTCCCCATCCAAACCTCATGTTGAATTGTATCCCCAGTGTTGGAAGAGGGACCTGGCGGGAGTTTATTTAATCATGGGGTGAACTTTCTCTATGATGTTCTCATGAGATCTGGTTGTTTGAAAGTTTATAGTGCTTCCCCCTTTTTTTCTCTCTCTTTCCTGCTGGCCATGTGAACACATGCTTGTTTCCCCTTTGCCTTCTGCCATGACTAAGTTTCCTGAGGCCTTCCCAGGCATGCCTCTTGTATAGCCCGCAGAGCTTTGAGTCAATTGAACCTCTTTTCTTCATAAATTACAAAGTCTCGGGTAGTAGTATATAGCAGCATGAGAACAAACTAACACAGGCAAGAAAATGTATATCTCCAGCTCTGGCTTTTGTTATGCCTGGAATATGCTCTTTCTGGGGAGTTCACAAATAATTCTGACAACAGTAGTTTGAGGGAAAGGTAATCAGTTCCAGATTAGAAGTTTTGTATGTTGAGTACAAAGCTTCTGGCATTGCTTTTTAGAATCAGAACAGAATTGGCAATATGGCAAACAGGTTATATTTTGGAAATAAACTATGTTCTGATTGACTGGTAAAACATGTTGATTGTAGTTCAAATCATTAGAAATAGTATAATTAGAACGGGCAAACTATTTGTTTTGCATTGTCATACATTGACTCTTCATATTATCAAATAGAAAAAAATATATTTTAGCTATCTATGATGAGTAGAAATTAAATTCGTCATGGCATCTTACCTTGTCAAGGGACATACATATATCACTCCCAGTTACATGGCAAATGTAGATGCCAATTGAGCACAACAGTGGTAACCTTTTTAAATTGTGAAACTAAATGTTATCCAGAACACTGGATAAAAAATCAATTCTGCTACCCCTTAGGGTGTTTAACATGGAATGAATTTCATTACCAATTCAGATAAGCATAAAAATAGAGAACTTATTGGTTCTCTAGGGGTGTTTGTATCCCAAAAAGATTCCATTAAAGCTATGATGATGGCCAGGAAGTGACAAAAACATTTATGGAATTTTTTTTTTTTTTTTGCTCCAAATATATATGTAGTTTAACCATTATGCAGGATTTTGGAGGAATAAATCACTTACCCTGTGAATGCACCCAAGGTGTGCAGGTGTTACCAAATTTAATTTTTCTCATTGAATCCCTCATTGGTTGTTGTTTATGTGTTAAAATATTTTGCTTACAGCTCTCTAATAACATTTAACATGCTTTATATCTTTCATTATTCACTGTAGCTCAATTCTTGGGAAAAATTATCTATTTTTATGGAAGAAAAATAAGAAAGTAAACTCTATCTACTGAAGAGCCACCAATTACTGAACTATTTGATGTGTTACTTTTGTTTTTCCTAAATAATCAATATGATTTCAGTGGGAAATAATTTATTCGGCTGTATATAGGAAGCACAGAGAATTGATTAGCTATTTTGCAATAGCCTTTGTACTTTGAAAACTGTCAAGAACTGGCTGTTTTAGACATTGGCAGGAGAGACCACAAGGTGCCTTCATTTGTTTGTCTGTCTAGTTGCTGCTTGAACAGCTGTAGTGTCTTTTAGTGATTCTTGTTTTCCTATGACAGCATTGCAATGCAATCTCTTTTTCTGGGCATGATTCAAATAATCATGCTTTAATTTCACAAAGGCTAATAATTTGGCTTCATAAATTAGACAACTAGTGGCACCTTAGCACTACATCTATAGAACTAGTAATCATAGCCCCCAAATTTCCCAGATGTCTGCAAGCTTGTGCTGCCATTTGATAAACATCATCTTCATTGTCATTTAACTCTACCTTACCTTAATTTCATTATTTTTCTTGAAAATGAGGTGCTTTTGGAATTAGAAATTTGAAGCAGCAATGTGGGAAAACAAAATGTTAAGTATGAAAAACATAATTGTGGTGTTATGAGGGTTTCTTTTTTTTTTTTTTTTTTACCTTTTTAGGTTCTGCCTTCAATGAAATTAATGCTTTTACCTAAGACTTATGTTTAGTATAATGGCTCTGAATGAGTCCCCCTGGCCAGGTGACATCATTTCAAGATGAGACTCATTTTTAGCTCCACTAGAACTTGCTTGGCGACCTTGAATAAGCTACTTAACCTCTCATTGACTTATTTTTATCTCCTGCAAATTGGATATAATAGGTTCAGCCTCCCTCATGATGATACTGAAAGATAGTTAACATAATATTTTAAAAATGCTTTAGGACCCCAAGGAACCATGCTGTAAGAGAGCCGTTGTATTGGAAGTCAGACCCTAGACCACCCTTGCAACACTTAAATTGTATCATTTATGCACATCTAGATTGACCTCAGTCCATTTTAACTTTAAAAGTATCTCTTAAAGATTCTTGGCCAATTTGAAATTACCTTTCCGTAAAACATTCAGTGTATGATGAGATTTGCCAACCCTGGAGAAATTACAGATTTTTATTAAAAATATCAAGTCCAGAGACTTTTAAAAAATATTTTAAGCATTGAATTAAAAATAGATGAAGCAAATTGATAAAATTATTTGAAGTTCAGAGAAAATATAGTAGATAATAAGGCCTTCTTTCCAAGGTGTACTATTGAAAGTGTCCACCTTAAAATGTTTCAGTTAGTAGTTGAAAGTATTATTTTTAAATTCTTTGAATATAATTTTTCTTCCTCATTTTACTCATAGTGCACTTTTAACTGTAGCAAAATTTTCTTAGATTTTCCCTACATTTGGTATAACTTCTTTTCCTATTTCGACCATTGTCATACTTTTTTACTAATCAAAAGTGCTAGGAATAATTTGTTATTACTATTTCTTTGCAGATCAAAATTATATCTACTTTTTTCTGTGTTATTAAAATAGATGCATTAAGATATACTGTATCACCACGTTCACTAAAAACAGTGACAGGATCAACCAAAGCTTTTATTTTTCCACTTTCTTTGTTTTCATTCTTCACATTTGGAATCTAAAGTACAATATGCTTTGCTCAAATTAACTTTTGTTCACTTCCCAAAAACAAATATATCCCAGAAATAAGCATCCTTGAGCATATTGCAGTGAATGCCCTGGGAGATCTGAAAACATTTTTTAAAGAAGAGTTTGTAAACCTTTTTTTGAATAATTATAAGTCCTGTAATATGGACTCTTACATATCCTGTTAAATTAAAATGACAATTTCTTAAGAGATTTCAGCCTAGGAGACATTTGATAGCGTCATGGAAAACACCAGAATGGAAGGCTTTACTATATTTCTTATGAGCCATAATCTGGAAACTTTCCTTTTACCAAGACTTTTTATTGAAGTTCAGGCATCACTCATATTTGCACATCATAGAGAAGTCCGTCACAAACCTTTGGAACCTGTGGAAGATATTCTACATGGCACACATTGGAGAAAAATGGTCCTTAATTTACAACATTGAACAGTTCTGTGAAGTCATTCTGTATATTTTATTGGGGTATTTAATCTATTTACATTCAAGGTAATTATTGATAGGTAAGGACTTGCTACTGCCATTTCAGAACTTGTTTTCTGATATATTTTTTAAGTCCTATGTTTTTTTGTATTTTTTTTTTTCATTTTTATTTTTTCCTTCATGGTTTGTTTGATTTTTGTGGTGGAATGCTTTGAATTTGTGTGTGTGTGTGTGTGTGTGTGTGCGTGCAACTGCTATAGGTTTTTGCTTTGTGATAATCATGAAGTTTACACAAAATATCTCATCTTTATAACAAGTTAAAATGATACTTTAATCTGATAACAAGTTAATTTTAAAGGAATATAAAAATGTTATACTTTCATTCTCTTCCTACCTTTTATGATTTCGAAGTCAACATTTACAATTTTTTTTGTAATTTGTATCTGTTAACAATTTATAGTATTTATAGTTGTTTTCAATATTTTAATTTTTAACTTTCATAATTGGAATATGCCTTACATACCACCCTTACAGTTTAATAATTATGAATTTGACTATATATTACTTATACCATTGAGTTTTTTTAAATTTCACATTTGTTGTTGTTGTTCTTGTTAATTATCTGCCTTTTATTTTGGCTTAAAGAACTCCCTTTTGCAATTCTTGTACAGCAGGCCTAATGGTGATTAAATCTCTTCCCTTTTGTTTGGCAATGTTTTTATTTCTCCCTCACTTCTAAAGAACAGTTTTGCTGAGTTAAATGTTCTTCGTTACCAGGTTTATGGTTTTTGTTTGTTTGGTTGGTTTTTGTTTGTTTTGTTTTGTTTTGTTTTCTCAGCACTTTGAACATAACATGTCATTCTCCCCTGGCCTGTAGGGTGTCTGCTGAAAAATACAATGAAAGCTGTTTTGATGTGATTTATTTCCTATCTCTTGCTACTTTCAGTATTTTTTCTTTGTATTTGATTTTTGATAAATTGATGATGATATGTCTTAAGTTTCTCTTTGGGTTAAATTTAATTGATAACCTTTAAGCTTCTTCCCTCAGATATGGGACACTTTCCATCATTATTTTTAAAAATATGCTTTCTAGATTTTTTTTCTCTATCTTCTCCTTTTTGCATTCTATTATGTGAATGTTAGTTCCATTGATAGTGTTCCATAATTCTCATAGGCCTTCATTTTATTTTCTTTCTTTTCTTTTTGCTTCTCTGAATAATTTCAACTGTCCTATCTTTGAGTGTACTGCTTCTTTTTCTGATTGATTAAGTCTGCTGTTGAAGCTATCTACTGATCTTTTTCACTTGGTTTTTGTACCCATTATCTCTAGAATTTCTATTTTTATTGTTTCTTTTTCTACGTCAAATGTTTCATATTGTTCATGAATTTTTTAAATTTTAATATTCTATCCATATTTTCTTATAGTCTTCGGAATTACTTTAAGTGAATTATTATGAATGCTTGCCAGTTATGTCATAGATCTCCATTTTTTAGGTGCATTATTAGAATCTTATTGGTTTCTTTCGGTGATGTTATATTTTTCTGATTTTTCATAATCCTGTGTCCTTATGTTGATGCCTCTGCATATAAGAAGACATCCACCTCTTCTGGCATTTGAACATGTTCTTTGGTGATGATAAGCCTGTACTATTTGCCTGAAATTCTAGAGAGGCCAGGTGGTTGCATCTATGGACAGGCAAACTTTTGTACTGGGTTATCTAGGTTATCTATATATAAGATTATGTAATCAGCAAATAGAGACACGTTTATTTTTCCTTTTCTATTAGGATCATTTTTATTTCTTTCTCATCTAATTGCTCCAGCTAGGACTTCCAATACTTTGTTGAAGAGAAGTAGTGAGAGTGGGCATTCTTGCCTTGTCCCTGATCTTAAAGGAAAAGCTATCTGGGTTATCTAGGTGGGATGGGTTGCTTCCAGTGTTCTGAGGTTGAACGGTACTTCTGACTGTGCTCTGTGGTTCAGTGTGACTGCTGGATGGATTCCGTTGTCAGGAGCAGCTTTTGGCTGAGTTCTGTGATCATCTCTAACTGGGAAGGGTTGCAGGTTGTCTTCCCTGTCTGAGTGATACTGTTGATTGACATCTGTAGCTGGGCAGGGCCGAATGCTTGGCTCTATGGCTGAGTAAGATCTCTGGGGTTCCTGCTCAGGAAAACAGGGTGAACAAGGCCAGAGGGCATGTTCCACAGATATGCATTGGTTTGGGGATGCGTTCTGGCCTAGGGTAGACTTATGTAGAAAACAAAGGCCTGGGGGAGTTGCCATTCAGCAGCTGGGGTTGGGCAAAGCCAGATACTTCCTTCACAGATAATCACTCACCTTCAGTTCCTTCCCAGACTTGGGAGGACTAAGCAAGAGCACTGGGGTTGTGTAGAAAAGATGGCTAAGGCCTCAAGCTTGGGAGATCTGTGGACCATCCCCCCATAGTATGATGCTGTTGGCTATTCTCTTTGGTCTGGCACCTCCATAGGCCAGGCTGCAGAACAATAACCAAGATCTGCACACTGATTGCTGTGAGCTCCATCCCCATTCTTTGTGTCTAACCAACCCCAGGTGGTCTAGCCCTACTGGTACTCCCAGTATTTCCTATGAGACAATACAGGAATGAGCTCTGGCAAAGGATTCTAGAATGGTGAGGAAGCTATAATAAATATACACCTCCTATTCACTTTTTCCACTATAGAAACTGAATCCAGGGAATTTTTCTGTGTGTGGCACTGTGCCAGTTTGGGGAAGGGCTGTGTTGTCAAAGAAAACTGTTCCTCCTACCCCACAGATGTGCTTTTCTCAGTTCTTTTTTTTTCTCAAGGACATAGCTTAGACTCACTTTCAAATTCTGGGATATTCACAAAGGTATTATTGCCTATGGATAGTTGCTAATTAGATTTCTGCGAGGGAAGGGTAGAGCCCGATGACTTATCTGCCATCTTGCTAATGTCATTAAAAATTATTATTTAGATTGTATTCTACTTTAAAAACAAATATATGTTGCAGAAATTTTTAGGTGATATTCTCCTTAAAATCATGGAAATCCCAAAATAAAACATGTTTTACAAGTATGAGTACTGTATATATATGTATATGCAAGGCACTATATATTCTAGATTGTTTCTCAGCAAGCCATTACTTTATAAAATTTATTTTTTCTGACCATTTAACTGTATAATGTGAACTATTTGATTATTACAACCCTATAAGACTAATTAATATGTGTAGGGAAGGCTCATTTAAAATAAAGTTAGGCAATATGCTTAGATTGCCTCTCTTTTAAACATAGGCTCTATTAGAAAGACAACTTTATTTTTTAAATATAAATGTGATGTTGTCATATGCCTACCTTTATGACTTATCAAAGATTCAAGTGTTCCAATTGTTTTATTCTTGTAAGAGTTTAATTAAAATGCTAAATGCAAGAGCAAATTCTGTAGTGTCAAAATTCTTAATTATTCTATATCATTAATTGGGGAAAAAATACAAATGGGAAATTTCAGGGTTTTTTTATTACACTGATGATATATATAGAAAATGTACCTCTGAATATAGTAATTGTCATTGAAAAGTATCATTAGTTAAATTTAATAGCATTTATTAAGCTTCCTAGATTAAAACCTTGGAAGTTAATAAACAATTCTTCTACAATATCTACTTCTAAATCACAGGTTTTCATGAATATATCATCAAAAAATCTGACAATTTTTCATTCATTGGTAATTTTTCTCATAAATGGAGCACATGAATCCAGTAATGAGTGTTAAAATAATATTAGTTATATCTTATTTTATATCAATGCCAACAGGCTTGAAGTTGAGAGTTTGACAGTTTTCCTCTGAAAGTTCTGTTGCTAAGGTGTGTGCCTATCTCTGCCAAAACCTAACATTTATCATCTATTTTCTTTGTTGTTTATTAAAATTTTAATTTCTAAACTTTTAAGCTGTACATATGCTTTTTTGGCTATTTAAAATTTCTATATTTTGTATATATGTAATTTATACAACCAAAAGATGGCAGTACTTCATCAACTATTCTTTAACTATAGTTCTTAATATTTATTTTTATGAAGTCAAAATCTGCTGGGTGTAATTTTTATATTTCAAAAGTAAAACTATATTTCATTTCAACAGCTGTTCAATAAATGTTTTAATTTTTGAGCTCTAAATCATGATAGATTTCCTTTAGAAAAAAAAAATATATATGTAAAATAAAGCCCCATAATAATTTCAAATGGGTGTCTCTGAGTGGATATTTTAAAGTGTTTTCTCTAGCACTTCTCTTGGATTTATTTGATTCGTTGTGTATGAATCTCACCGAAGACAGCTCCTGAAGGTCTATGGAGGTACCTTTCTACTAATACAATGATCTTGATTTCATTTCTAAAAAATTGAAGCCTGTATTGGTGCTTTCAAATGTACCAAAGTGAGGCTGAATTTTTATCTATTACTTCAAGAGTTTTGACTATAACTCTAACAAAGAAAGTACACAGGTGTTTCTAATTAATATGCCATCAGTGTAATGAAAGGGATTTTTATGTTTAAATACAGCAGTACTGAAAGTCCACTGAATTTTTCATCGTATAATGATAATTCACTGAAAATTTTTATTTTTCTTGCTGCCTGTTATATTAAAAACTAGTTTTCCCTGGCAATCTTTATCATCTTTCCTACCTCTTCTAGAACCAAAATATCACAATAATCAATTTTAGTGCTTTAACATTTTAGTGCTTTAATTTAAATCACAAGTGATTTAAGCTCTTCATAACTATGTATAATTTTATTATCTAATCTCTAATGCCATGTCTTATAAGAAATTTGGCCAATAATTTTATTACCATGTGATTTAGCATGGAAGGACAAACTCCAAATATTTTGTATATTTTTAAGCTTCTTAGTGACCACCATAGCCGTAATATTCCGGTCAACTTGTCTAAATTTTAGATAGTTTTTTTTTCCTAAGTATACGTCCCTGACTTTTCTTTTCTTATTTAGTTTATTAAATTTGGAATTCTAAGTTCTTGCTCTGTTCTTTTGAGATGTAAGTTTTCTCCCAGCCTTTTGCCAGTTTTACAACCCAAGAATGTCTTCCCATGGATCTGGGAACCAACATTTTGAAATGTAACCATCAAGGAAGACAGAGCCCCTATCTTCCAGTCTGTAGTAAGATAAGAGTCAGACTTAAATAAGTGCCAATGAGGCTATACAAGTGGACCAATCCTGTCAGCTCCCTCTCCCTAATGTCGTCTAATGCTTTTTCATTAGCCCACCCCAGTGCTTAAATCTCTCCCACCTTTTGCTTCAGTAGAGTTGAGTTTGATTTGTCTCTCTTACTGCAATAGTCTTGACCTTTATTGCAATAGCCTTAAAGTCTTCTTGTCTTTTTAACTCTGTCCAGTGCAATTTGGGGAGTGTGGGGGTGGCTCCATTACTTTGTACTGTTGAAATTGCTGGAAGAAAACATGCCACAAAAGTATCCCAGTGATTTTATTTTTTTTCAGTGCTTCTGAGACAGAAGAAACTAAAGCTCATCTTTTCTTCTTCGTGTTTTTTTCTTATAAAAAACAAAATCCTTCTTACTAATTGAATATGAGCAGTTTCAAGAGAATGTTAAGATAGGATCTTGGTTGCTCTTGACAGTGGTGTCTATTTTTTCACCTTGTTTCTCAACTTCTTCCATAACTTCATGGCATTGTCTTTCATCAGGAAGTCAGGGTGAAGATTGGCAACTCTTATTGGGGAAAACTGCATTATATAACAAAATCTTTTCTGAACTTAGGTAAGTGGCACTGATAAGAAAGGTATTACATGGACAGGCCAGTCACAAACAGAAACATTCAAGTTTTGTGAAGTCCAAATCTATAATCTGGGAATCCTCATTATGGAAAATAATACAACATTTTGAATATAAAAATTATTGGTGCTACACGCAGGGCCTTCAAATGGGCCTAGATAAATGAGGTTCCCTGCAATTTAGGCTGCACTATCTCCTACATAATCCTGGAATGCAACTACTTAAATTAATCAGTGGTAGGATTAGAATACCAGGAAAAACACACATGCATGCGAGCACACACACTCACAAACACACAGGAAATGGATGACTCTGTAGTAAGCAGTTGATCTAGAGCCTAAGCCAGAATTCAGAATTAACAGAATCCCTGGGTAGGATGTAAATTAAATTCATAATTCAGAACCCAAAGCAGATCTCAGAGCAAAGCAGGTGAAAGATGTGAGATAAAAACAATTACCAAGATTCACGTCAAATAATCAATGTATTTCATTTTCGGTCCATTCTTTTGAGTATTTTCCTAGGCAATGACTATTTTATAGTTGGGGTAAGTTCAGGAAACAGGTTTGATCTGATTAAATACTTATAAATACCTAACAAAAGTATGAACATGTATATAAGTACGATGAACATATAAGAATACGTTTATATGTGTGTATTGTGTGTGTGTATAAGTATATATACTAAATAATTTTCCTGGGTCGACTCTCTCCCATCCAAGAGCACAGGAGACGCACTATGCTTCTTTGTTCTTTTCTGTCTCATCCTCTTTAATCACAGGACAGTGGGAACAGGGACAAGGAAGACTTTGCCAGGGTCCTGCTTTTGCTTTTGTTTTCTGTTTGTTTTTAAGTTTTGAGAGACATTGATAGGAAGTTTGGGGTGGAAGATGAGTAAAAGATGAACAAAAATAATCAGCGTTTGTAAGTGAGCACAGAGATAATCGAAACAGCCAACATGGGCTTTTTAATCAAATATGTGCTCCTTGGAAAGACTCATTTTTATATATTAAAGCTCTTTGTCATACTATTTATTTTTACTTAGACAAAAACTTTTGAGCTCCTTATTGAAAATATTAATATCTAATTTTTTAAAAAAATTATAAACTGGAACTCAGAGAGTGTGTATAAATGTAAAAAGAGAGAACTAAGTTAAGTATCTAAGATGGATTTGGAGGGTAAGTTCTCTGACTGCCCTTCCTCAGCTTCTGACTTCATTTTGCCTCCCTCACAATTACAACATTAAATTAACACTTTTCATTTCTCACTATGCATTGAGATACAGTACTCTGTTGATACAAAAGGTAAGAGTAACCTAATCCAGTATCAAAATCAGGAGGGAATTCTGGATTTGGTTTTAGCTATATATGTGTTGCTTTTCTCTTTCTAAAAAAGTAAGAATAGTGGCCTTTTTACTTCATGGAACAGTGTAGAGACGTTACTATGTCTTCGGAGATTGATAAAGGATCTATAAAAATTAATACCCCCTTAGGTGCATAATAACTGAGTAAAGGATTTTTTCACACAATTAGTCTTAAGGTAATCAATTTTCAGATTCTCAACTTTCACATAGGCTATTTTCAAAAGTCAATCTAAGAGTGCAGTGGTGCAGTGCTGTGATGGAGATGCAACTTCCCCTTGCTCATCTTTCTTCCTTAACTTTGAAAACACACACACACATACAAACACATATACATATATACATCTCTCACCACACCGTAAAGCATTTTTGTAGTCATAAATGTGTCTCCATATCATCAAACAGAGGAATGTTTGGATATATGGTCTAGGCAAAGAGGCTCTTGCAAGTCAGATCGTTTCCAAGTGTTTACTCTCAATAAGTCAAGGAGGTCCTAATTAAATCATCAGCAGACATTCTATACAATGGAAATTTCATATGAACTAAACAAGTGAATGGGGCACATAATTATACATAATTATTTCTTCGGAAGATTCATGCATCAAAAATCAAAGAACTCTGGTTCTTGCAACCATGATAGAGGCATAAGGAACGGGTATAATCCAGTGTTTATAACAGCTAGCACATGAACGTCTGATAGCACAAACAATATGTTAGTATGTAAAAATGCCATTTCTAAAAAGTTTGTTGGAGCTTTTTATTTATTTTTTTTAAAATGATGTTAGGAGATCCTTCCAATCTGGTAGTAGATATTTTTATAGACCCTTACGCCCACCCATATTTTTTATGAAATGATGAAACTCCTTTCTAGACTTTCTTCCTTCTAATAAAGGAAATTTGAGAGCAGAAAGGAAATGTGATTAACTTCCACCAACCAGGCACAAGGGAAAATAGTTATGAAAATGAGTGACAACATTAATGATTTAATTTGCTTAGAATTTTTCAATGTACTTTGTTTCTAGAAATTATTTCAGCTTAGACATGGGAATGTATGTCTTGACTGTAATTACTCATGATATTTATTACAGATTTTTAAAATTTTGGTATTTTTTCCCTCCACCTAAATTTGGCCTTCAGATCACATTAACCTGTCTTAAGCAGATTGTAGACATGGTTAAAGTATAATTCTTGGGATCAGGGTCATTGCCAAAATGAGGTGAGTTGCTTGCCTGGACCACTTACCCAGTGTAAGTGGCTGCCAAAAGAATTGTACTTGAAATGAGGCCATGTTCACAGAATTCCCACAGACTTCTTAGAGTAATGTAATTTTAATTTTAATGTTCTTCAGAAAAGAAGCTAAAAGGATCAGTGCCCTGTAACTATTCCAAAGTTCCAATGTTAGCACACTACTGCTAAAAGCACACTGGACGTGAAGTGGACCTTGTTTGGAAGTGATTAGAGGGCAGGTTTTAGAAGTAAAGATGTAATCATGTCATTTGCCTTAAAAAAAAAATCCTGTGCCAGAATCTTACTATTTCTTGGACAAAATACAAAGGCTTTATTTAGCATTCAAGAAGTTGGAGACTTGAACGGGCATGTCCTTGCCCAACATTGCAATCTCAAGTTTCACTGTCTTTCCTCTTGGTCATTTTAGTGGACTTTAACATTTTTAGATTAATGTATAATAGTTGTACATATTTCGGGGTACATGTGATCTTTTGATACCTGTTTACAATGTGTAATGGGGATATCCATCATCTCAAATATTTATCTTCCCTTTGTGTTGAGAACATTACAAATCTATTCTGGCTATTTTGAAATATGCAACAAATTATTGTTATGTCTAATTTCTCTATTGTGTTATTAAATATTAGAACTGATTCCTCATCTAAACATATTTTTTTTGTATCTCTTAACCAACTTCATTACTGGCCATTTTAGCTCCTTTCTGGTCTTTGCCATATGCTCATATTCCCCAGGACCTTCAAGTAAACAGCTTCCTCAGCCGGAAATATTCTAAAATGATTTTGAATTAGTCCTCACGTTAGTGACATTTCTTCAGAAAGCCTTCCTGTAATCTAGGTTTGTTTGCATTTGTTTTTGGATCCTAAAGCCTTTTTATGAGGATGAGGGAGTAAAGGGATGAGAACTTGGCAACTAATGTTTATGGAGCTCTGACTATATGTCAGGCATTCATTAACTCTTTTAGTCATTACAACAACCACTTGAGGTTGATGCCACCATATTATAATCTCAATTTTCAAACTAACTATTAGGCCTTGCTTGTACTAACTGGTCCAAAGTGACAAATCTAGTAAGCGGCAAGTAATTACTTCATGCCTATGTGTCTTTCTTACTAATCCTTTACCTCTGAGAGAGCAGTGGCTAGTGTCTGTCTTCCTTATCTTTGTGTATATCTTGAGGCTTGGTAGAGCAGATAATTAATAAACATTCATTAAATGATAGAATTAGGCAGATAACATGATGGTGAGATAGCTTTTTTATGCATATCATAAAGAGTGTCATGAAATATTGAAAAACTTTCTGGTGAGAATTTCACATTTGTATTTGGTTTGAATTAGAACAAATAAAAAAAGATGTGTGTTTACCTGAGGAAGCTGTCAATGTAGCTCAATCCCAAAGAGTAGTAATTGAATACATGATTCTTAGAAAGGTAGTTGTGTGAAATAGGTGAGATAGTACTTATAACATTGTTGGTGGGGTTAATTATTAGCCTTGCTTTGTTGACACTACTAGATTAAAAAAATGTAACAAAAACTTCTAAAAGTATCCTTCTATTAATAATATAGGTAATCTTGTTAGGTTTTCTAATTTGCTTTAATTGAATATTTTTGTTGCATAAGAAATAAACAAAACAATATTGTCATAATAATCACAGTCATTATGGAGAAAGCAGAAAATACAGACAAGCAGTAATAAATAAAGTGGTGACTGGACACAATGCAAGCATATAACCACTGTTGAAATTTGGCTGTATTTATTTTCCTGTTATCTAATAGGCAGATTGAATTACCATAAATGTGGTGTTTGAATCAGCCTGTTTATTTGGGAGGCCCAAACAACCTGAAATCTATTTCAAAATTGTATGCCTGGAAATATTGCAGCAGCAAAGGTTGATGGTTTGTATCAGCATTTCCTGGAGATTTATTTGAAAACAAATGTTAAGAACTAATTCTTTATCAATGCCAATGTCAAGGCAATAGACTTCTGGGTATGTTTTGTGCTTGGCTAATGTTAAAGAGAGGAAGTGGAAAAATGTATTTTTTTCATGTACAATTTTCTAAACAATGAAATTTTCATAATATTTTATTTACTATTGATGGCTGGATTAAATACTAATAGTCTAATAGACTCTTTCAATTTGAAATTAGTTAATCATTAGCATCTTTACTTGATTACTACTACTATTATAGGTTTTTTGACACCATGTAGACATATTAAACTATATATATTTTATCTCTTTCTCTATATATAGATAGATATATTCGTTTGACAGTTTATTTTTAATGCCTGAAAGTTATGCTATGATTCTATTGTAGTTTGATGGCGAAGTATTTGTAGTCAGTTGTGCATTTTCTTCCAAATGCTTTTTAACATTTTTAGCTGAAAATTTATTTTCTTAGGATACCGAATTTCATTGTCGGAACAATTTTTCTCCCATTTTGTAGAATGTCAATAAAGTCTAGACTTCTGTAGGAATTCTAGTTTGCAATCAGAGTTACCTTTCTACCATATAGCAGCAAAAGCTCTCCTTCAAGCAATTTAGAAAGGCATTTCAAGACAACAGGCAGCAAGATAGTTTCTCTCAGTATAGGCAGTATTCTATTGGTAAGTGATTTATAAGGCTGTGCATCTACACAAGTGCTCAATACATCTATGTGGAGTTTCTAATTTGTTCTGCAGACCCAGAAGTATAGTCATACTACAAAGTGTAAAACATCTATTTTCAAATTTCTAATAAATGAAAAGTCAAGGACTAAACAGTAAGACATGTACATTAAAGAACATTGAATACAATTAAAATTGATATGAATAGTAACTTTTCCCAATTTTATTTTGAAAATATAAAACTGCATTGATAATGTTTTTAAAAAATTATCTTTAACAGATGATTAAAAATTATATTATATTAATTCTTTAAGAAAATATTTTTAAATGATAGCAAATTAATTATATAGTTTCCAGCTTTCCAGGCAACTGGAATTGTGTGAAATGTGGGAGAAAAAAGGTAAGTAGTTGAACAATACTAATTGAACAAAGCATTTTTGAGGTCTCTGAATAGAGGAAGCAATATAACATGATAACTAAAATAAAACTGACAAAATAGGTCTGGAAAAAATCCCGGAGGTCTTTGTGTTTCCTTATGTATTTTCCTTTATATATTTTAAATTTTTATGTATGATTTTTTCTTTATTAGAAAATATTCAAACAAAAATATACAAAATAATATAAAACCACTGTGTTTTTGTATTATTTTGGAATTTTTTAAGTAAAAGAAACAGGATAAAATATATAAATTTGAAGCTCCCCTTCCTTTCCCTTATATTATACAGAACCAACCAATAATAAAAATGAAATTCCAATTGTTGATGCTATTACTAGATAGGAATGTATCTATAAGCAATATATATTGTTGATTGCACATGTTTGATTTTTTTGAATTTTTTTTTTTCAGAAATGGAGTTTCTGTCACTCAGGCTGGAGTGCAATGACACGATCATAGCACACTTCCACCTTTAACTCCTGGGCTCTAGAGGTTCTCTCGCCTCAACCTCCTGAGTAGCTGGGACTGCAGACAGGCTCCACCATCCTCAACTATTTATTTTTATTTTTATTTTTATTTTTACTTTTGAGTTATGGGTCTTGTTTGTTGCTCAGGTGGGTCTCGAACTCTTGGCTTAAAGTGAACCTTCCACCTTGGCCTCCCAAAGTACTGGGATTATACACGTGAGCCACGAAATGGGGCCAATGTTTCATTTTTATGTCAAAGTTCTGATATTATAATTTTGCAGTTTAATTTTACTTTTAATAAGTTAAGTTCTAGGTCTGTTTATATTGCTATAAATAGATCTAATTTTTACAATTTCATGTGGTTCATAGTGTTTGATAGCATAAATAGATAACCATGAATTCATACAATTTTTTCCTGCTACTCATCGATGATATATACGTTTTTAAGTTTACAAATAACAAGGCAAGGTCTTGTCTCTGCCTCCTGAGTACTTATGTACAAGTGTTTCTCTGGAGCTTGATGCCTATTTGCTGATTCAAACTTTATAATCTTTTTTCTTTTTTAGCTTTATTAGCTGCTGGAAAACTGATTCTGAAAGCTGGACACATGTTTAGTCTAATCAGCAACATAAGAGCATTCTTGACTCTGAGCATTACCAAAGGAAATACCAGGTAATGTCAAAGCTTTTTGTTTTGTTTTGTTTTTAAATTTTATATTAAATTGGTAACTCTTACTGTGACATTTAACTTAAATTTTGAAGCAGACAAGTGTATTAATCATTTAATATAAATGTTCTTATTTTGTCATATATGTGGAATTTTTTCTACCCAACAGCTCAACATAGTATTCTGTGTCTGTAATCCCAGCACTTTGGGAGGCCTAGGTTTGTGGATTACTTGAGGTCAGGAGTTTGAGACCAGCCTGGCCAACATGGAAAAGCCTAATGTGTACTAAAAATCCAAAAAGTAATCAGACACACACCTCTAATCCCAGCTACTGAGGAGGCTGACGCATGAGAATAGCTTGAACCCAGGAGGCGGAGGTTTCAGTAAGCCGAGATGATGCCACTGCACTCCAGCCTGGGCGACAGAGAGAGACTCTGTCTCAAAAACAAACAAACAAAAAGTATTATCTTATATAGTACAATAATAGATGAATAATTAATTGGATGAATATATGCTTGTACAAAGTGTGTGTGTGTTTGTAGAGAATCTTCCCCACTCACCTGCTAATTTAATAACATTTTGTAGTAATTTCTGATGTAATGTATATCAATTTTCCATTTTTTGTTTTTCTGTTTCACAAATTTACGGACTTGTGGTTTTCTAGTTTGTCTGGTTCTTTAAAAAAAAAAGTCTTTTGAATTTTGATTGAAATAGCATTGAATTTATTGAGTAACTGAATTGTTTTAAACATTGAGTACTCACATCCCTGCATATAATTATTGATTCATCCATGAATTGAATATTTTGTCAAGTACCATTTGGTAACTATTTTGTTAGACTCATATTTAAGTAACATTTGGGAGTAATTTTTATCATATTTTTATCATATTATATACAATGTTTTTACTGTTGATGTATAGAAATGCTACTGCTTTTGTTTTTATCTACTTTTTTTTTCATTCACTCAACCTTGTGGAACTCAGTATGTTTTTAAATAGTTGCTGATAGATTTGTTTGACTTTTCTATATACCTAATTGTATTTTCTGCAAATAATAATTATGTTCTTTCTTTTTTATGACAGTTTTCTTAAGTTATGTTCTCAAGTATGTTCTATTCTTACTCTACTGGATGGGACTTTCAAGATAACATTGTGGAGGAAATCAATTATAGATATATTTGGTCTGCTTTTTTCAAACTCCAGTTATTTTCTAACATCATTTATTTATTTGTGTTATTTTCATCTGCTAATTCAGCCAAATTAATTAAATTTTAAAATTGTATTTTATTTTTTCCCAGTTGTAAATGTTTATATTTTATTTATATATTTGTTTATTTTCTAGTTAATATTTTTTATTTTTAATAGTGGTTGGTATTTGTGAAAATTAAACATAAAATCTGGATATAAAACAATATTGATTCTGCATGGTCAATCATTTTCATTTCAAATGGGGGTGGAGAAAAATCACCATTCTTCTTATTAAAACATAATAGTATTACTAACATTTGCTGAGCACTCACTATGTGCCAAGTACTATGTTAAGTTATAATTTTACATGACTACTTTTTAATATGCATGCATGAATTAACCAATGTCAAGGTAATCATTTTTTCAATATTCTGCCAAATAACAAAGTTTAACTCCCTTCCTCTCACAACTTCACTACTTTAATTTGATCTTATTGACAACAATCATAATGAATCTCTATCTCTCATTTTTTAAGATGAGCAAATATTTAGATTTACTAATAGGTGTACAGAAATTTTCATTCACCAAAACTTCTTCCATCATGCTTTATTTCAAGTTTGATTTCTTTGTTGAATTTAAAATTTTAAATTTTTAAATATAAAATTTTTTTAATTCTCTCAATAATTCAAAGAATTGAACTATCACGTATTGATTGCACTAAAAGTGTTGTATTTCTTTAACTCATAAGTTAAATTTAAATAGTAACTGACTCAACTAATATTTTTTAGTATCTTCTATATGTCAGGTATTGATGTAGGTGCTAGGGCTGCAACACTGAACCAAAAGGCAAAACTATATGCAAAGAGCTTATAATCAATTGAGTCATTATAAAATAATAAGATGTACAATATAGTGTATGCCTGATTCTTATTAAGAGAAATAATAAAGAAGGGTAGAGAATCCCTGGGCACAAGAGAAGCAATGCCATTTTAAGACAGGATGGTTGAGGGAAACCTACTTGATAACACGGCATATGAGTGAAAACCTGGTAATATAAAAGAGTCAGCCACGCAGTGATACAAGTGCACAAAGCATTGCAGAGAGGTTGAATGAGAAGGGGAAAGCTTCTAATCATTGAGGAGGAAGAGGACAGTTCCAAGTTGAGTGTAGTTGAAGTGAAGTAAAGTAAAGAGGAGAGAGTAGAAGAACTAATAGAAGTTGAATTCAGAAAGCCATTAGCTTTTGAGACCATGTAGACCCAGTCCAATGCCTAAGGTGTTTGGCTTCTAGAGGAGTAACATGAGAAGCCATTCAATCGTTTTGGAGATTGGAGTGAGGTGATCTGATTGTCATTCTAAGAAACGGTTTTATTTTGCACATTTTTAACATATGGTTAGAGAGGAACATCTAAGGGGATACGAACAGCGGATGTTTGGAGATATAATTCTGTAGCACAGGGAGGAATCAGGGTTGGACCAGGGTTGAAAAGATTCAGTACGTAGAAAGTTGTTGAAGTACAATAAGGGTATAAGAATACAAAATTTGGGCATTTGAAGATAGGGGAACAGAGGATAATGGACAGGAAACATCAGTGCTCACATGTTGGTAAAGGACGTGGAAGCCGTGAAGGAGTCAGAAAAGAAGTTTATAGGTTTTCCTAATTATTCTCCTACGATTTTCTAAATTCTTTTCATCTCTTCACTCAAGTGTTTTGTTTATTATTATTTGCAGTAATAATTTTATATATTTATGGGAAATGAATGATGTTCTCTTATATGTTTACATGGTGTAATGATTAAATGGAATCCTGTTTTTTTGTTGTTTTATACCATTTCTTCTCTTACACACTTCACACTTTCTCTTCACTTTCTAAACTTCTGGGACAGGTTTTCTCAGCTACATGGTACCTATGAAATTGCAGCTGCCACACTCCTCAATTATTGCTAATGGCTCCATGTGCTAGCTCTCACTCCACACCTTATTTCAAACTTTTATTATAAGGGTTTTTAATAGCATTGGCCATTTTACAACTCACTCCTATATAGGTTATCTTCTCCTTTTGTTCTAGAGCATTACCTTTTAGGTGGTTTACCACAAAGACATAAATACCAATTTTCTTCATAGTTCTTCTTTCTTTGCCCATTTATAAAATTATATTTTATTCACTGATATAAACTACATAAACAACAAATGCTCAATTTTTCAAGCTGAAAACTGGGGGATTTTCTAAATTTCCTTGTTTTTCATTTCTTACATTTAGTCCATACCTACTTTTTTTCATTCTGCCTTGGAAATAATTCTCATATCCTTTGTGTTTCTCTTTCTTCACCCTAGCACACATCTATCTGTTCAGGGTAAAATTTCCCATAGCTTGTATTATGGGCCACTAATTATTTGATTCTTAATAAAATGTTATATAAAAATGATTTCTCTTTTTAAAAAAAAGGAAGAAAAAGAAAATAAAGATTGGGAAGTGCATTAAACAAACAGATACATTTGTTAATTGTAGGATACTTTTAGACTACTTTTAGAATACTTTGTGAATTGCCAAGAGCCCCATAAAGTATGAAGTATTTTACAGAACCTCTTTCTTGTTGAGAATCTCACAGGCAAATTATTCTGCTCAGAGCACACTGTGAAACTCTGAATTCCAGAATTTGTTGCAATAGCCTCAGATTTGCTCTCCTTTCAGACTGGCTTCCCCAAAACTTTCTAAGGTTTTAGACTAATTTATAAATCTGATTATTTACTCCTTTGTTTTAAGCCACTCAAATGGCTCTTTATTGCTTATTTAGGATAAAATCTAAAATCTTGTGTGATCCAGACTTTGTCTAGTGTTCTAATTTCATTCCACTACTCTCTGTTAAGCACACTGACCTTCAACCATATTGAACTATTTGAAATTCCTGAACTCATTCTGTTTTTTTCACATCTCCGTAACATTCATATATTTTTTTTACCTTCTTATAAAACAGCTTTGTCCCTCCTTTCCTGTTGGCTAAGTTCCATTAATTGCTGCGTATCTATTGTTTCTTGGGAATATGTTCTACTTTCCTCCTCACAACTCGAAAATATTTTGTGCTTTTCTGTTGTACTCATAACTCCCAAGCATACACCATCCATTATACTCACATAAAAACTCTTTTAGTAGAGCCTCATAATATTTTGTTAATGTGTCTTTTTCTTCAATGAAAGTAATTTCATAAGACAAAATCTGGTATTCATGTGGAAGGAATGGAGTCAATAATATATATATATATATATATATATATATATATATACACACACACACACACACACACACACACATGTGTATATATACACACATATATATCTATATATAATTTGTTGACCGGGCGTGGTGGCTCGTGTTTGTAACCCCAGCACTTTGGGAGGCTGAGGCGGCCAGATCACCTGAGGTCAGGAGTTCGAGACCAGAATGACCAACATGGCAAAACCCCATCTCTACTAAAAATACAAAAAAAAGATTACCCGGGCTTGGTGGCACGTGCCTGTAGTCCCAGCTGCTTGAGAAGCTGATGCATGAGAATCTCTTGAACCCGGGCGGCAGAGGTTGCAGTGAGCCACGATTGAGCCACTGCATTCCAGCCTGGGTGACAGAGCGAGACTCCGTCTCAATTTTAAAAATATATATAGAGAGAGTATATATTTTTAATTGAGACAGAGTCTTGCTTAATATATATATATAATATACATATAGTAATATATAGTATATATGATAGATATTATATATAAAACAGCTTTTTCCCTCCATATAATATACATTATATATAATACATTATATATAACAGCTTTGTCTCTCCATATAGTATATGTATATTCTGTCTGCCATGAATTTAGAAACTGTTTTTATATTATGAGTCATTGCCCCTGTTAGTATTTTAGTGGGCACTTTCCAATTCTGATCTCTTTTCCTTTGGTTAAATCACACTTGGAATAATGTAGTTAGAAATGTAGTGCATCAATTTGCTCCATTTCTGTTTGCAGGTACTTTGCACTAAATAGTTATTTGCTAATATTAATGTGTGGTATTACTTGATTCTTCTTCCTCATATGTACTATTATTAATATTAGGAAGCATCTGTAATGATCCAGGATTTAATTTCAATAAAATTTGACACACTTATTTTTTAATATAATTATATTATATATGATATTATATGTCACACTTATCTTGCGTGAATGTTAAATAATGTTGATCTAACAAGCTGTTTAACTGGTTATGTTTTACTTTATTTGAAGTACTGTAAGTGAAAATCATTTTATAATGTTTATGTTTTATTTTGTAATGAAAATAGAAATAAAAATGTGAATATGACAATGAAACATCTGTATAAAATACTTATTGTGGAGAATATAATTTGGCAAGCAAGGTTTAAGTGTCTAAATTTTTATCCATATGCATTTCTCTAAGGAAACTCAATTTCCAGGCAGGCGGCTGTACTACATGATTGTATAACTTGCCTAATCTAATATGACATATGAATATATTAATTTTAAAACAACTTCATTGCATGTATCATTGGCTACCAGTCATTTTTAAATGTTCCCCAATAATGGTGTGATAGAAATTCTGTTAACTAGTGTGCATTAGATTGAATGGATTTACGTCCTGAAGACTTCTAGCTGGTTTAATAATGCAGGTTAAAATGTTACACTAATACATGTATAATACCAATACATCTTCAACATCATTGTGTCTTGTGCCTTTAACAAAACTGGTTGAGATGTATTCTAAAGAAAAAAAATTAAACAGAGTTTGATTAGAAAATGTATGAATTTAATAGGTCAGAATGTTGGAAATATACATATTCCTGTCTTTAGAAGAAAAATAGATCTATCTAATCTAATCTATCATCTATCTACATTTCTTTATATTATTTTCACATTATTTTAATGAACTGAAATGATTTTTAAACTAATTAAATAATTGTTAGACTTTATCAAATATTTAAATAATTTAGAAATATAAAATAAAATCAATTTTAAAAGTTGTATGTCTTAAATATTGTAAGTATTATCTAAATCTTAGATATAACTTTATATTAAGAGCTGAAAAGAAATACCTGGAAATTATCTTAATATGATTTTTTACCACAACATTATTTGTGGTGGTAAGATTTGACCAATCCATTAAAATAAAATGGCTATTGTAGAATGAGTAGATAAACTGTGGTACACATTTTTGATGGAATAATTAATAGATAAAACACCACAAATGTAATCTTAAATGTATCCCTCTAAGTGAAGGATGGTAATCCTAAAAGACTAAATATTTTATAAATCTACTTATAGGACATTTTTGAAAAGGAAAAAATACAGGTTTAAAAGCTGGTCAGTGTTGCTTTGGCAGCTCATATACTGAAATTAGAATAACACGGAGATTAGCATGGCCTCTGCTGAAGAACAACATGTAAACTCATGAAGCATTCCATTTTTTTGTTTGCTTTTTGTTTTGAGACAGTCTTGCTCAATCTCGGCCCACTGCAACCTCCGCCTCCCAGGCTCAAGAGATTCTGCTGCCTCAGTCTCCCGAGGCGCCCACCACCATGCCCAGCTAATTTTTGTATTTTGAGTAGAGACAGGGTTTTACCATGTTGATCAGGCTGGTCTCAAACTCCTGACCTCAGGTGATCCACACGCCTCGGCGTCCCAAAGTAATTCTGAGATTACAAGCACTGCGCCCGGCCGGTGTTCCATATTTTAAGCAAAAAAAAAAAAAAAAAAAAAACAAAAAGCAACAACAACACATCCGATCAGTGATTTTCAGAAGTTGATGGTGATTACAAAAGGGCATCCCCAGAGAACTGGGAGATTGATATTACTGTTCTTAATCTTCATTATGATGCTCTTTACATGATTGCATCCATGTGTCTAAACTCATAAAACTTCTCATCAAAGAGGGTAAGATTTATTACCTATACATTTTTAAAAATCAAATTAAAATATACCACTGTTTCTATAAACTATTTAAGTTACTTTCCTCTAAAATGATGCTCAGCATGTACTTCTTCAAATTTTCCTTATGATACAATTTCTATGTCAATGTTATAGGGTCTTTTTTATCTACATATTTTCCCTGTCAGTTTTATAGGGTCTTTTTTATCTACACATTTTCCCTGTCACACATATTGAAAAATTTAAATCCATAATCTCAATCATATGCTTAATGTACCCAAATTATTTTCATAAGGAAAAAAATAGAATTTGGAGGAAATAATTTTTCTTTTATCATCGATTAGTATGAAGAGTCAGCATTTGCTACTTTAAATATCTCGTCACATAAAAGTGTCATGTGGTTCAAACACAGATTTGTTTCAATGATGAATACATTGATTTTTATCATATTTTAAATTCTTCTAATTATTTCATATTTTTCCACCTTCAGTAAATCTACTACAGGGTCTTTTCTAAGGACAAGAATTCTTGCATTTTTTATTTATACGTCCAATTCTTCTATTAAATATGTCCTCTATTTATATATATTTATATATTTTTTTCTTTTAATATTAATCTTCACTAAGCAATCTGCCTCTAATTATATTAATGATTTGCTGCAAAAGGGTTGTGTAGATTGTGGGTTATTAAAAATTTGAGTAGTTAAAGAGAGTTATTTTATTGGTTACCTCTAGTGAGCTTGTTAGTCATTGTGAAGCACTGTGGCTACTCCATTTATTATTTTTCTTTTTCAACATGCATTTAAATAAATCTACTACATACCAGGCACAGTTCCATATGATGAGAGTATGGACTAATGACATAACCTCCTCTCAAGAACCCAAGTAAGAAGAATAAAAAGGAACAATTACCTCATAATATAACTACACATATTATGAGGGAACACATGGAAGGGAAAGATGACCTTGGCTTCAGGATATAAGAAGAATTTTAGAGGTGTGGCAATTAATTTGGGTTATGAAGGAAGGGTATGTATTTGCTATGATAACATAGCATTGGTAAGGCCATGGCAGCAGACGGAAGAGGACAGGCAAAAGGTATGTGGGCCAGAGGGATAAGTCAGGGCCAGCTATGGAAAAGTAAAATGTATCCAGTTTCAAACACTTTACATATTCTACACTAAAAGAAAACATGATTACATTTGTAATTTAGAAGGCACTAGTAAATCTAGCAATAGTTTGAATGTTGGTTCAGAGGGAGATGAAAATTATTTTTATTGTTATAACAATATTACACATTTTTATCTTGAGTTCTCATTGTTCAAGGCATGAAGTGGGTCACTTTTTACTATTAAAGTCCATTTAATAGTAAAAGTAATGTAAATTTATTATTTCTAATTTGTTTATAAATATATTTAGATAATAAAAATAGCCTTGATGCTTGTCTGGTTCATGTGCTTATTTCCTTCTTGATTGCAGAATAAACATGACCCAGATCATGTTTGTCTAGGCTTTTTAAAGAAACAATAATACAAACATTTCCAAATAGTTACCTTTTCTCCGGATAAATATTCCCTTAAACTTTTGTTTACAAAAGTTTACAAAAAAAAGGGGTTACAAAGCAAATCAAACATAATTCTTTCCCCACAAATATTGATAATCTAGTTGAGAGGAGTTCTTAGAATAAACACAAGAAAAGACAAAGCCATATTTATGTCATAAAATAGA
This sequence comes from Homo sapiens, assembly GCF_000001405.40. NCBI lineage: Eukaryota > Metazoa > Chordata > Mammalia > Primates > Hominidae > Homo > Homo sapiens. The sequence continues at coordinate 29,512,922 of NC_000004.12, forward strand.
GAATAGAGATATATAATTGATGAGAGATATCATTAAAATTAGAATATAAACTCATACTTTATTAAAATCACAAAGCTAATAAATAATTTGAAATATTTCTATTATATTTAAAAGCATCACATTTTTTGGTTGCTCTGATGAATATGGCCCCCCCGTATAATACACACACATCACTATTCATCTTACTAAAACATTTACTTGACCTTCTAAAAAATATTTCTCTACATGTTATGATACCAAAGAGAAGCAATGGAATGGAATGCAACGTTTGGCTATTTTGAAAATTTGTATGTATTAACTTCTTAATTTGGGAAGGGATGAACAATTATCCTTACTAAATATATCAAAATTGATCCTCAGAAAACATATGAGATAGATATTATTTCCATTTTACAAAAGAACACAATGAAATTAATAGATTATTGCTAAACGCCTGGTGTGAAATTGAAAATGAATTTGATTCAAATCTAATGATTTCAAATTTAATGTGGATACTTAAGTACTATAATACTATAGAAATTAAACTCTTGAAATGAGCTTGTGTGATTTTTTTTTTAATAAAACCTTTAAAAGTACCTGAAAAAGCACTGCTTGATAGTTCAAAAGATATTCATTGATAATCAGTGGTTACCCATGAAGGCACCCTCTCCATACCCTAATTTATTCATGTATAAATAAAGAAAATACTTAATCGTTTTAAGTGAGGATTCAATGTGTTAATATTTGTCAAAATTATTAAACACTGCCTAGCACGTAGAACATGCTATACAAATGTTAGCTGTTATTGTTGTCTTTTATAATGTTGGTATTATTTTAATATATATTTTTCAGATGTTGATGTGAATCTATTTAAGAGATACACAACAGAAAATATATTGATAGGGTATCCTAACAGATAAATTTTCAGCAGTTTCAGCTTCTTTGTCCATGTTACTTATTTCAAGACCTGAACCCTTCCTTCTTATCCTTCTGCTCTTTAAGTTTTCTTCCTCCTCCTCCTAGACTTTCTACTTTTCCTCCTTATAGTCCTCTTTTTCTAGATCTTCAAGGGGACCTATTTCTGGGAATGGAGTTGAAGTTTCAGGCATTGTGTTTGAATGCCTTTATTTGATGTGCCCTGAAAGGTTGAGTCTTTTTTATAAGGATCCTCAAGAACATAGTGCAAGCCCCACAATCATCAAACCTAACTATGATGCATGAGTAGGAAGCTCACGGTTAGGGACAACAACCCCACAGAGTTCCGAGTAGGTTTCCGGATAACTTGCTGGTGTAAACAGTGGTGGATAATAGTTTCTCCTCTTAGAATTTTGATTCTATTTGTAAGTAATAGAAAATAGCATTTGAATAAAACATTTCAGTACATATCAAAAAAAACAATTTCAGATTCTTAACAATAATTGATCACTTTGTCAGTAAATATTTGAAATCTAGTTTCCATTACTCGTCACGCAATATTCTCCAAAATAATTTATCTTTATTAGATAGAGGTTCATGTCTTCATCTTTTGTTGCCACATCTTGTTCATCCCATGAAATTTCTGAATCTCAGTACAATGTTACACTTGATTCAGCAACTTGGAATATATAATAAGTTAAAAAATGGATTAAGCTCTCAAATTATGTGTGATTCAATACGTATTACATAATAACATTTGACATGAAGCCCAAGGTTTTTACAATACCTTTATTTCTAAAAACATGAACATTTGGTTTGGAACTGAGAAGTCTGTTAATTAATTTTGAATTATTCCATCTACTTTTCTCAGTATCACTGACAAGAAAGTAGGAAGCACATCAGCTATTAATAATCACAAAAACAGCAATAGTCCTTTTTAACCACATTCCAACTGTTACCACTATTTAAATTTACAAATTACTTTTCTACATTTATCTAAATCCTTCTACAACATTGCTTTCTTAGAATGTACTATAATTCCTGAAGATTATTTCTTTTCTATTTCAAAAATATGGCATTTGTCGTCCTGTTTTTTAAATGAATGTAGGTAGTTTCCTCTAATATCTAGTAAAAATTCAGTCTGTTTTTTCCTTCTTGCCTTTCTTCTCTTATTTTTCCAATTTCTTCTATCTATTACCATCACTTTTCTCCTTGGGCAGTTTGGAATCTTAGCCTAGAAAACATGCTTATTTCTCTGTTGTTTTTCCTTCTGCTCCCTGCTGATATATTTAAACATGTTACATCTATATTCATAACTTCATATTTAAATTTCTGAAATAATGCCCTAATTGGTCTGCTTCTCTCCCTGCCACCATTATTCTGACAAACCTTCATTTCTAATCCAACACACAGCCAGTAAAATACTAACATGCTTATGTCACATTTTCACTTCCTTACATTACTACCCTTAGTAAGTCTCCATCTCACTGAGGGTAAGACAAAACCCACACAATATTATGGGTAGTTTTCAAAGGGAATCGTATTACTTTCAAAGGCTGTTTTATGTTTTTTCCCTAATATTTGGGAAATTTTATACACTTACTAGGTGGAACCACAACTGTTTAAGGTTTCTCTTTTATAAAGAAGAATACCACCAAGTAAAAATTGCCCAGTATCCTACCATTCTTGAACATCCATCTAGATTATCAGGTAAATCAAACAGAACAGAACAAAACAGAAACAACAAAACCATTTATAAAAACAGAGCCTAGAATCTGAGTTTTTAAAATATAAAAATCCAGTATTTTAAAGTTTTTATGTACTCTTTATTTTCCTATGACCATATAATCAAAAAGATACTGTATTTCACTTCTATGACATTATCTAAAGTTATTAACCATTGAAGCAATCCATAAAACACATATGACAGAGACTTTGTGACATTTGAGTTGTCAGTTTAACACAATCCACATTGGTAATTTTCACATGCAAGTATGCAACAGTGGAGATTTGAAACAACTTTTAACAGACTTAAAAATAGGATAACCATATAATATATCACTTAAATGGGGACACTCTTGATCGTGAAATATGGTATTAAATCAATTAGTACCTAATATTTTTGAAATGCTTCTTTCTTGCTTGATTTATTGATTAATACTGTTGGAACTACAAAGTAGTTATTTTCAAAATATTGCTGCCTAAAAATAGTATACATTTGTAGGTTTAAGCAAAATAACATTATTGACTGAATATGTTTTTATAAGAGAATTTCTGCTTTCCATACATAATGGGGTAATTTAATTAATGTGAAAATTACCTTTTTACTTCTACTGGAAAGAACTTGAAAATCAACAAATACATGAAACAAATGCTTCCAGACGTCAGACAACAGAGAGTGCCAGAAGATGAACCCTAAAAAAAGAAAAACAGATGAGGTGAGCCCTGTGGTCACCTGACTTTGAGCCTGGAGACGCTTTAGACCCTGGTAAGGAGTGAGAAACCCATTGAGAGCAAAGAGATGTTGCTTAGTTAGGGAGGCAGAGGTTAGAGTTTGATAACTCAGAGATATTTGGAATTTGTGAAGCAGAGTACATAAATAGAGGGAACTAAACAAAGAAAGAACTGTAGAAAACTGCACAGAATTTCATATTATTCTGTTCCTGGGTATTAAGATATGTATGAGTAGCATGCAAATCTGTGAGTCCAGGCAGAGAATGACTCAGAAGCTCTTAGTGTTTCCAAAGCTTTTAAAGGACTCTAATATTTTCAAATTCTAACCAGCTGGACTAGGGAGTTCTCAGCGAATAACTGGGGGATTCAAAAGAGATTCAAGAAGGTAATGTTTTAATAGTAAAAATAAAGTAGCCCTAGAATAGAAGCTACTATATTAAAAGCCCTAGATTAAAAGCCAGTATAAACATGTTCTAGCAAACCTTAAGCACTTGCCTCAAATGGTTCAAGGTGACCCTAAGAAAAATTACCAGTAAGGACAAAGTTCAGCACTCTTTAAAATGGCAACAACATACAACACATGGCATAAATAATAAAAGAAAGCAAAATGTCCTTTAATCAAGCCAACAGACATGCCAACAAATAAAAAAATGAGATCTATAACTAGAAAAAAATTGTTGTAAGATCCAGAAATGTCAAAGATGAAGAATTTACAAACAAGAACATTAAAGTAGCTTTTATAAGCATGCTCAAATATTTTTTAAAAGCATAGGCATAATGAGTATGAAATGAAGGATACATACAACAAACAAATACAACTTATTGAAATGCAAAATACATTGTCTAACGTACAAAATTTGCTAGATAAGATCAAAGAAGACTAGATACTGTAGAAATAAAGCAAAATCATTGAATTTGAGGACAGAAATAGAAACTGTCCAAATGGAATCACGGGAAAAGAAGCAAATAAGAAATGAGTTTCAGAGAGCCAAACATCACAAGTAGTTCTGCTACATGCAACCAGATGCTTAGAGGAGTCCGGGATAATAAAAACACATTTGAAAACCTAATGGCCAAAATTTTCAATTTTATGAAAACAATAAATTTGAAGTTCAAGACAGTCAACAATTCCAAACTGTCAATAAAACAACAAAATCCACGATACAAAATGTCACAATTAAATCACTGAAAACAGAAAAAGAGAAAATAGTAAAAGCAGACAACAATGATACATTTTGTAAAGAATAACAAAAGATAAAAATTATTCCAGATTTCTCCTCAGAAACCATATTAGCCTTTGGTGGGACAATTACAGAGATCTAGGTGGCTGTAGAAAATGTGAACTAATTTGGTTGCCTGTATCAGTCAACTCAACCTCATTGGCCTTTAAGGAACACTTTAATTAAACAACACAATGCATTTTTTTAAGTCAACCTGAACCCACTTATGAATATTAATCATATTTTTGCCATTAAAACACATATTTTTAAGTTTAAAAGAACTGAAATCATACAGAATATGTTCTTTGACCACAGCAGCATTATCAGAAATTACTAACATTAAGATATTTGGAAAATTTTCTAACTCTTAGAAAACAAATACAACTATGAGTAATTCTCAGGTTAAAAAGATTTTATAACTGAAAATAGGAAATATCCTTAATTGAATGAAATTAAAAATGTTAATAAATACACAATATATCAAAATTTGAGTGATTCACCTTGTGTAATGTCTGGAAGTAAACTTGTATTTTTAAATGCTTAGAGTAGCAAAGAAGTTCTAAATCAATGGTCTAAGTTTCCATCTTAAAAACAAGAAAAAGAATAACCAACCCACAGTGTTGTGGAACAAAGACAAAATTGGAGGCGAATGTAAGAATAAACACATAATAAAAAGGTAAAGTTAATTTTATTTAATGTAATTTAAAAAATAAAACCAATGGTTAATGAGTCCTTAAAGACAAAGAATTAATACTTTTTCTAAACCAATAGAGATATAAAAGACATGTGTCATCAATAACAATAATAAAGGTACTTCACTACAGGGACTACAGAAATTAAAATGATAATGAATAATACTATAAGAAGTTTATGCAAACAAATTCAAAAATTAGATACATGTGTAAATTCTTTGAAAGAAGGGTTACCAAAATTGATTCTAGAAGAAATATAGAATAAGAATAGCTCTATACGAATTAAAGAAATTGAATTGTCTTCCAAAAACCTTCCTACACAAAATATTAATTTTCAAAATGTCTTCTAATATTTTTATTTCTTGAGTAAATACTACTCACTTTAAGTAGACACAAGCATGTAACTACCTTATATGTCTTCTTATATATTGGATCCAAGCATTTTTTCCTGATATACATCATATCTTAATAGATATTGCTATACATTTAGTTTTTATTTTATTAAATATAGCACATTACATTGAAATTTTAAAAATTACATGTGCCCATGTGTTTTATTTTCTGTGACATATTCTCATATATATATATGAGTCACAATTTTTAAGTCAAAATTGGAATGATGGTTCTGATAAATTCGCATACCACAGCTGTTTATTATTGAGATTTTGCCTTATCTCCATGGCTCATTTCATTTTCCAAAATCATTGAGGAGTGTCTACATGTGTGAGGCTGCTTTTGTAGAAGTTACTTTAGACTAGTACACCTTTTGTCATAAATGCAGTCCATCTTAATCTCTCTTTCTCTCACAGACTCTCAATCAATCTATTTATCTTGCTTGTACCCATTTTTCATTTATAATTCAATGCAAGTCTCATCTCTTGGTATATTCTTTAACACCAACTGAAAATTTGATTTAGATGGTCTCTGATATATTTTTATTGCTTCCACAAATACTTTAACTGTGAGCCTGGCAAATTATGCTGAAATATTTGATTGACCTTTCCACCTCTTTGTTATATTATAATTACTTTTGGAATGTGGAAATATATTATTTTGTTTTTCCAACTTTATGGCTGATTACAGTGCTCCCTACAAGACATTTGAGAAATGTAAACCGAGTTACATGGAAATAAACTAAATGGATAAATATTCTCTATCAACATTTATGACACGGCTGTTCTTCAAAATATGCTGAAGTTTTTGAGGGTACAGTCAAGGAAGAAACTATTCTAGCCCTTTCTTACTGCATCATTGCTCTGCAAGGGATTGGCCCTGTAATCCCATTGGATTTTTAGTTACAATGTTCACTTTTAAGACACTGTATTAAAATTTGTGTGATTCAGCTGAAGTAATGTCTGGAAGTAAACTTATATTTTTAAATACAGTAGCAAAGAAGTTCTAAATCAATGGTCTAAGATTTCATCATAAAAAAATAATGAATTTTTAGTTACAATGCTCAGTTTTTATTTAAGACTTGGCAAATGTCATTCTTACCTCATTTGCCTTATCTGTTATACTTTACAGTCTCCTCAAAAATTTTATTTTTGTTTTTTGAGCAAACTCACTTAGCTACTCACTCTTGATCACGTGGTCCCCAAATTTTAATGATTCAGCTTACAAAATTTTCTTTAACATGGTACATAAGTAATACATATTTAGTAGAAACCATACTTCAAGTACCGATACAAACATTATGTGTTTCATTTTCATAAATTATGTGAGATATTCAATACTATATTAAAAAATGGGCTTTGTTTTAAGTGACTTTGACCAACTGTAGGCTATGTAATTATTTCAGCACATTAAAGTTAGGCTAAATTAAGCTATGATGTTCCCTAAGTTGGGTGTATTAAATGCACTTTTGACTTTCAGTATTTTGAACTTATGATGGGTTTATTGTATGTGACCTCAGAAATAAATCCAGGAACATCTGTACTTCTTTCATTATTCTGAGATATACTTCAGACTTACTTGTTTTGTCTTATCACATTTGGGGTGACTCTATTTTTATTTATGAGTACATACAACATCTCTCTGAGATCTCCTTGGTCATTGCTTCTATTTGATAAGTGATGATATTGTGGGAGAAATAGCCTGAAAGGGAGGGCACATCAGTTAGGATTCCCAAAATTTGTTTGCTGATTGTCTCCCACTAGGTGCACTCACATTTATTAAAGAAAAACGTTCCCACTCCTCCTTACACTTCAGTAGCTCTGGTATAACTGTTTCCTTATAGAAGAAAGTTTTAGTTTACTTTGGAATACCTGCCTCCTTCCCAAATAGTACAATCTTAACTTCTTTTCTCTATGGCACGTATGTTAGAGACCTAACATTACCACATTGAGAAAAGAGCACATGATAATAATTTAGATGTTGAAAGATAAACATACCTAAGTTTGGCAGATTGTAATTTTCTATTCTCTGGAGCCTAAATTAAATCACTACATTTCCTTCAAAATGCTTTAGGTTGATGCAATACCAATATGAATTTTCTAATTGCTCATTATTACTGCTTAGTTCTTCCACTGAGGTGGAAGCATCATATTAAAGCATCATATTAATTGTTTAATATGATGACTCTTTTAGTCACAAAATACTGTGCAGCAATGTAAAAATCACCGATTTGTTAGAAACTAATCAAGCAATAGCGACAGGTGAAAGGATTCCACAGTCTGTACTTTCAGGAATTAGCTGTCTTGCCTTGACAAAAGCTCTAGGTTGGATACTCATCTTACCATATTAATAATCATATATGTATAGTAGAGTCTAATAATTTGTATGTAGCTTACCGAGATGTATTAACCATGTAGTTGTGAGTGTATCCATACATGTTGTTAAATTGAAATAAGTTTAGCCTAAATCTGCCTCTGTATCCAGGAAACTGTAATGTAACTTAATGTGTAAACAAACTGCGACCTAATCTGCGAGTATATTCTTTTTACAAGTATATTAAGTCCTCATTTAATGTAGTTTACAGGTTCTTGGAAACTGATTTTAGGTGAAATGACATAAAACCAGTTTTTATTTTCCTATTACATTTATAAAAAACAAAATTGAATGGGACAACCTTATTCGAGGACCTCCTATGTGTGCTTCTGCTATAAGGCACAGTTCCCAATAAGCTATGGAGGTTGTTAACTGGCACCTTACTGTAGCCAAATCTCAGCCAATCAGAACAGCTGAAACTTCAGCCAATCATAGACTGAAAGCTGTCAAAATATGTTCAAATTAAGCAAATGTCATACTGCATCCAATCAGGCTATTTCTGTACATCGTTTTCACTTCTCTGACTCTAAATATTGCCTGCACATATTGGAGGACAGAACTCTCTGAACTGCTTTTGGTCCTGAGTGCAACCTGCTTCATGAATCTTTTCTTCTGCTTAAACTCTGCTAAATTTAACTTGCCTCAGGTCTTTTCTTTAACAATGTGTAACTTTCTAATTACTGTAAAGTAAGATTTTAACAAAGATGACTTCTTTTTTCCAATAGGGAAATTCAGATATTTTCGTTTTAGAATAATAATAAACATGTTTGAAAAGCAAAAGGGATTTCATTATATTTTTTACATTATACATTAATTTACATCTCAACAAGTCTCCTTAAATACAAGATGGACATAAAAGTCAATAGAACTTTTTTTCTTTTCTAACTGAAATGTGGATCAAAAAATAAAAATAAATAAATAAATAAAATAGAAATGAATTGCCTCTTTGTACATCAAACAAGTGAAAATATTTTCTACTAATGTAAAAGGCAGTTGGGACATATGAAGATGAATTCAAAATACAAATTGAATTATATGTTTAAACAAGTAATCCTAGAGATTACTTGTTTAGAGAATTCCTAATTCACTTAAGACGTGTACTTTTCTAGGAATGATTTTTAACATTTTGGGGTTATCTGCTGAGCCACTCTCAAACATGTGAGTTGTTTTCCTAATAACTGTAATGAGTTGCAGTAATCCACTAATACTCTTTCAGACTCTTCAATGTTTCCTCAGTAAATGATTTTGGGAAGACATGTATGCAACATCAGAAGTACTTTGGGGGATGGATTAGAATTTAATGTTGTCTGACATGGCTCTAAACCCATTAAGAATCATGTCCTGCCAATGGGTTTAACTGTAGGCAGGCATTCTCTAAAAACCCCAAACACCTGAATATCTTACTGTATTTGTTTTGTGTCTTAAGTAGTCAAATGTGTTACCTGTCAGTGTTTGCAATATGTTTGGTTAGTCTCTGGATCACCCTGTTTTCATCTCTTCTGCTGGTTTTTATTGATAGGTTTGCCCAAAGACAATGTGTTGATGGGGTATCTAGTTCCTTTGGAAACAGTAGATATTGTCACTTCAGCTCACTCTTTTCACTGAGTGAGTATGTAGAGTTATGTAGCCCTATATTTTTCAACTTCCCAAAATATTAAGCTCTTAAATATCCTTTTAAGATAAAGCAATCTGTTAGTCAACTGAGTGGACCCTTGAGCAGTGTATTAGTCTGGATCAATCACTGTTATTAAGAAATATCTGAGGCTGGGTAATTTATAAAAGAAAGTTTTAATTGACTCACAGTTCCTCATGGCTTGAGAGGCCTCAGGAAACTTACATTTATGGTGGAAGGTAACAGAGAAGGAGGCACCTTCTTCACAGAGTGGCAAGATGGAGTGACTGCAGGCAGGGGAAACACCAGATGCTTTTAAAGCCATCAGATCTCCTAAGACTCACTCACTATCACAAGAAAAGCATAGGGGAAACTGCCCTCATGATCCGATTACCTCCACCTGGTCCACCCGTTGACACATGGGGATTATGGGAATTATAATTCAAGATGATAGCTTGGGTGGAGGCAGAGCCAACCATATCAAGCAGTCCTAAGCTGTTTCTTTCTTCTCTATTTCTTATGTTCATTCATATGGTTCTGAACCATTGACAAACATAAATAATTGCCCTCCTCTATTTATTTTCAGCCTGGCAACACCACAATTGGTATTTATCCTGGTGGCACAGGATGACTCTGCAAACTTCCGACATCAGAAGACAACAGAGAAGAAACAATGATACTCTATTCTTATACAGCAAAAAATTCCAAGAGTCTTGGGACTCCATCTTCTCCCCATGATTTGAATGGTGATTTCAGAGTGGAGCTGATGATTCAAGCTAATCAAATCCTCTTGCCTGAGATGTGGTCTCAAATTTTTCTTACAGACAAGCTTAATTTCAAGAATGATGACCTTAGGGAGCCCCTCCTTATGGAGCTTTGGGGGTAAGTAGTCCCACTCTTTTCCTTGCCAACTCTATCCAAAGAAAAATGCCTGCCCTATCAGCTGATAGAACTTTTTAAAAATTTTTCTTTTTTTAATCACATAAATTACCATACATCATCTTTACATGTATTTATTTATCATAGATGTATTGGCTTTATTTTCATAAAAATATAGTTTTGATGAGGGCATATATACTTTTTCAGACCTGTTTTCTGTTGCATCTCCAAAACTGTAAACAATAACTAAAATGTATAATTATTTGTTTTTTAAAATAAGTTAAATTCATGAGTGAATATTCTCTAACAAGAATGTAAATGAGCAAGTTTTCTAGCTCAATCTATGAACTTAATGCTCTAAATTAAAAATCAGACTAATTAAGTTAAGGTCCACCTTAACCTAATTCAGATTAAGGTTTAGGTCCTTTAAAAATCAGCTGGAAGAGAAGTATTTATAACTAAAAGAAAAAAAAATCAAACATTTGTTATCATTCAACGTGAGAGGTAGATGATATGCCAAATGACTGAATGGACAGTAAATGTTACAAAACTTCAGATTAGTGTGCAGATTGATATGAGATACAGGGTTCAGTGCAAAAAAAATAGAAAAGTTAGAACTTAATAGAGACCAACAAAGATGAGTAACATTATTTAGAAAGGTAAAAAGACAAACCCACAGCCAATATCATACTTAATGGGGAAAAACTGGAAGCATTCCCTCGGAAAACAGGCACAAGACAAGGATGCCCTCTCTCACCACTCCTATTCAACATAGTATTACAAGTTCTGGTCAGAGCAATCAGGCATGAGAAAAAAGTAAATGGTATTCAATTAGGAAAAGAGGAAGTCAAATTGTCTTTGTTTGCAGATGACATGATTGTATATTTAGAAAACCCCATCATCTCAGCCTACGATCTCCTTAAGCTGATAAGCAACTTCAGCAAAGTCTCAGCATAAAAAATCAATGTGCAAAAATCACAACCATTCCTATGCACCTATAACAGACAAAGAGCCAAATCATGAGTGAATTCCCATTCACAATTGCTACAAAGAGAATAAAGTACCTCGCAATACAACTTAGAAGGGATGTGAAGGACCTCTTCAAGGAGAACTACAAACCACTGCTCGAGGAAATAAGAGAGGATACAAACAAATGGAAAAGTATTCCATGATCATGAAAAGGAAGAGTCAGTATCATAAAAATGGCCATACTGCCCAAAGTAATTTTTAGATTCAATGCTATCCTCATCAAGCTACCGTTGACTTTCTTCACAAAATTGAAAAAAAAACTACTTTAAATTATTTATGGAACCAAAAAATAGCCCACATAGCCAAGACAATCCTAAGCAAAAAGAACAAAGCTGGGGCATCACTCTACCTGACTTCAAACTATACTACAAGGCTACAGTAACAAAAACAGCATGGTACGGGTACCAAAACAGATATATAGACCAATGGAACACAACAGAGGCCTCAGAAATAACACCACATATCTACAACCATCTGATCTTTGACAAACCTGACAAAACCAGCAATGGAGAAATGATTCCCTATTTAATAAATGGTGTTGGGAAAACTGGCTAGTCATACGCAGAGAGCTGAAACTGGATCCCTTCCTTACACTTTATACAAAAATTAACTCTAGATGGATTAAAGACTTAAATGTAAGACCTAAAACCATAAAAATCCCAGAAAATACCTAGGCAATACCATTCAGGACATAGGCATGGGCAAAGACTTCATGACTAGAACACAAAAAGCAATGGCAACAAAAGCCAAAATAGACAAATGAGATCTGATTAAACTAAAGAGCTTCTGCACAGCAAAAGAAACTATCAACAGAGTGAACAGGCAGCCTACAGAATGAAACAAAATGCTTGCAATCTATTCATCTGACAGACAAAGGGCTAATATCCAGAATCGACAAAGAACTTAAACAAATTTACAAGAAGAAAACAACCCCATCAAAAAGTGGGTGAAGGATATGAACAGACACTTCTCAAAAGAAGACATTTATGCAGCCAACAAACATGAAAAAAAGCTTATCATCACTGATCATTAGAGAAATCAAAACCACAATGAGATACCATCTCACTCCAGTAGAATGGTGATCATTGAAAAGTCAGGAAACAACAGATGCTGGCAAGGATGTGGAGAAATAGGAATGATTTACACTGTTGGTGGGAGTGTAAATTAGTTCAAACATTGTAGAAGACAGTGTGGCGACTCCTCAAGCATCTAGAACTAGAAATACCATTTGACCCAGCCATCCCATTACTGAGTATATACCCAAAGGATTACAAATCATTCTACTATAAAGACACATGCACACATACGTTTATTGCGGCACTATTCACAATATCAAAGACTTGGAACCAAGCCAAATGCCCATCAATGATAGACTGGATAAAGAAAATGTGGCACATATACACCATGGAATACTATACAGCCATAAAAAAGGATGAGTTCATGTCCTTTGCAAGGACATGGATATCTCTGGAAACCATCATTCTCATCAAACCAACACAAGAACAGAAAATCAAATACCGCATGTTCTCACTCATAAATAGGAGTTGAACAGTGAGAACACATGGACACAGGGAGGGGAACATCACACACTGGGGCCTGTCAGGCAGTGGGGACTAGGGGAGGGATAGCATTAGGAGAAATAGCTCATGTAGATGATGGGTTGATGGGTGCAATAGACCACCATGTCACGTGTATAACTATGTAACAAACCTGCATGTTCTGCACATATACTCCAGAACTTAAAGTATAATAATAATTTTAAAAAGGTAAAAAGAAGAGGAAAACCACCACTTGAATATTTATAGTAGAGAAGAGCAACAATAAAACTTCTTCACTGACACAATAATTATAAAATGTAAAATTGGAAGAATTTAATTAGAATATAAACAATTTGACTTAAGATATTTTATTGAGAAGAGCGATGTAAATAAAGATAGATCAACTGTTGCCAAAATAGTTGGCAAGAATAATATCAGTCTTAAAACTTTACTTTGTAGGCATAGAAAACTTTCCTGGTTTATCATTGCTAAATGGGTGCCTTTTGGAGTTATTTGGTAATTGACATTTACAGTTCTCCTTTTGTAGTCTATACCTTTGTTTATACCTAAGTTTAAATTGCTGAATCATTATCCTATTATTATTATTAACTTACTTTATTTTTAATTAACATCTTAAATTTTTAATTAAAATTATTTTTTATTCAATTACTTATCAATAAATAGCTATATCATTTTCTTTGTATAGATTATATAGATTGTTTTCCTCTCTTTGAAAATTTAAGTTTTTCCACAAAACCTTTCATCCTCATTTGCTGCCACACTCACCTTTTTCACATGTACCTTAATGAGTCTTTAATTAGATGATGAAATAACAACCAAAAAGGACATTTTACTTGAAACTGGAGCTCAATAGCCATTAGGCCTTGTAATATTTCCAACCCTCCTTCTTCATCTATCGTTTGTTTGCACTAGACAAAACTCCTAGCTGATATCAAATTTTGGTAGATTAACATACCCAATAACAACCACATATATTTGGTTTGGGTCATCTACTTTATCCAAACCACTGTTACATATCATATCTGAATTGACTCACACAGCAACCTATGAGTAAGGCAGAGCAATTGTTATTAACATCATTTTACCAATAAGAGAATCAAGATTCTAAATATCCAAAGAAATTGCTTTTCAAAACCCACCTTCTTTAAACACACAAGCTATTTTAGTATAAATTATTCATTAATCAGTAATATTCATAATTCTTCCATGTATTTAATTTTGAAATAAATATTAATGTAAAAATAGAAAAACATAACATTTTTAGATTTAGGAAATATTTTATATATGAATTAAAATTTGCAAATTAAAATTTGATTCAATATTGATGTTTTTGGATAAAGTTTTCTTTACATGTACTCATTCTCACACCATCTATGTGGAAAAAAATTGCGTGTATTTTATCTACACCATATATACACACACTCACACACACATAGAAACTCTAAATATATATATACACATATAACATATATACATACACACACTCATATATTTTTAAAAATGACAGTGTTGTTATGAGGTAGAATTTAAATAACATGTTAGTAGAAGAAATCAATGAAAAGAGATATAATATAAGAAAATAAGTTTGTAAAAAAATGATCACAGTAATTATATTTGGATAAGTGATGAAATAGTTTTAAGATGAGATCAGGTGTGTTCAGGGTGGTATGTCCATAGACAGATTTAGAAAATTCTTTTCAAAAATTCAGCAAAACTGTAAAAGAACCTGAATAACCAAGGTAATCCTGAGCAAAAAGAAAAGAACAAAGTTACAGGCATGACACTACCTGACTTCAAACTATACTACAATGCTACAGTAACTAAAACAGCACGGTACTGGTACAAAATCAGACACATAGATTAATGGAGTAGGATAGAGAACCAAGAAATAAAGCCACACACCTACAACCATCTGACCTTTGACAAAACCAACAACAAGAAGCAATGGGGAAAAGACTCCCTATTCAATAAGCAGTGCTGAGAAAACTGGCTAGTCATATGCAGAAGACTGAAACTGGACCCCTTTCATCATGTACAAATGTCAATTTAAGATGGATTAAAGACTTAAATGTAAGATCTAGAACTATAAAATCCCTAGATAGAAACCTAGGAAATACCATTTTGGACATAGGCCCTTGCAAAGATATCATGTTGAAGATTCCATAAGCAATTGCAATAAAAACAAAAATTGATAAGTATAACTTGATTAAACTTAAGAGCTTCTGCACAGTGAAAGAAACTATCAACAGAGCAAAACAAGAACCTACAAAATAGAAGACAATATTTGCAAAGCATGCATCCACCAAAGGTCTATGATACAGTTTGGCTGTGTCCCCACCAAAATCTCATCTTAAATTCCCATACGATGTAGGAGGGACCCAGTGGGAGGTAATTGAATCATGGGAGCAGGTCTTTCTCATGCTGTTCTTGTGATAGTGAATAAGTCTCATGAGATCTGATGGTTTTATTTATATATTTATTGTATCTATTTAATTATTTTTTTTGAGATGGAGTCTTGTTCTGTAACCCAGGCTGGAATGCAGTGGCATGATCTCAGCTCACTGCAAGCTCCATCTCCTGCGTTCATGCCATTCTCCTGCCTCAGCCTCCTGAGTAGCTGGGACTACAGGCACCCACCACCACGCCCAGCTAATTTTTTGTATTTTTAGTAGAGACAGTGTTTCACCATTTTAGCCAGGATGGTCTCAATCTCCTGACCTCATGATCCACCTGCCTCAGTGTCCCAAAGTGCTGGGATTACAGGCATGAGCCACCGCACTTGGCTGAGATCTGATGGTTTTAAAAGGGGAGTTTTCCTGCACAAGCCCTCTTCTCTTACCTGCCACCAACTGAGATGTGCCTTTTACCTTCCACCATGATTGTGAGGCCTCTCCAGTCACATGGAACTGTAAGTCCGATAAACCTCTTTATTTTGTAAATTGCTCAGTCTCAGGTATATCTTTATCAGCAGCAAGAAAATGGACTAATACAGTCTGTATCCAAAATCAATGAGGAATTTAATGAAATCAAGAAGCAAAAAACAAAGAAACCCATTTAAAAAAATGGGCAAAGGACATGAACAGACACTTCTCCAAAGAAGACATACAGTCAACCAACAAGCATATGAAAAATGCTCAACATCACTAACTATGGCAAGATGAAAATCAAACCACAGTGATAAACCATCTCACACCAGTCAGAATGTGTAGGAAATCAGCCAGAGTGGTGGGAGAAATGACAGGGAAAGGAGCAGGCCTTCCCAAAAGGCTGGAAGGCTTTGCAAAGCTCCAGGGGAGAATAGCTGAAGGCTGCTGTTCTCTGACCCTAAGGCAGAGGGCAAGGAGTAGGTACAAGGAAGTGTAGGGGAATTTATCTTAAACAGGCTTGTTTACTTATGTTGACTGGGAACCCAATCTTTGATCATCCATGCACATGAGGTTCCCTGAAAGGGGAACTATAAATGTTAATTACCCACAGATTGTGTTTGCTCCAGGCTTTTGGCATTCTGTCTGCTCTGAATAAAAGCAAGCAGCTTCAGCTTCTTGGGGTTGCTGCTGCACCTTGGCCACTAGAGCCCAGAAGCCCCCAGCTGCTCTTACACTGCATACCTGTGTCTGAGTACTCCTTTCATCCGTCACTCAGCTAGGGCCTGTGGGACTGACCGGGCAAGATTGGCCATTAGTAAAAAGTCAGAAATACCACATGCTGGTAAGGTTGTGGAGAAGGGGGAACGCTTATACATTGTCAGTTGGAATGTAAATTAGTTCAGACATTGTGGAAAGCAATTTGGAGATTTCTCAAAGAACTTAAAATGGAACTACCATTCGACCTAGCTATCCCACTTCTGGGTATATATGCAAAGGAATATAAATTATTCTACAGTAAAGACACATGCACACATATGTTCATTGCGGCACTATTTACAATAGCAAAGACATGAAATCAACCTAGATGCCCATTAGCAGTGGACTGAATAAAGAAAATGTGATGCATATACACAATGGAATAGTACACAGCCATGAAAATAATGAAATCATGCCCTCTGCAGCAACACAAGTGGAGTTGGAGGGCATTATCTATCCTAAGCGAATTAACATGGGAACAGAAAACCAAATACCGCACATTATCTATCCTAAGCGAATTAACATGGGAACAGAAAACCAAATACTGCATGTTCTCACTTATAAGTGGGAGTTAAACATTGGATACATGTGGACACAAAAACGGGAACAACAGACTCTGGGGTCTACTTGAGGGCAGAGGGTAGGAGAAGGGTGATAATTGAAAAACTACCTATTGGGTACTATGCTAATTACCTGGGTGACAAAATTATCTGTACACCAAACCCCTGGTCCACAATTTACCCGTGTAACACACCTACAAATGTACACACCTAACCTAAAATAAATTTTATTGCGGCATTATTCACAATAGCAAAGACTTGGAACCAACCCAAATGTCCAACAATGATAGACTGGATTAAGAAAATGTGGCACATATACACCATGGAATACTATATAGCCATAAAAAATGATGAGTTCATGTCCTTTGTAGGGACATGGATGAAATTGGAAATCATCATTCTCAGTAAACTATCGCAAGAACAAAAAAACCAAACACCGCATATTCTCACTCATAGGTGGGAATTGAACAATGAGAACACATGGACACAGGAAGGGGAACATCACACTCTGGGGACTGTTGTGGGGTGGGGGGAGGGGTGAGGGATAGCATTGGGAGATATACCTAATGCTAGATGATGAGTTAGTGGGTGCAGCCCACCAGCATGGCACATGTATACATATGTAACTAACTTGCACATTGTGCACATGTACCCTAAAACTTAAAGTATAAAAAAAAAGTTGGAAAGAAAAAAAATAGCTGTAGAAATTAATTTATGGCAGATATCCCAGATGAATAATGTCATGTGATCTCATGTCGTCTTTCTCAAATCCAAAATATATAAGTGACATAAACTTTTAAAATATGAGGGAAAACTCAATAATAAAGATTTCTAGAAAGCTATCTGTGTATTTGTTTATTATTGGCATTCGTAGTTCTAATTGGAAAAAACTTAGATTCATCTGCAACATACAAAATGCATTTCAACATAAGTATTTTTAGATAATGGGAACTAATGGTGTAATGCAAAATAAATAATAAAAACTACTCTTCAAGACTTAGTTCATTTGTAAGTAGTTGTTATGGAGCTGGTGTATATATTACCAGTTGGCTTAGAAGAATTTTTAGCCAGGTGAACTGGTTAATATTTATTAAGATCTCTGAGTGACCCTGGGTTTTTCTACCTCTAATCTCTTTTTTGTCCAGAAAATTTTAGCCATACTAGCCTTATTTTTTGAACACGTCAGACACTTTCCTTTCCAAGGCCTTTGAAACTTGCCATTCTTTCTAGAATATCTCTCCCCCAGAAATCCATAAGATTTGCTTCTCATCACCTTCCACTCATGACCCAAATGTCTTTTCATGGAGGCCTTCTTTGAATCCCTTATTCAAAATTAAATTTAAAATTTCACCCTGATCCAGAAACTTCTACCTAATTTTTTTCTTTTCTTTTTTTTTTTTAAATTTTTTTTATTATACTCTAAGTTTTAGGGTACATGTGCACATTGTGCAGGTTAGTTACATATGTATACATGTGCCATGCTGGTGTGCTGCACCCACTAAATGTGTCATCTAGCATTAGGTATATCTCCCAGTGCTATCCCTCCCCCCTCCCCCGACCCCACCACAGTCCCCAGAGTGTGATATTCCCCTTCCTGTGTCCATGTGATCTCATTGTTCAATTCCCACCTATGAGTGAGAATATGCGGTGTTTGGTTTTTTGTTCTTGCGATAGTTTACTGAGAATGATGGTTTCCAATTTCATCCGTGTCCCTACAAAGGATATGAACTCATCATTTTTTATGGCTGCATAGTATTCCATGGTGTATATGTGCCACATTTTCTTAATCCAGTCTATCATTGTTGGACATTTGGGTTGGTTCCAAGTCTTTGCTATTGTGAATAGTGCCGCAATAAACATACGTGTGCATGTGTCTTTATAGCAGCATGATTTATAGTCCTTTGGGTATATACCCAGTAAAGGGATGGCTGGGTCAAATGGTATTTCTAGTTCTAGATCCCTGAGGAATCGCCACACTGACTTCCACAATGGTTGAACTAGTTTACAGTCCCACCAACAGTGTAAAAGTGTTCCTATTTCTCCACATCCTCTCCAGCACCTGTTGTTTCCTGACTTTTTAATGATTGCCATTCTAACTGGTGTGAGATGATATCTCATAGTGGTTTTGATTTGCATTTCTCTTTTTTCTACTTCATTTTATTAGTTCTCATTACCATCTAACTTATTATATACATACCTATGTGTTTGCCTCTCTCTCTGCCAAATAATTCATGTTGAAAGTAGTGATTCTTTCCTATCCTGATTGTTAGATATCCACAGTGCCAACAAAAGTGTCTATTACATAGTAGGTCTTCAATTAATATGTATGAATGAATAAGAATATCCTTGAAATGCTCTCTTTTAGTTAATGGTTAGGTTATGCTCATATATGGGTCTGACCTTATGCAGGAATATCAGTACATTTCTCATGTAAACTTAAATTTTTCCTTCTTCCAGTTCATCATATCCCAAAATTTATAATTATTTTTACCCATATCTCTATTTGGGATTAGATAAAATTATATACTGTACTCTTAAAATCTCTATGAGAAAATTCAAACAGGACTTTTAATTGTATAGTTTTAAATTCATTTTGATTGTTCATATTGACTTATTTTTTTAAAGTATCAAAATACTACTTGTATAAAAAGGGATTTAAAAGTCATTCACATTTTTCCACAGAAAAGAAAATGTTTACATTTTGAGTCTTTCAGTCTTTCCCTTCATTTTTTACATTACAATATTCACATTACCCTGTTCTTAACAAACTCATTTAAACATAACAGGATATTTCACATCATATGAATGTAAAAATTTTACCAAATAATTTTCTTTCCTTCCACTGAGGTTATTTCCAATTAATTTTAACTAACATTAAAATAATTATGTTTGTAAAATCTTTGATAATATATTTAATACTATTTCATTTTGATACATTCCCAGAAGACTCCTAGTTCAAAAAACAACAACATTTTAAGGATTTTTTGTGTGTATTATCAATTTAATTTCCTGTGAGCTTTATACATCCTTCAGACATTAACGGAGTATGACTTTGACAACTAACACTGGATGCTCCTCTTAAACAAATGTTTTTTTTTAAATTAATGGGAAAATTCTACTTCATTATTATTATATTTACTTTTGAGATGGCACATTAATCAAAGTTTATTAGGTCTAAATGAACTGTATGAGTAAATGATCTACTTATTGGTATAATTTTTTTCATTTATCTATTAAGTGTTTATTATTGTCTGTCATTTTTCTATGATCTCTTTTTATATATGAAGGAAAGATCTTTAACATCTGTATTTGCACATACTTTATCCATATGATTGACTCTACATGAAACATTTTTATGGACAAAAAATTTTCATACATGTTTTGGTCATCAAGTTTTTCTTTTTCTGCTTTATATTCTGTAATATTTTAGGTCACCTCCACTCTTTAATGTAGTATATGAAAGCCTAGAGCATTGGACAGCCAGATGGAAAATGAAATAGTTATGATTTTACCATAGCAAAAACAGTCAGGTGCTTCATAGACACGGCTATTATTTGTTGACTTATTTCTAGCAAAGTTGGTCTAACTACCACTACAAATTTAGCCTTTGTTGTTAGATTACTTGAGCTAAAATCCCAAGTATTATAATAGCTACTCGTGTACCTGTGGGAAAATTTTCTTTGTTCGTTGCTGGTCTCATCTGTTAACAATAGGGATTGTTACAGGGTGTGTTGTGTTTCCACAGAAATCATATGTTGGAGTTCTAATTTCCAGCAGTACCTCAGAATGTGACTGAAATTGGAGACAGGTATTTAAAAAAATAGTTAAGGTTAAATGTGGTCTTAATCCAGCATGACTGACATCATTATAAGAAGAGGAGATTAGGACACAGGCACACAAAAAATAGACCATTTGTAGATACCAGAGGAAGAACATTATCTACAAACCAAGGAAAGAGACCTTAGAATGAAATAAGCTCTGCTGTCAATTTGATCTTAGACTCCTGGCCTACAGAACAGAGACAATGTTAATTTCTGTTGTTTAAGCCATTCAGTCTGTGGTTCTTTGTAATGGCATCCTTAGCACACTAGCACAGGGATCGTACTTATCTAACTCATATCCTTGTTATAATGACTCAAAAACTTATAGAAATAAATTTCATGGAATAACATTGGACAAATAGAACTCAATCTTGCCATTCATAATGAGGAACATTTTTATAGATTTAGAAATAAAAGGTCACAGCAGGCAGATACAAGGCGTAACAATAACTGTCAGATTACAGATGATTTACAACTATTTTGTTAATTATCATTATTTGTTTAAAATCAAATCCAGTATACTGTTCCACACAAGCAAATTTGCCAAAGATGGTAGATGGAAAAATAAAAACAGACTGTAAAAATCTTGTGATATTGAGGAATTTTCTGCATTAGTTTTTTTTAATTTATTTCCAGAATATATGTAAGAAACAATGTTTAATATATTCTTTGAAAGATCCAGCTGAATGACATATAAAAAGAAATAGCTATATAGGGAGAAATCTGGGTTATCGTCCAAAGCATTGTATTTACCTATCATTACTACACCACTAATGGCAACAATTACTAAGTAATTTCTACTCACTTATTGACTTTTCCCACTGTTAGACACCATGCTAATTACTTTAGAAACAATGCCTTATTTAAGCTTTATAAAAAGTGAATGAAGTATGTACTAGTAGTGTTTTTATTTTACAGATGAGGAAAGGTATTTAAAGAGGTTCAAGAACCTGGTGGAGTTTCCACAGGAAGAACTTGGGAGAGCAAGGATGCGGGTCCTGCTGTACCTGAGTCTAAAGAGTCACTGGAGTATACTGTGAACATATTCCCTGAATTGGGTGTTGTCCTTTGTGGGCCACCACTGTAAATAGGAAAATTTGAATACTACAATGTAACCCTTTTCAATTTTAAATTGATATGATGCAATTGCTTCAAATTTTAATATTTTTATAATTATACAGGGGCTTTAAAATAGTTTCTAAATTGCATGTTGAAGAAAGTAACTCTCTAGAATTTAAAGAATTGATGACAGACCATGTTAATGGTAAATATGTCTTACTTTTTTTTACTGGCAGGAAATTATCACCCATAAATCCATGGAAGAACTTATATATATTTATGGCTATCAGCAGATATATTTATTTTTCTCATATGGGGCACCAAAAGACTGATAAATATAGAATTTAATAAAACAGGCACAAATGCTGACCTTTTGGTGATTTAAGTCTCTCAGAATCTTTGCATGTTTTACTCTGACGTAAACAGATGAAAATACAGAAGTAAAGACGTATTTGTAAAGTAACTTTCTTATGATTTATTTAAAATAACCTTAATGCAAGGGAAAACTATCAGCAAACTTGACTTTAGCTCTTACAAAATCATTAGCTGAGGTTTCTAGAAAAAAACTATGGACAATTAAAAGGATCTTAAAAAAATACTCTTAGACCATCAGATTCCAAGAATGAAAAAAGAAAAAAATAGATTCTTAAATCACAAATCTCTTAGCCCTGCATCTCCCAATAAAAATGATTTTTCTATTTCTTATTGTTAATCTTTCAACCTACTGTTCAAAACAAAAATTATTCTTTCATCTTGGCATGAATCTGTCAAAGGCACTGCTTCCAACAAAATTGACTTCTCTAATTTATGTTTCTTTCCCTGAATCTCTCAAGCCCGTGTTCTCAATTAAAAAAAAAATAAAAAATCTTATTCTGTACTTCTGAGATCTTTGGGTCACATGAAAATTGCATTTTCATTTTGGTTAACGTGTTCCAATTTTCAAAATAAATATATATTTTTTGAAAAATAGAAAAAAGTGTTTTTAATAGACTGAATACATGATCATTTTAAATAATATAAAATACTTATTGTTGAAACATATACAAACATTTGAAGTCATAAAATAGGTTGTAATATTGTTGTTTGCTTTATAAGTATATATTCCATAAAGATTATTTTTCATTTTAACAAGATATAGACATGTTACATATTATCTATAACATGTCTTCACTTCACATTTTTCTTTCTTTTGGGAAGGGAGAGTCTCCAGTTTCAGGGAAGAAGGGATGATTTTTTTCTTTTAACTGAATCCTGAGTGGCAGACACTATCTGGCACAATATATCCATCCAGTTTATCATTTTTGTTTGAATACATTGAATCAAAAAATACAGTTTTAAATTTCTATATAGTTTATTTGCTTACGTATCTTATGATACACTTTAAATCAATCATCTAGAAAACATTTAATTGTGTAACTATGTATAGCTATGTTAAAAAACAGTATAGCGTTTAGAACCAAAATACCTAGATTGGCGATGACTTAAGGAATATGTCTCAGCAGAGTTGGCAGTGGAAATATATTTTTTATTTAACAGATGTCATAGCCTCCTCACTCTCAAAAGTAACAAGTGTTTGACTAGTTCTTATACTGAAGTAAAATTGTTCTCATATGAACAATGTGATATATCCTATTTACAGTCGTTCCCCCTGCTTATCTGTGATTTTGCTTTTCATGGGTTTAGTTACTTGTCAACTGTGGTCTGACAATAATAAATGGAAAATTCCAGAAACAAACAATTTACAAGTTTTAAATTGCTTGCTGTTCTGAGTATCATGATAAAATCTTATACCATCCTGTTCTATTCGGCCCATGATGTATATCCTTCCTTTGTGCACCATATTCACAGTATAGACCCTACCCACCTGTGAGTCACTTCGTAGCACTTTCGGTTATCAGACTGACAAATGCTTGTGTTCAAGTAACCCTTGGTTTGCTTATAATGGCCCCAAAGCATAAGAGTAGTTATACTGCCAAACTGTAATAATTGTTCTATTTTATTATTATATATTGTTGTTAATCTCTTGCTCTGCCTGATTTATACATTAAAATTTCTCATTAATTACTATTTGTGGTTTCAGGCATCCAATGGAGATCTCGAAACATCACCCTCACAAATTTGGGGAGACTACTGCATTTCAACATAATGAAAAAAAAAAGGGAGAAAAAATCAAATTGGTTCATTGAATACTCTCATAACAACCATGACAATTATCATATTAAGACTTATGAGGTACACTTACCTGCAGGCGTATCCAGAAATATTTTGGAAATTCAATACAATATAAAATTTTTACATGCATGTTTCTATCCTTTCAGGACCAGGGCTTATATCAGAGAGAGAAAGATAATGGTAAATGTTCCATTTATTCTAGGAGGGCCAATTATGAATTGGCAGAGACAATTAGAACCCAATCATTAGACAATATTGTTGTCACCAAGAGGTAGAAATTAATGAACAATGTATACAATACAGCACATATTACATTACCTGAATTTACACTAATCATGACTATATCAGCAGCATTAAACCAATGCAGATTACACATTATAGTATTTCCATAAGATGAATAAAAATGATATAAAATAGAAAGGAAAACTATTCCTATAATAAATGCTTCTTTTTTGAAAAAAATATTTTAGATTTGAGGGTACATGTGCAGTTTTGTTACATGGGTATATTGCATAATGCTGGGGTTTGGGCTTCTATTGAACCCATCACATGAATAATGAACACAGAACTCAATAGGTAGTACCCAAAAGATACAACCCAATAGATAGTACCTGGTAGGTAGCACCCAATACATAGTACCCTTGTCCCCTCCTCTCCTTCCTCACATTTGTAGTTCCCAGTGTTTATTGTTTCCTCCTTTATGTCCGTATGTACTGTTTAGCTCCCACTTATAAGTGAGAACATGTGGTATTTGATTTTCTAGAGAAATCCTTTTTCAATCTCAGATAAAAACACAGAAAACTTGCAGCATTTTTAACAAAAATTTAATGTAAAAGAATATAGATATCATTTATTTTTCTGTTTTGATTTGATGTATACATACACACTTACATATATATACATGTGTGCATATATAAAGACAGAGAGAGAAATATTGAATATACTGATATATAAATATATATGAGTATATAGAGAGACCTTCACACACACGGAGAGAGAGAAAAAGAGAGAGTAAGAGAGAAAGTGATTCAATATTTAATTATTATCTGCAACCACTTATGCCCACTGATATATCTATGTTTGGTAGTTCCTATTCATTCAAGATGTTTGGTGTGGATGAAATGAGGTGCTCCATAGGACATCACTTTGTCAGATGTAGATAAAACAGAGTTTTACACCTATACTATTTTGTAAAACGAGTTTTACACCTATACTATTTTGAAATATGTCCTTAAAGCAAATAAGCCGTAGGGGAAAGTGAGTGCAATATTTAGGCACCAACCATCAGGCTTACTACACTTACCTTTCAGGGACTACTTTAAACTCTCTCTGAAATTTTGGGTTTTTTTCTTTGTAAAAACGTTATTTTGCAGAAAAAAAAAACCATAAAATTTCAGCGTTACTTATTCATCAAATTCAGAATATTTATACATGGTGTTTTGTTTTTTTCATCATTATGTGCACTAACATCTTGGACAGTACTGAGCACATAGTAGAAATTAAATGCTGTTTGATGAATGAATAAAAAATACATTTGGTTATGTACTTTTGCTGATTTCCAAATATCTTATTATCAAAACAATTTTTTGGATTATTGAAAATGAGGATACTTATTAACATAGTCTGATATATAAGAAAAAAAATACTGAAAATGTTTTATTATTGTTTAAATTCACACACACAATAATATATTATATATGTATGTGAAGAACCTTGGAGTGAAAAATTACCTAAAGATAATTGAACCCTGTCGTTAGTATGAGGCCTGTCTTTCCTAAGACAGTCAGCTGCAGCTGTGTTTTACTGCAGTGAGGTTAAAAATAGGTGCTATTATTGGATGAAATAATGTTTAAGGAGAATTCACTGCAGAAGCCTTTGCAAGGCATATAATAACTGTTTTCTTTCAATGGCATTTTTGTTTTTACTGTGATTACTATTGGATTAATACCTCCTCTCCCAAATACATTATGCTGATTACATATTAAGATTGAATTTATTAAACAATATCTTGACAATACGAGTATTAATAAGCATAATGCATAGACCGAGTCTGATCAATTTGTTTAAATAAGTAGGAGACATTCTATTCTAAACAGGAGGTTTAATTTGCTGATTTACGTAATGAGTTGTTTTTTTTCATGGATTTCACAATTCTGCATGTCTTGCATCAGCTTTTGTCCTTAAATATCTTTTTAAGGATGCTTATGTAACATCAGTCATGGAAGATTGAGCTAGTACAATTGACTCTTGAAGAATGCAGGGGCTAGGGGCACTGACTCCTCATGCAATTGACTATCCAGGTATAACTTTTGACTGTCTCAAAATATAAATATCACTATTGACCAGGAGTCTTTCCTTTAATATAAATAATTAATACATATTTTATGTTATATTCACTATATTATTATCATAAAGCAAGCTAGAAAAGAGAAAATGTTTTTAAGAAAATAATAACAAAAAGAAAACATATTTACCTTTCATTAAATAGAAGTTGATCATTGTAAAGATCTTCATCCTTTTCTTCACATTGAATGGGCTGAAGAGGAGGAAAAAGTGGAGGGGTTGTTCTTGCTGTCACAGGGTTGGCAGAGGCAGAAGAGGTGGAGGAGGTGGAAGAGGAGGCAGGAGAGGCAGACAGACACGGTGTAATTTTCCTGAAAAAATCCACTTGTAACTGGGCCATAGTTCAAAATGTGTGTTCTTCAAGGGTCAACTGTGTTTCCTATGAAGGAAGAAAACAGGGGCCACATTAGATTGTGCTCCACAATAGAAAAGGTAATGTCTCTCTTCAGGTCAAAGGTTTGTTATGTTGCTGGTAGCCCCTTTAAAAGATCTGGGCTTCCTAAGCTCAGGGATCCTCAACTGAGAAGCAAATCTACCAGGTGTTCACCCTCCATCTGGACCGCTTCAGACTAATCAGACTTGGGGAAACAGAGGGTACTGACATCAACATGAAATTCATCCAACCTACTGTGTACAGAAGTCTCATCTCTTCTGTAAGCATCCACGAAACTGTATCAGGTTACTTGTTAGCTTTTCAGAAGGATAGATACATTTTGATAGCTTTCAGAGTTCTTGAAAATATAATGCCCATATTGAATATTTTTTAAAGTTACTTGTGACATTATAACTGCATTTAATCTAATTTACCATAATATTTGTGTAATTATTTGTGATTCGTTTATTCACAGAGTTTGAAAAAATAAATAAAATTTTTGCAAACTGATAGTCAACATTTAAGAGCATCCATAAAATATGCAACTTTGTGAAATTGGAATCTGATTACATTTAATTCACATTAACAATGATATTTATAATGTTATTACAAAGTAAATTCTATTGCATTATCTCATATTTTCTTCTGACAACCATGTATTGCATGACTGAAAGTGGTGATATATTTTGGGGGAAGTTTGGTGAAAGTAAATGTTAAACCTAAGGGTAGATTATCAGCTTTCTGATTCCTAAAATGTTACATATTCCACTGATACCTTTTAGTATATGTAATAAAAATATTTTCTTCTCAGCCTGGAGTTATTAAATTTAAGCCTACAGAATTTTCAAAAAACTGAAAGTAAAAGTTATCTGTGAGAAATATAGTTTCTCTTCAACACTGGCATGTTGAAAGAATCTTTGAGGGAATTTCTGTATGACTCATCTACAAAAAACCACCTATATCTCAAAGAAAAGTACAGTAATAATATAATAAAAGTGATGGTCGTACTTAAAATATGAAGCTTTATATCATCCTTTTCTGTAGTTAATATTGTGTTGTAATTCACCTAACACTAAATATTTTTTAAAAATTTTAGTAGCCACAAAATATATGAAAAAATCACTTTACAATGAAAAATTAAACACTATAACTCATACTTAAATTGCTAAAATTTGTTTATAAAAAGTTATTTTTATTTTAGACAATTTAATGATTTAATCATTTACTTCTCCAATAAAACATAGAAAAATATCTGTTTTATTATTTTGTACACCCCAAAATAGATCAATTTAATAATTGTATGTTATTTGTATTTTATTTAGACAAAGATTGTGAAGCTATATCCTAATTTCAACATTTTATTTATATATTTTATTAAATCTTTGAAATCATGGTGATCAAAATCACATTACCAACTGGTATGAGACCACCATATTTTATTATTACATTTATTGGCACTTTTAGTTGGGATAGGATGCCATCATACAATTTGAATGAAAATTCCACATCAAAGATTTACAATTTAAGAAACATTATTTCTTAAATTTTTTTTAAAAAATCACCTACAATAAAACTTTTAGCAGTTATAAAAAAATCATGATCATAAGTTGAAATGCTAACACAAAAACTACTTGGGTATTTTTGGTGTACTTAATGAAGGACAAATAGAAAGTAAACCTTATGGTGAGAGAAATAACCCAAAATATACCAGCAAGAACATAAATACAAATTAATAAAATTATCCTGTTAAAAGACAAAAGTTTTCAAATTGAATGAAATATCTAGCTATATGTTTTTTTTAATTAAGAAAATGTTACAGGATTTTGGAGTGTTGCTTGGCCAGCTGGAAGCCTCCGTGACACACGGCACCTTCTGCCTGAGTATTGCTCATGCTTGCTGGGCTCATCCCACCCACTCAGCTGAGCAAGCTGCCTTCGGTTTGCGCTATTGGCCCAGATCCCACACCTGCTAAGGTCAAGCCAGGCATGGAACGGTGAGGGGTGCATGGGCAGTAAGCATGGGTTCTGGCCACTGTGCACAGACAGGCATGCCTACTGCACGTGGCTGTGGGCACCCCCTTCTGGGTGAGGGGAAGGTGGTGGCACCCAGAATCTTGGAGATGCCAGGAACCACAGAGTCCCAAAGAGGTTGTCACAGCCCCTGCTTAGGGAGTCTGCAAATCTAAGCTCCCAGAAGGGCTGCAGCTAATCTCTCCTTCTCGTCACCCACAACATGGCCAGTGGTGTGGGGGGAGTGTTTCAGCTCTGTTTGTGTTATACCTCTTTCAGTCCTGCCATTTGGTAGGTCCAAGTTCTTGTCTCATGTCCAGGAAGAATGAGGTACAGGACAACTTGTGTGTGAGCAAGGTGGAGAGAAGCTTCATTAAGTGACAGGACAGCTTTCAGGAGACCCAAAATGAGTAGCTCCTTTCTGCAGGCAGGTCATCCTGAAGAGTCCAAGAGACCGGAGGCAGGTAGCCCCTTCACACAGCTGGTAGCTCCAACATCTGTTCAAGTCTGGTTGAGTCTTGGACTTTTATTGGCTACAAAAGGAGGAACTTTGTTCTGATTGGTCCATGGGCAGCCAGGATTGGGCTTGGAAAAAGAACCATAAGTTTTCACTCCAGGCTTGCAGACTCCACCCAAAACTGGCAGCCCCAGGCTTCAGGCTGTCCCTGGCTTGAAGGTGGAGTTTCAGTGGGGACCTACCTCTTTACACCCAGGAGTCTCTCTTCCACCTGCTGCCATCAACATGTCATTCGTGACACCCAGGCTGTTCCTGCCAAAGGGTGCCTGCAGGCTCATCCCAAACTGCCCTCAGTGCCCCCTTGACCTCCCTCTCATGATCATTGGTGCCCAAAGTCTGTAGGGGGCCAAAGCAGCAGGGGGATGACGTGTCAGCATCACCCTGCTGACACTTACACCCGGCTGGGTTGCAACAGCACCCAGGTTTGGCCACAACTTTGTTATGCCTCGGAGTGGGCACCAGGAGTAGGAACAGGCCAAGGAGTGGAAGTAGGCATTTTCAAGCCTGTGAAGGCAAGGCACTTCCCAGGCCCCAAAGAACGCAGACATGCCAGGGGCCAGAGCCATGGCTGGGCAGCTGCAGCTGCATCTAGGAGCACGGGCTCCTGCCACGCTAACTTGGTAGTGGGAAGGTCTTCTGCCGGGTCCATGGAGCACACAGCCTGGCCATGTCTCCCCTGCTGCAGCTGGTTTCCCCACAGCGTCTGCACCAGATAAGCTTCCACCACCATCAGAAACACCTAAATCCTAGATAACAAAAAGCTTTAAAATAGCTGTAATAATTACTTGGGGATGTTTGGTACAGTTAAAGAAGGGCAAATAGAAAGTAACCATTATGGTGGAGAAATAACCCTAAATATACCAGTAAGAATGTAAATACAAATGGATAAAATGATCCTGCTAAAAGAAACACATTTTCAAATTGAATGAAATATTTAATGATTTTTTTAAATGAAAGAAACACCTAAAGTAGGATCAAAATATATAAAAACAGATACAGGTCTACTAACATCAGGAACCATATATTTATTAAAAATATGATTAGAACAAAAGATCAGCCCTTATGTAATAACACAACAGCAACATTTTCCCCAAAATACATTTTTAGTTCTTAGCTAAATATTGGGAACTAATTACTAATGTCATTTCAAACAGAAATTGGCAAAATCCTCAGTGATACTCTGGGATTTTCACCCACCATCAACTTTTCTTGGTGATTTATATTGTGAAATTTTGCTGGGGGGTGATAGTGGCTAGACAATTCAATGTATGTGTTTACTGAATTGTGAATCTTTGTTACAAGATTCTCATTCAGACTGCATTGAGCAAGTTCTTCTCGTCTAAAGAAAACTGCTAAGAAATCTAGTTGTTGAGGAAAAATAGTACAAATAAAAGACAAATAGAACACATATAAAAAGCTTGGTGTAATGCATGCATATTGAATCTTACATCCAACCATTGTAAATATTCATTCTCTTTAAGATACAGAGGAGTACAGTATTTACAAAACTAGACAGCTTATCTGGTCATTGCCAGGCATGGTGGCTCATGCCTGCAATCTCAGCACATTGGGAGGCTGAGCCAGGTGGATTGCTTTACCCCCAGGAATTCAAGACCAGCCTGGGCACCATAGAAAAACCCATCTCTACAAAGAGTAAAAAATTTAGCTGGTCATGGTAGTCTGTGCCTGTAGTCCCAGCTACTTGGGAGGCTGAGGGAAGAGGATCACTTAAGCTCAGGAGGTTGAAGCTGCAGTGAGCAGTGATTATGCCACAACACTACAGCCTGGGCAGCAGAGAGAGACCATGTCTCAAAAAAAAATGATGATGATAATAATAATAATAATATCTGGTCATAATACAAATATCAATGCTTGTGCAGAAATATGGGGCATAAAGAATAATTAATTTTGACTACATTTACCTTCTCTTGCATGCTACAATCAAATTAGACATATATAGAAACCATAACCGTATATTTGGAAATTAAAAGAATATAACATGGAGATAGTCCATGCATCAATAAATAGTCTTATTTGAAATTAGAAAATACATATACTCTATAGTCATCATAATACGATATTTCAAAATATATAAAATGCATTTAAAACCAAGGGGAAAATAAATCTTCACATGCTGATATTTGAAAAGAAAGTCTGAAAATGAGTAATGTAATTATCCAACTTGAAAGTTATTAAAATAAAATAAATTTAATTCAAGTAACTGTAAGGAAAGAGCAATACTAACCTCAGAATAAAATGAAACTTTAACCAATTTTAGAGGGTGATAGGATCAAAATTACTTGCTATATTCTGAATGTTTGTGTTGTCTAAAATTTATAAATAGAGATCCTAACCCCCAAGGTGATGGTATTAAGAAGTGGGAGTCGTTGAGAGGTGAATGCTACTAATGTCCAATAAAAAAGACCCTAGGGAGCTTGTTTGCCCCTTCTACCATGTGAGGACAGAGCTGGAAGGCACTATCTGTGAAGAAGTGGGCACTCACCAGATAACAATGAAATATTGATTTTGGAACTTCCAGCCTGTAAAAATAAATGCTTGTGTTTGTAAGCTACCTGGACTATGGTATTTTGTTACAGGAACCTGAACTAAGCATTTTATCAGAAAAGTGCATATATATATAATCTGGCAATATAGGCTTTCAACAAGAGTGATCAAGAAGAGAGGAGAGATGGTGAGAAGGACAGAGAAAGGGATCACAAACAATATTCAACATAAAAAGGAGGCATAATTACATATGCAGAAATAATATAAAAATAAATGAATATTGTAACTTTATGCCAATTAATTCAAACCTTCCAAAAACTAAAACAAGCATAGTAAACCTGTATAATAAAAATTAACATAATCATTAAAGAAATGGAATTTACCCACAAGATACAAAACTAAATAAAACATGAGTTGCAGCTATTTTTACCAGTAATAGCTACTAACTACCAACAAATTAATTTTTTTACCAGTAGTTTCTACCAACAATCTAAGATTGGATTACATGTAAAGTTTTACAGCTACTAGAGAGGTATTGGTAAGTAACTCATTTTAGCAAGCCATCATAACCTTGTTACCTGTGATAAGCAGAATTCTAAAATGATATTCCAAGATTTTTATCCCTGATTGTATTAGTCTATTTTCACACTGCTGATAAAGACATACCCAAGACTGGGCAATTTACAAAAGAAAGAGGTTTAATGATCATACAGTTCCACATGGCTGGGAAGGCCTCACAATCATGGTGTAAGGGAAATAGGAGCAAGTCACATCTTACATGGGTAATAGCAAGCAAAAAGGCAGCTTGTGCATGGAAACTCTCATTTTTAAAACTGTCATATCTGGTGAGACTCATTCACTATTATGAGAGCAGCACAGGAAAGGCCCGCCCCCATAATTCAGCAATTACCTCCCTTCAGGTTCCTCCCACAACATGTGGGAATTTTGGAGTTTCAATTGGAGATGAGATTTGGGTGGGGACACAGGCAAACCATATAATTCAGCCCCTGGTCTCCCCTAAATCTCATGTCTTCACATTTCAAAACCATTCATGCCTTCCCAGCAGTCCCCCAAAGTCTTAACTAATTTCAGCATTAACTCAAAAGTCCACAGTCCAATGTCTCATTTGAGACAAGGCAAGCCCCTTCTGCCTATGAGCCTGTAAAATTAAAAGGAACTTAGTTACTTCCTAGATACAATGTGGGTACAGGCATTAGGCAAATACAGCTGTTCCAAATGGGAGAAATAGGCCAAAACAAAGCAGCTACAGGCCCCATGCAAGTTTGAAATCCAACTGGGTAATCAAATCTTTGAGCTCAAAAATTATATTTTTTGACTCCATGTCTTGCATCCAAGTCATGCTGATGCAAGAAGAGGGTTCCCACGGTTTTGGGAAGCTGCACCCTCATGGCTTTGCGAGTACTGCCTCCCTCCTGGCTGCTTTCATGGGCTGGTGTTGAGTGTCTGTGGCTTTTCCAGGTATACAGTGTAAGCTCTCGCTGAATCTACCATTCTGGGGTCTGAAGGACGGTGGCCTTCTTCTCACAGCTTCACTAGGCAGTGCCCGAGTAGGGACTCTGTGTGGGGCTTCCACCCCACATTTTCCTTCTGCCCTGCCCTAGCAGAGGTTCTCCATGAGGGCCTTGTCACTGCAGCAAACTTCTGCCTGGATATTCAGGCATTTCCGTATAAATCTGAAACCTAGGCAGAGGTTTCCAAACTTCAATTCTTGACTTCTGTGCATCCGCAGGCTCAACACCACATGGAAGCTGTCAAAGCTTGGGTCTTCCACCCTCTGAAGCAACAATAGAGCTGTACCTTGGCCCCTTTGAGCCATGGCTGGAGTGGCTAAAACAGAGGGCACCAAGTCCCTAGGCTGCACAGAACAGGGGGGCCCTGGACTCAGTCCAGGAAACTATAGTTTCCTCCTTGGCCTCTGGGCCTGTGATGGAAGCTTGAATTTCTCCTCAGAAAATGTGTTTTTTTTTTTTTTTCTATCACATTATCAGGCTGCAAATTTCCCAAACTTTAATGCTTTGCTTCCCTTATAAAATGGAATGCCTTTAGCAGCACCCAAGTCACATGTTAAATGCTTTGCTGCTTAGAAATTTCTTCTGCCAGATACCCTAAATCATTTCTCTCAAGTTCAAATTTCCAGGCCTCTCTAGGGAGGGGGCAAAATGCCTCCAGTCTCTTTGCTGAAACACTAAGAGTCACCTTTGCTCCAGTTCCCAAGTTCCTCATCTCCATCTCAGACGACATAAGCCGGGACCTTATTGTTCATATCTCTATCAGCATTTTTTTCCAAGCCATTCAACAAGTCTCTAGGAAGTTCCAAACTTTCCCACATTTTCCTGTCTTCTTCTGAGCCCTTCAAACTGTTCCAACCTCTGCCTGTTACCCAGTTCCAAAGTCGATTCCACTTTTCAGGTATCTTTTCAGCAGCACCCCACTCTACTGGTACCAATTTATTGTATTAGTCTGTTTTCATGTTGTGGAATACCCAAGGCTGGGTAATTTACAAAAGAAAGAGGTTTAATGGACTTACAGTTCGACATGGTTGGGGAGGCCTCACAATCATGGCAGAAGGCAGAAAGGAACAAGTCACATCTTACGTGGATCGTGGCAGGTAAAGAGAGAGCCTGTGCAGGGAAACTCCCATTTTTGAAATCATCAGATCTCCTGAGATTCATTCACTATCACAAGAACAGCTCAGGAAAGGCCCACCCTCATAATTCAACAATCACTTTCCACCAGGTTCCTCCCCAGACATTTGGGAATTGTGGGAGTTACAATTCAAGATGAGATTTGGGTGGGGACACAGCCAAATCATATCACCGATATTCAATCTAAGTGCTGTGAAGAGATTTTTGCAAATGTAAAGTTCTAAATCAACTGTCTTTGAGATACCAAGATAGTATCCACTGGTCTAAACTTATCACACAGAGTCCAGAGATTTGAAGCACTAGAAGAATTTCAAATACCACTGTTGGCTCAAAAATGCAGAGCACTACATGATGAAGAATGCAGACTATGTCTAGAAGTCAAGAACAACCCCCTAAGCCGACAGCCACCAAGGAAATGTGGACTTCAATTTTCCAACCACATGGAACTGAATTCAGCCAACAACCTTAATGATCTCAAAAACACTTCTGCCCTAAAGCCTTCAGATGAGAGCTCAGCCCCTAAACCTTGATTTTCACATTGAAAGACCCTTAGCAGAGAATCCAATTAACCCTCCCAGACTTGTGATCTACCAAATGGTAGCATAATAAATGGGTGTTTAGTTGCTAAATTTCTGCACATTTGTCATGTAGCAGTAGAGAACTGATTCAATACCAAACCAGATAAAGTTAGTTGAAATTGTAAAAATATAGTTCAATATCACTTATAAATCTACATGCAAAAATCCTAAATAAACCATAGCACACTTAACTTTTACTAAGAAATTAATAAGAATTTATGGCCCAAATATTTATCACTAGAGTACAAGTATCACATTAAATATTAAATTCCCTTTGTAAAGATTCATATGTGTAGGAATATAAAAGAAAATAAAGGGAAGCAAGGAAAGTATGTGTCCTTTGGGGTATTGCTACATGTATTTGGTACTCTTTGTGTTTTAGGACATCTATTTTGGAAACTATTTTGTCGAGTGGAGTTCGCCTCAAGAATAAGATGAGGAACTGATAAAATCTGTTTCCAACTTGTCTATTGGTTTCAATATCAAGGTGACATTTTCAGACAATTTCTCTTTTAATTTTATTCCTCCTAGAAAACCATTTTTCCATTTTGTACTAAACATGGTCATCTTACTTTTAGTCTGTTCCACGTTGGGTCGTATATTTTACATACTTTGAAGTGCAAATTTTTTAAGTCTAAATTGTGTTCCTTTATTGCTGAATCAGAATTACTTACTACACTTTTGTGTTTTTATAATATACTGTTTTCCTCTACTACTTCTTTTATAAAATCTGCCCCATTGAGCTGGCATTATTATTTGGCTCCACCGCTAGATTGAAAGCTCTTTCAGGAGAGACTATGCATTATTCATGTTTTCATTCTGCAGAAACTTTCATAGCATATAGCTAATATTAAGTACCTGATGATGTTTATTAATTGAAAAGGACTATTGTTAATTGCCTCTTGGAATAGTAATGAAACTTGTAAATAAATATATGTCAGTGCCTATCAAAGATATCACTCAATTTTGGGGTATCATTATTATAGTTAACATTGGATACTATATCCCTAAAATCTCACTCTCTGTATTTCCATAGCATGAGAGAAGCTCTGTGTAGATATTAAACATGAAGTAGAATGAAAATACAACTATAAATTACTGAAAGGCCTGTTTTACTTGGTGAATACAACAGAACTTGGACTGGATTTTAGACATTTTCTGCCCATTTTACAAGAGCAGTCTTGGTGACTCCCACAGATTTTAGCACAATATCACACAGAGAAAATTACATCATTTCTACAAAAATCTGGATAACTGGACAAGCCTCCTGAGTCATGATATGGCCATCCCAGGCATCCTCTGGAGGATGAAAGCATTTCCTAATCTCTCTAATATCTTAATGGACATGTAAACCACTCCCAAAATATAAATGCTCCTAGGTTATGAAACTCTAATTCAAACTTGTCAAATATAATTTTTTTCTCTATTGTGTCATAAAATTTTCAAAAGCTTCAGGGCTTGAACAGTAAATATATTGTTTTCCTTACTGACTAGCTTGATGGAGATTTTGACAAATGTATGCTGGTTTTGAAAGAACTTGTGGGGTCCTGCTTATCACCGTGTCCATTATTGGTTTGATTTCATTATATATAGTTAGGGCAAAATAATTTGTATCCCACTTAAGAAGCTCCTGAAAACAAACACATGAAAAAGAGTACAAATTCTGTATTATATATCTCAAAATGGAAAATAATTTGTTTAAATGAAATCAAGCCAATATCACTAACTGATCCATCTTTACCCCCTAAAGCTGCATGAAATGACTGCTATGCATGTATATAATCATTAAAATGTGTTGACAGAAATTTAGTTGTTATCCATGGATATTGTCAAGAACTATTCAAAATAGAAATCAAAATCAAATCCGCTAGACATAGTTTTATATGTTATAATATTATAATTTTGCAGTATCTGGATAAGAAGCTAGTATATGTGTGTTTCTTTCTTAGATGTGAACAAGGTTAAGGATCACAGCCTCTTGGGTTTCTCAGCTTTTCTCTCCTAATAGATCAATGACATACTGATGTAACCCAACATTTCTTTGGTCTTTTGTACCAAACTGATAATATTATGGTATATTCAGTTTCACTGTATCATACTCTCTTTTATTCTAAGCATGTCAATTGTTTAAGTTATATTTAAAGTATTAAACATGCATATGATTAAGAGACAGAGACCTATGCCAAAAAATGTGTTCATAATCTAATTTTATATGTTTTTTTCTTGTCATTTAGGAAAAAATATATGTTTTTCCAAAAAAAAGATCTGGCTGGGAATCAGTGAAACTCCTAGCCAGCATGTAACTATAGTCATAGCTTCTGAAGTTTCACATTGCATTATCAATAACTTTCTCTTTCCTACTTAAATTTAGATGCAAACAAAAATATTTTGAGAATTAATGTTGAAATACTTATCACAGCCATAGTGCTGCGCCGGTAGTTAGTGCTACTAAATATTTGCTAAATGAATGCATTATTAAGTTATTTTTTACCTTAATATGAGAAATTGAGAGTTTCAGACATTTTTAGTGCTATAATTGGGCAAAAATTAAATGGAAAAATATTTTCAATGAAAGAAACAAAGTATATGTCAATCATGTAGATGACACTGTTCAACTGAACAATTGTGAATTCATGAGATGTGTGTATGTGTGGTGTGGCAATATGTGATCAAAAGACAATTTGGACGATACATTGCTCTTGAGAAACTAGTAGGAAAAAAAAAATAAACCGATAATTTCAACATGGCATTAATCTTAAGGGAAT
The DNA here is from genome assembly GCF_000001405.40 of Homo sapiens. Classification (NCBI taxonomy): domain Eukaryota; kingdom Metazoa; phylum Chordata; class Mammalia; order Primates; family Hominidae; genus Homo; species Homo sapiens. Next base: position 29,551,018 of record NC_000004.12, read on the forward strand.
GTAATATACAACAACCCTGGAAAGTGGAGACAGATATAAATGTAAGATGACGATTCGAGGAAAGCATTCTAGCACAATTAATCGAAAACTTGAATGATAATGGATGGCACAAAAATTTGATATGAATACTTTAGACTGGAAAATGTTAGAAGCAAAATGTTAGTAATAATGATGATGATAAGAAATTAAAACTAATAATATGAAAACCTAATTTAGATCTTATTATTTTAGGGTTTTCCATGCTTTTTTATATGGTTAATCTGCACATTGTAGTTACTATTATAATCACCTTCATTTTACCATAGAAGAAGGTCGAGGCAAAAGGAAGTCCTCTAAATTGCACAAGTTGCAATGATCTGAATATTTATGTCTCCCACTCCCCTAATTTATGTGTTGAATTTTTAACCACCAAGATTATAGTATTAGGAGGTGAGGCCTTTGAGAGTTTATTAGTTATGAGGTAAAGTCCTCATGAAGAGGATTAGTACATTTATAAAAGGGGCCCAAACAGATCCCTCACCCCTTCCATTATATAAAACACAAGAAGTTGTTGACTAGGAACCAGAAAATAGGCCCTCACAAGACATCAAATCTTAGCTTGATCTTAGACTTCTGAGCCTCCAGAAATGGGAGAAATAAATTTCTGCTGTCTATAAGCTATTCAGTTTATAGTATTTTGTTAGAGCAGCCTGAATGGACTAAGACACCAGTATACACAATAATAAGTTGTGAGGCCAGGATGTGCATTCAGAAACTCTTGAAATACTACAGTTTATAAGGTAAACTTGAAGCAGTTGTATACTACCACTGTTTTGGTAATATATTTTTGTGAATATCATTTTTACTGTGGTAAAATACACATCACTTAAAATATACCATTTTAATCACTTTTAAGTGCACACTCGAGTGGAATTTAGTAGATTTACAATGTTATATAACCTTCACTAGTATCTAGTTTCAGAAGACTGTCATCACCCCAAAGGAAACCTCATACTCATTAAACTGTCATTCTCTTTTACTACCTTTTGACCATTTCTGTTTATCTTTTTACATTTTTTCCCATTTTCTCATTAGGTTGTTTGGCTAACTCCTATTGGCTGTAGATGTGTTGGCAATAAACTTTACAACTTTTGTTTGTCTTCAGTGCTCTTATTTCATTTTTGTTCTTGACCATGTTTGATTTCCATGCAAATCTAGGTAATGTTATTTGGAATATTATTTAAATATATTATTGGGACTGCTCAGTTCAAAGTTAGTTCTATTGAAGATCAATAAATACTTTATTTTCCTATTTATTTAACGTCTTCTCTTTATCTTTGATACTATGTAACTACATGATGATGATGGTAGGTATAAAGTTATAGTCATATATCCCACCTATGATTCACAATGGTTACAGAATATGAGTAGTTTTTATATAATTCTATTCAGTATATCTTTTTATCTAACTTTTTTTTACTAGCTTCTTCTGGTTATCTCAGTAGATATATGTTAAAATTTTTCATTTCACTCTCACATCTCTCAACATCACTTATATTTTTACATCTCTGTTTCTCTGTACTGAATTGAGTAATTCTATTAAGATCTGTATTTCAGTTCACTCATGCTAACTTCATAATGCCTATTCTGCTATATATCTCATCTAAAGAGCTCTTTTTCCATTTCTAGAATTTTTATTTGGTTATTTTCCAAATCAGATTCAGCATTTTGATAGCCTTCTTTCTTTTGCATACTTGCACACCACCTATTGTTACTTAAACACATTATATTTGGTCTTTAATACTTTACATCTGTTTCTGATTATTGTGTATTTATTCTCTTAACTTGCACACACAGTAGCTTGTTTCTTTGGCAATTTTCATTTTTAATGTTTATTTCTTCACTATGGTACTTTATTATTCAGAGAACTTTGAAGGACTGTGATAACATCTGCTGCTATAAGGAGGTCTATGTTTACTTCTACGAAGTGTCCAACTTGATAATACTCAGAAATTTAACATAAAGTCTGTGTGCTCTAGGTATTTTAGGTTCTGTAGGTAATGCGTTTTCCAGTCTAAAACTTGCTTCAGGCCAGACTGGAGATTAGGTATTATCAAGGAGGATCTTGGTACTCCATTCCCTTATCTGTTAAGTCTGATTATTTTCTCCTTGTAGTTGGCAGTGTATGTGTGTGTGTGTGTGTGTGCGTGTGTGTGTGTGTGTGTGTTGTGGGGGGGAGGGGCGTGCTATTTACCTCCCAGTTAGATATTTTATTGATTATTCATATTTTGGAATCATGGCTTTATATCGGGGCTCTTGGTTTTCTAACTTTTATTCTTATCAGCCTGTAGATTTTTTTTTTTGTACTTGTTGGATTAAAACCATATGCCTAAAAGCTCGTAGACATGACATAGTTCCTCAGGGCAACTGACTCTTCTTTGGGAGCTTTCTTCTTGGAATTCCTGCTTTATTCAATATATTTTGTTTTATCTTTATGTTTTTAAACTTTTTTGCTAAAACTATGCAATTAAAGATTTTAAAAAATATCCAGCATATTGAGGTATATTTCAGAATATTCAGAATATTTCAGAATATTCAGTGTGTCTTATTGCTAAAGATGGAAGTTCTGCCATATTCCTTCATTTTAATTACAAAGAATACTGTACCAATAACTGGGGTCATAGAAGGAGATTTGATAATCCTGATGTGAATCCTTAACAAGCATTCAGCATCTCAGATTTCATTTTTTTCTGGTTAAAATTGATGACATTGATTTATTTTATAATCAGCAAGTAATAAACATTTAAAATTACAAATAAAATCATAGCAATAAAACTATAAGCATTTCCCATTCAATTATTAAAAAGGAATAATTTCCAGATAATCTCCAGATGCTTTCCCTGAGTGTAAATCCCTCTAGGGAATTAGGCCATTCCTGTCTTTTCCTAATAGCACAGGCATTTTCTACAATTTGCTGTTCTCTATTTCTTTGGCTCCAACCCAGACTCACCTTCTTTGCCTACCACTTTCAATTTATGACTCATTCAGATTTATCCTTTTTAATTTGGCTGCTTCCCAAGTAACTGCCTTTTGGATCACATACCTTCTCAACTTGCTCAACAGTTCTCAAAAACAAATTATGCTTTACTTCTTCATCTAGCTCCAAATTAATAGAAAACTCAATTTCTCTACTACCTTAGAACACGAGCCATGGTGACTTTTTCTGCAGAGGAAGCTATTCAAATTATTATTTTTTTAATGCAGTTAATTTAAAGGAGAGGTAATTGTGGTTAGCATAGTAATTTTTTATCTGAATCATGCTAAACCTAAGAGGAGTGGATCCCTCTGCCATTAACTAATTAACTGTGTAACCTTGGGCAAGTCAAAATTTCTGCATCTGAAAAATGAGAATGATATTACTTTAATGCTAGGATTGTGTTAACAGTTAAAAGTGAAAAGACGGTGGTTCACAGTGCAGTGCCCTACACATATAGATATATACCCAAACATGCAATACCCATAAATATATGTAAATATGTTTGTATGTCTGGAAATATAGATTTAATATGCATATTAAATAAGTTATAAATATATTTATTAAAATTCTTTATTTATAGAAATGCATATTTTAGAAAACAAGGTAGAAAGTGTTAAAATATGTTAATGGAAACATAGTAAAGATGTGTAAGATAAAGATATAACACAGATTATAATTAGAAAATATTATTTTGGATTTTTATAGGAGGAAAGTAGAAAGAATTTAATAATTTAACCTGCCTGAAACATGCTTTTTCTTCCTTCTTCCCACCCAAATTCCACATTTCAGTTAAGTAATTTTAGTAATTCCCATTCCAATTAATCTCTACCTTGTCTAAAAATAACATAGATATGTGTGTGTACGTGTGTGTGTGTGTGTGTGCGCCAAATTGCATTATTGTTTCATTTTCTATAGGTATCTACAGTTTTACACGAACTTGATAGTAATTCTCCTAAGGAAAATGGCAACAAAACATCATTCTGTATCTAGCTCAATATCTGGAACATAGTAGACATTCAATAATTGTGTAGGAATTATTGAATCTTGACTTTCCAAACTTACATATCTGAAAAGAAATAATTTTACCATAAGTTAAATTAAATGATTGGTAGATAGAGTCAATTATTATAGCAAATGAACGAGACAAGTAAAAATATAGCTTCTTTAAGGGATTATTTTCAACATTCTATCACCATAAACCCCAAATCAACAGAAAAATCCATCACAGTGTGGTTTAATCTACTGTTCAAGAGGAAAAATGGTAATAAAAAGAAATTGTGTCATGTGTAAATTTCACCATGCACGTTTCTAACACGAGGTATTCCAGAAAATAGGAGATAAAACACAGGGATGAAATGTGAAAGTGTGTTCACAGATGAGTTGTCGCTACAATTTTCCAGTCTTCATTAGTCCATGAATCTAGGCTTCTACCTCTCCCCCAGATAGTCTCAAAGTAAAGAGAAAGCTTAAGTACTAAAGAAGTGGCATTTAAGGAGCTCTAGGGTTAAGAGAACTAGCAGCCACAGTGCTGCAAACAGTGTGTTAATTAGAAGTTTGTATACTTAAATTTGAGATTATCAGTTCTTTTCTTCCACTTGGAGAATTTCATTTTCCAGGGATACTTCATGACACACTCAAAGAATTTGATGAGCAGCTGAAGAGAAAAATGCTACTGCAGCTTTCTAATTGGGATACCCACAATTAAAAGGGAAAAAGAAGGAAGGTCCCTTGTCACTTAATTACTTTACAAAAATGAATTTCCAACTTTAGCTTTTTATCAGAATCACCTGTAGGACTTTTTAAGACAGACTGAAATAAGCCAGGCACAGAAAGACAAATAGCACATGGTCTTACTTATATGTGGAACCTAAAAATATTGAACTCATAGAAGTAGAGAGCAGAACAATGTTTATCAGAGAGTGGGTTGGGAAGGGGGAAGAAGAGGATGCGAAGTTCTTGATCAAAAGGTACAAAGTTTGGATAGATAAGAGGAATAAGATTTGTGACATATTGTATAATAGAGGGACTATAATCTATAATAATATACTATATATTTCAAAATAACTAAGGGTAAATTTCAAATATCTCATCATGAAAAATAGGTAAGCTAAGTAATGGATATGTTAATTCAATTGATTTAATCATTTCACATGTATAAATATATTAAAACCACATTGTACCTCATGAATGCACACAGTTATTTATCAATTAAAATCAATATTAATAAAAAAGATTGCTAGGTATTTAAAGGATCTCATGAGTACAGAGACAATTAGGTGAGAAAACAGGAAATTAACTCTAGAAAGAAAATAAAACCTATATGTAACAGAAAATACAACATATCTCTTGGTTAAACAAATAAGAATGCTACCATATTCAGAATAATATGAGCACTATATATTTATTTGAATAAAGTATAATAATTTTGAGAGATGAAGATAAAATGTGCAAGCATTGGTTGTGAAAAATAACTGAAAACCTCATTTGCTATCACTGAAAACAATATCGAAAATTAATAAATATTAAATAGTATATACACGGTATTGTTTAGAAATGTGCATTTTAGGACCATGAAGAGAATATAAAACTGTTGAAAAAGAAAGTTGCTGGAACATGGCACTAGGGATAGAATGGTGATAAATCTAAGTACTTTGATAAATCTTTATATTTCTACTTGATGTATAGCTATGTGCATGCATGTTTTTGATAAAAATGAAATCAATTTTGAATATATGTAACATAAATATACACTTTGATATTTATTTTACATATATAATCATGTACATTTTCTTTCTTTATGTATATTCTTGATATTCTAATGTTTAAAGTAACATATTTAATGTTAAATATGTAAATGTAAATTTCCGGAACGAATTGTTCTCTTTAATTTTATGGCATAAATGGATTTAGTATGAATGCTTTCTGAAAGTTCTTTCACCATTTTTTTGGTAGCTGCATAATGCTGAAAATATGAAAACTTTAAAAGTCATTATATAAATATGCTGCAACTACTTTTTAAGATTACACCGTATAGTGACACGAATATTTCTAAAATGCTATATAATAGTTTCATCCTTTAATTGCTAAGTGGGTTAGAAGTCAAAAGCAGGTAGCTTTGATTTTAGTCATGAGGCTGTAATTTAATGTAGAAAGTAAAAAAATACACTTCCGTATTGTCTCCTCTGTTACCAGTTTACACATGCACACTCCTCCTCTACATTTTAAAAATTTTCTTTTTGGCGGATGGAATCCTCCAGTAGCATCCATAGAATAAACTAATGAGTATAATTTTTTGAGGTTCTACGTGTTTTATACTTTAATTTTTCTCTCTAAAGTAAGTACTAATTTGGACAAAATTAAAATTCTTTACAAACGTTCTATTGGAAATAAATATCTCAGAATGTTTTAAGTTCTCCCTGTGCTGTCTTCTAGGTTTCATTGTTGTTAATGAGATGTCCCAAACTATTTGGTTTCCTTATGGCTCTCCACCCACACTCACTGAGAACTGTATACTCTTATCTCTTCCTCTCTTTCTTTTACACCCTTTCCTTGTGTATGTGTGTGTGTATCTATTTACGTTTTATACACCAACACACACACACATTTGGAACTTGTGCATCTTATCTAAGGGTTCCCATTTTATACCTTTTGTTCTCTTCTGAAGGATGCAATATATGAATTTCCCTCTAAGAATTTTAACTTAATTTATATCTATATACATTTGTATATATTAATTTTATTTTTCTCGTCTTTCTGTCCCCTTTGAATTTTTTTTTGTTCCATTTATTTTTTAAAGGCTTTCTTCTAATACTGGGTTAGTCTTTATGTTTTATTCATATTTAATATTTAGAAATCTAGCTGTTAAAAAGCTGATTGGAATCATTCTGTGCACAGATGGAGCTTATAGTTATTGGATGAGAACTTGCCTTTTCATTTAGACATCTCATATTGTGACATTCTGTAATTTTTAAAGTAGTCAATCACTTTCTTTAGAGAGGAATGCTTCAAATGCCTATTTAGGAGCCTCAAGCCTGGTCACCACTGACCTTGTTACAGTAGGTAACAAGCTAGTCAGGTATGAGCACGGCAGGAGAGGGCTCCCTCCTGCTCCCATCAGGAACGTTAAATGATCATCAAGTGATGGTCAGGCAGGTATTACACTATTTCTATAAAATAATAATTGGTCGCAGCCACTGCCAGGGAAAGGCAGTCTCCCAATAAATACAAAAAACCTGAAACTGGTTACTGATTAGTAGTTTCCCAATAAGATCTCAAGATATGGGCGAGTGGGCTCAAGCATGCGCATTAAGAGGCAAAATGGCGGAGTTTAACTGTTACATGATCTAGAGACAACTGACCTGACCTGGAAGGCAAGAATGCCTCAAGGGAGCACGCATACAACTCCAGTAAACACACTGTGCTTGCTCCCTTCCCAAGTGCTAGCAGGCCACTGTGCATGTGGACAGCCCACCGCAAGAGAAGAATGAGGGGAGAAAGGGACACAAGACCCTTGTAGTATGCCAACATACTTAGTATGCCTTAAGTCAAAGGTCAACCCAGTCACTTGATCTCTCAAGCTGCCCACTTAGCCCTCTCTAAGTGTACTTTATTTCTTTTCATTCCTACTCTAAAGCTTCTAAATAAATTTTCACTTCCTTTTCTAAAACTTGCCTCGGTCTCTCCTTTTGCCCAATGCCCCTCAGATGAATCATTTCTTCTGAGGAGGCAAGAATTGAAGTTGCTGCAGATCCGTATGGATTTACCATTGGTAACAACCTCAGAGCCAAATTGGGCAAGTGCTCTAATTTTTTTGCTGTTCTAAATGGAAACTAACTGCCCTACTTTTGCCTCTTATCCTTATTCAGCATCCACTGGGCTTTTTGTCTTTATTTCCACTTCTCTGGTTCAGTTTGTCCAAATCTTAAATCACTTGGCATCTGGGGTTGATTGCTGACTAAGATTTAGAGGAGATGTGGGCACTTTTATTCATATGATGTTTCAACAGATTATCTTATTTTTAACCACAGTCCACATGGCAGGCTGCAGAGATATTCAGCTACAATTCTTCAGTTTTTTCTTTATACCTTGGTAAAATCTGTATGGTTTCCCCCTACTCCTCATCTCTGTGAGCCATTAGATTCAAATCTCTGTTTAAGTAAGATTCTGTTTATTTTCTCTAGTCTTCCAAAATTTATATGGCTTTTTTTTATGGATGATCAGTTTTATCTATAATTACTGTGTGGGTGTGCCTGTTTGTTTTAGCATGAGATATTTATTTTATTTTATATGCTGTTTAAGGTTTTTTTGTGTGTGGAGGGATGGAGGATTTTCAGAAATAAACTCATATCAGGTCAATCAGAATGTACCCTGGGTGTTTATAACTTTTCCTAGTGAAAAGTAAAACTGCTTATTTTAAGTAATATTGTCAAAGCTGTTTAAATCAGAGTGACTCCATCTTGAATAAGGACTGAGTGAAATGAGGCTGAGTCCTGCTGGTTGCATTCCCAGGAGTTCAGGCATTCTTAGTGACAGGATATTTATGGTTAAGGGAACAGGTTAATAATGTTTACCTAACAGACCCTTAACAGGCCCAGAAATGTCCTGATGTCCTCATATCTTAAGAACAAAGGCATTCTTAGTTTAAGAAAAAGTTTCACTTTAAAAATGATAATATAAATTGATGTGGAAGACAATAGTTACACAAAAGTTGATTCCTTGTCAGGAGCACTTGTAGTAGTAAAAATCTTCCCCATGATTTTTTGACTTTGTTGTCTTATACATAAACAAGCATCTTACCTAAGGTGGACATGTCTCTCCTCTTGATGTCAAGAATGCCCTGCTCTATGGAGTAGTCAGTATTTTATTCCTTTACTTTCTTAATAAACTTGCTTTCACTGTATTCTGTGGATTCACCCAAAATTCTTTCTTGTGTAAGGTCCAAGAACCATCTCTTGGTGTCTGGATCAGGACCACTTTTCAATAACATTATTTATTTAGCAGATACCGTCTACCATGGTAATACATATTATGATCTATTCTACATAAGAAAACCACATAAAGCATGTTGGGTACATACATAATTGTTTAAAACAATACAACCCAAGTTAAAAATAATGTGAGAATGTTTTACTATAGTTTACCAAATTTAACAACACCAACAAAAAGAGGTAAACTTGCTTCTTTATCAAACATGCCTGCAATTCAGAAGTTCAATATCATTAAATTTAGACAGTCATATCATTTTGAGATGCTCTCTCATGAGATCGACTTCTAGTGTGTTTATCCTCAACATAGTAGGTAAAATAATTATCAATTACTAATTTATTACTGTGATGATTAATTTCATGTGTTGACTGGACAGGACCACAGAATACCCAGATATTTAATCAAACATCATGCTGGGTGTTTTTGTGAGGATGTTTTAGAAGATATTAAAATTTAGATCAGTAGACTTAGTGTATTAGTCTGTTTTCACACTGTTATAAAGACACTACCTGAGACTGTAATTTATAAAGAAAAGAGGATTAATTGACTCATAGTTCCACATGGCTGGGGAGGCCTCATGTGTTACATGGCAGAAGGCCAAGGGGAAGCAACTCATGTGTTACATTGTGGCCGGAGAGAGAGAGTAAGGGAGAAGTGTCACACTTTTAAATCACCAGATCTCATGATAACTCACTCACTATCACAAAAACAACATGGGGGAAATCCACTCCAAAGATCCAATCACCTCCCATCAGGTCTTTCCCCTGACATGTGGGAATTACAATTTGACATGAGATTTGGGGGGGACACAAAGCCAAACCATAACACTTAGTAAAGGAGATTGCCTTCCCTAATGTGGGTGGTCCTCATTCAATTAGTTGAAGACCTAAACAGAACAAAATTATGACCTTTTTACTGTAAGATAGTTATTTTACCTGACTACCTTGGAATTGAAATATTATGTATTTTTTCTGGCCTTAAAATTCAAACTAAAATATCAGCTTTTCCTGGGTCTCGGCCTTCCAGCCTTCAGACACGAACTGCACCACCAGCTTTCTGGGATCTCTTGCTTGCTAATTTCCCTGTACATCTTGAGACTTGTCAGCCTTTGTAATTGCATTAGCCTATTTCTTTTTTTTTTTTCTGTTTTTTTTTTTTTATTATACTTTAAGTTCTAGGGTACATGGGCACAACGTACAGGTTTGTTACATATGTATACATGTGCCATGTTGGTGTGCTGCACCCATTAACTCCTCATTTACATTACATTTCCTAATGCTATCCCTCCTCGCTCCCCACATCGCATGACAGGCCCCAGTGTGTGATGTTCCCCTTTCTGTGTCCAAGTGTTCTCATTGTTCAATTCCCACCTGTGAGTGAGAACTTGCGGTGTTTGTTTTTTTGTCCTTGTGATAGTTTGCTGAGAATGATGGTTTCCAGCTTCATCCATGTCCCTACAAAGGACATGAACTCATCATTTTTTATGGCTGCATAGTATTCCATGGTGTATATGTGCCACATTTTCTTAATCCAGTCTATCATTGTTGGACATTTGGGTTGGTTCCAAGTCTTTGCTCTTGTGAATAGTGCCGCAATAAACATATGTGTGCATGTGTCTTTATAGCAGCATGATTTATAATCCTTTGGGTATATACCCAGTAGTGGGATGGCTGGGTCAAATGATATTTCTAGCTCTAGATCCTTGAGGAATCGCCACACTGTCTTCCACAATGATTGAACTAGTTTACAGTCCCACTAACAGTGTAAAAGTGTTCCTATTTCTCCACATCCTCTCCAGCACCTGTTGTTTCCTGACTTTTTAATGACCACCATTCTAACTGGTGTGAGATGGTATCTCATTGTGGTTTTGATTTGCATTTCTCTGATGGCCAGTGATGATGAGCATTTTTTCATGTGTCTGTTGGCTGCATAAATGTCTTCTTTTGAGAAGTGTGTGTTCATATCCTTCACCCACTTTTTGATGTGTTTGTTTGTTTTTTTCTTGCAAATTTTTTTGAGTTCTTTGTAGATACTGGATATTAGCCCTTTGTCAGATGAGTAGATTGCAAAAATTTTCTCCCATTCTGTAGGTTGCCTGTTCACTCTGATGGTAGTTTCTTTTGCTATGCAGAATCTCTTTAGTTTAATTAGATCCCATTTGTCAATTTTGGCTTTTGTTGGCATTGCTTTTGGTGTTTTAGACATGAAGTCTTTGCCCTTGTCTATGTCCTGAATGGTATTGTCTCAGTTTTCTTCTAGGGTTTTTATGGTATTAGGTCTAATATTTAAGTCTTTGATCCATCTTGAATTAATTTTTGTATAAGGCGTAAGGAAGGGATCCAGTTTCAGCTTTCTACCTATGGCTAGCCAGTTTTGCCAGCACCATTTATTAAATAGGGAATCCTTTTCCCATTTCTTGTTTTTTGTCAGGTTTGTCAAAGATCAGATAGTTGTAGATGTGTGGTATTATCTCTGGGGGCTCTGTTCTGTTCCATTGGTCTATATCTCTGCTTTGGTGCCAGTACCATGCTGTTTTGGTTACGGTAGCCTTGTAGTACAGTTTGAAGTCAGGTAGCGTGATGCCTCCAGCTTTGTTCTTTTGGCTTAGGATTGTCTTGGCACTGTGGGCTCTTTCTTGGTTCCATATGAACTTTAAAGTAGTTTTTTCCAATTCTGTGAAGAAAGTCATTGGTAGCTTGATGGGGATGGCATTGAATCTATAAATTACCTTGGGCAGTACGGCCATTTTCACTATATTGATTCTTTCTATTCATGAGCATGGAATGTTCTTCCATTTGTTTGTGTCCTCTTTTATTTCATTGAGCAGTGATTTGTAGTTCTCCTTGAAGAGGTCCTTCACATCCCTTGTAAGTTGGATTCCTAGGTATTTTATTCTCTTTGAAGCAATTGTGAGTGGGAGTTCACTCATGATTTGGCTCTGTTTGTCTGTTATTGGTGTATAAGAATGCTTGTGATTTTTGCACATTGATTTTGTATCCTGAGACTTTGGTGAGGTTGCTTATCAGCTTAAGGAGATTTTGGGCTGAGACAATGGGGTTTTCTAAATATACAATCATGTCATCTGCAAACAGGGACAATTTGACTTCCTCTTTTGCTAATTGAATACCCTTTATTTCTTTCTCCTGCCTGATTGCCCTGGCCAGAACTTCCAACACTATGTTGAATAGGAGTGGTGAGAGAGGGCATCCCTGTCTTGTGCCAGTTTTCAAAGGGAATGCTTCCAGTTTTTGCCCATTCAGTATGATATTAGCTGTGGGTTTGTCACAAATAGCTCTTATTATTTTGAGATACGTCCCATCAATACCTAATTTATTGAGAGTTTTTAGCATGAAGGACTGTTGAATTTTGTCAAAGGCCTTTTCTGCATCTATTGAGATAATCATGTGGTTTTTGTCTTTGGTTCTGTTTATATGATGGAGTACGTTTTTTGATTTGCGTATGTTGAACCAGCCTTGCATCCCAGGGATGAAGCCCAGTTGATCATGGTGGATAAGCTTTTTGATGTGCTGCTGGATTCAGTTTGCCAGTATTTTATTGAGGATTTTTGCATCAAAGTTCATCAGGGGTATTGGTCTAAAATTCTCTTTTTTTGTTGTGTCTCTGCCACGCTTTGGTGTCAGGATGATGCTGTCCTCACAAATGCTGAGAGATTTTGTCACCACCAGGCCTGCCTTACAAGAGCTCCTGAAGGAAGCACTAAACATGGAAAGGAGCAACCGGTACCAGCCACTGAAAAAATATGCCAAATTGTAAAGACCATCAATGCTAGGAAGAAACTGCATCAACCAACGAGCAAAATAGCCAGCTAACATCATTATGACAGGGTCAAATTCACACATAACAATATTAACCTTAAATGTAAATAAGTTAAATGCTCCAGTTAAAAGACACAGACTGGCAAATTGGATAAAGAGTCAAGACCCATCAGTGTGCTGTATTCAGGAGACCCATCTCACATGCAGAGACACACAGAGGCTCAAAATAAAGGGATGGAGGAAGATCTACCAAGCAAATGGAAAACAAAAAAAGGCAGGGGTTTCAATCCTAGTCTGTGATAAAACAGACTTTAAACCAACAAAGATCAAAAGAGACAAAGAAGGCCATTACATAATGATTAAGGGATCAATTCAACAAGAAGAGCTAACTATCCTAAATATATATGCACCCAATACAGGAGCACCCAGATTCATAAAGCAAGTCCTTAGAGACCTACAAAGAGACCTAGACTTCCACAAAATAATAATGGGAGACTTTAACACCCCACTGTCAACATTAGACAGATCAAGGAGACAGAAAGTTAAAAGGATATCCAGGAATTGAACTCAGCTCTGCACCAAGTGGACCTAATAGACATCTACAGAACTCTCCACCCCAAATCAACAGAATATACATTCTTCTCAGCACTACATCGCACTTATTCCAAAATTGACCACATAGTTGGAAGTAAAGCACTCCTCAGCAAGTGTAAAAGAACAGAAATTATAACAAACTGTCTCTCAGATCACATTGCAATCAAACTAGAACTGAGGATTAAGAAACTCACTCAAAACCGCTCAAATACATGGAAACTGAACAACCTGCTCCTGAATGACTACTGGGTACATAACGAAATGAAGGCAGAAATAAAGATGTTCTTTGAAACCAATGAGAACAAAGACACAACGTACCAGAATCTCTGGGACACATTTAAGGCAGGTGTAGAGGGAAATTTATAACACTGAATGCCCACAAGAGAAGGCAGGAAAGATCTAAAATTGACACCCTAACATCACAATTAAAATAACTAGAGAAGCAAGAGCAAACACATTCGAAGGCTAGCAGAAGGTAAGAAATAACTAGGATCAGAGCAGAACTGAAGGAGATAGAGACACAAAAAACCCTTCAAAAAATCAACGAATCCAGGAGCTGGTTTATTGAAAAGATCAACAAAATTGATAGACTGCTAGCAAGACTAATAAAGAAGAAAAGAGAGAAGAATCAAATAGATGCAATAAAAAATGATAAAGGGGATATCTCCACCAATCCCACAGAAATACAAACTACCATCAGAGAACACTATAAACACCTCTGCTCAAATAAACTAGAAAAATCGAGAAGAAATGGATATATTCCTGAACACATACACCCTCCCAAGACTAAACCAGGAAGAAGTTGAATCTCTGAATAGACCAATAACAGGCTCTGAAATTGAGGCAATAATTAATAGCCTAACAACGAAAAAAAGTCCAGGACCAGATGGATTCACAGCCGAATTCTACCAGAGGTACAAGGAGGAGCTGGTACCATTCCTTCTGATACTATTCCAATCAATAGAAAAAGAGGGAATCCTCTCTAACTCATGTTATGAGGTCAGCATCATCCTGATACCAGAGCCTAGCCTATTTCTTATAACACGTCTCTTTCTCTTTCACTTTCTTTTCCTGTTTCTTCTTCTCTTTCTCTCTCTAAATCTCATTAGCCATGTTTTTCTGGAGAATATTGACTATACAATACCCAATACAATAACCAAAAGTGAAAACATTATACAAGTTTCTTAAAAATATATTTTATTAAAGAACTTCATATAGTTGAGTTCCACTGTGAAAATTTTCACTTGTTTTTTTGTTTTTGTTTATGGTGTGGATAAACTTTCAAATATATTAATTTTAATATCACACCTACTATTTGTGAATCTTCATTTTTCATGATATGTTCCACTTTCTTAAAGATATTTTTGTGAGAAATAGAAATTTACACAAGTTGTAGTATGTCTCATTAAGAAAGTGATATGTATTTATCAGCAAATAAGATCGTATATGCAAAAGACTTACAGATAAGGTGTAAAGGACTATTAAACTGGTAGTTATTACTGGGCATTATCATTTAGTCTACTGCCCAGTCCCTTAAACTGATTACATTATGTGATTAGTATTCAATAGATGCGTGCTAAATACACATGCATACATTTGCATACATATTTACATATTTGTAATTATATATATAGAGAGAGAGAACAGCAAAAAAGGTAAAAGTTACTTGAGTACTTGAAGCATGCCCCTCAAATGATAATATACCATAATAATATAAAATATTATGAATGAAAATGCAATGAGAAGAAGAGAGTAAGTAGAATCAAGGACAAACACAGGTGACACAAAGAACGCTCTTTTTAAAGCATTCCTAGTTAGATATTAATATCCCATTCAGCAAATATTTATTAACTACTTACATCTAAAAGAAGCTTTGTAGTCCTGGCCAAGGACAAAAGAATTGGACAATTAACTATCATGAAGTCATTGTAAAGTTAGAAATGCGGAAGACTAAGTAAAGCTGCCCAATTTTCTAATCCCATTGATATTATAGAATAGCAACTCAAAGAAAAAGAAGGGAGTGAGGAAATCAGGCTAGTATTCATCTGTATAGAAATAGCATCTGCCTTTGAGCTTGTAGTGTAAAGGTGATAATTTACATTGTCCTGAAGTTCTTCTCTTTCTTTCCTTGTAAGAGAGAAACTGCTTTTATGATACTTTTCCTTTCATTGGCTTTCCAAAAGGTGTCATGTAATGTTTCTAATTTAGGTTTTATTCTTTCAGAAAATTGCCATTTTTTTTAAAAAAAAGACACTTGTCACAATGTAATATCAGCAGCTTTATGTTGGGTAGCATTATGCATCTTACGATGTCTTTAGTTAAAGATGCTTTGCATAAGAACTAGTCTGTCAAGGCCTCTTTTAAGCTGCCCCCATTGTATAACCTTGATTAAGCACCTCTCTTATACCTTCAAAAGACTGAACTTAGCATAGTTTTGCTAAGTTGTGATGTTTTCATTATTTGAAAGTATTCATTTGTCTGTCACACATTATGCAGGAATATGCCTTAGGCTACTAAAGCTTGTGGAATTAACATTAAATGCATGATATAAATAATTATTTCAATAAACTTTTTTTTATTTCTATCACTTCTAGATTCTGTAGTTATACAATCACATTTTCATTTTAATATTAACTTCTTGGATTTTTCTAATGATAAAAAAATTATGTTCAAGCATTTATTACCTCCCTTCTCCACCCAGGCTGTGTGTGCCAAGTGTTTTATTACTGCTTTTAATTTTGTAACTACAGTTGACTTCTGAACAATGCAAGGGTTAGAAGTAACCAAATTCCTGGCACAGTCAAAAATCTTCATATAATTTTTGACTCTCCCAAATCGTGTAATATTCTACTGTTGACTAGAAGCCTTACTCATAACATAGTCAATTAACACATATTTTGTAGGTTATATATATATATATATTATATACTATATTCTTAGAGTAAGCTAGAGAAAAATATGTTATTAAGATAATCATAAGGAAGCGAAAATATATTTAGTATTTTTAAGTGGAAGTGGATCATCAAAAAGGTTTTTATGCTTATCATCTTCATGTTGAATAGGTTGATGATAAGGAGGAGGAAGGGCAATAGTTCCTCTTGCTGTCTCAGAAGTGGCAGAGGCAGAAGAAAATCCAAATACTAGCAGACCTACACAGTTCAAACCCATTGTTAAACTGTAGTTCTGTTTTCCACAGCTTGCTGTTACTCTGTGTGATCTAGCAAATGCCACAGACAGGGAAACAAGAACTGTCTTAAATAATGCATGGGCTCCTTCTGTAGAAGTTTTTGGTGCAAGGATAGGAATACCACACTGCTTTATAATTTGACTAATTGAGAATAAGTTAATGCATCATTTGTGTAAATTTATACTCAGTAATAAACAGAAATTCCATGTATCTTGTAAAGAAAAGAACTGCAAAAGAGAATAGAGACAGTGCTATTGCTTGAAGATATTCAAAATATTCTTAACATACCTCTTGTTTGGTTAGGATTTAGAATTTATGGCATAATATTTTGATTACTAAAAGTGTCTTTGCTTTAAAATATTCATTTTACATTATTTAAAATATTGCAAAATTGTTATAGTTTGTCAGAATCTAAATGCTTTAAAGAACAAATAATATTTAATTAGGAAAACATAATAATACTAATAATTAAAATCAATTTTTACATTTTTTATGAGGATGGTGAATATAGTAGTAGTTCGATGACTCCAAAGTTAATCATACATTTTTATGATTATAATATCATTTATGAAGAAATCTCCAATAGGAGTTATATTAAAATACAGATTATATATTCTAAGATCATTAAAATAAATATTAATAGATGTGGTAATGCACATTAAATATTTGTTCTTAGTTTTGAAAATTAAATCGATCACAGTATTTATGTCTTATTTTTAAATAAAAACATATGAAGTCTTATTCTCTGCTCAAATGTCTTCATCTAAGAATTTATAACAAGATAGGAAAAATGAAACTCAATCACTTAGCTGAATCTAATTGGCAGAGCCTAATCTTAATACATCAAGTAAAAGATGTGGTCAAACAGGAATAAATAATAAAACAAATCAAGACAAAAATCCTCATTTTTTTTGCATGAAGTGGAAGTAAAAAACTCTGAGAATAAAGAAACAAGCCCTATGATTCTGATAAGGGTACAATTAGCAAGTGTTAAGTGGAAAAGCTACCGACTTTAAAATAATATTAAATGGAGTTAGGTCCGAGAAAAGAAAATTGATATAAGGCAGTGTGAAGCAAGTTAATTTTGTTTATGTTTTCAATTGTTTAAAGCCTATCATTATTTTATTATTTAAATTAATTACTTGTAGAACTAGAACTTATTTGGAAAATCTTAGAAACTCAAATGACCTCTCTGCACACACATTTTACTGAAATGAATAACATGTACATATGAATACAATATGTATGTTATTATATATCTATAATAATATAAGCCTATGATATATATGATATATAAATATATGTTATATGTCATATATAATATACAATATACCTATAATAATATACATATGAATCACCCATATGCAATGAATAATATGTACGTATTTATCAATATTTTAGTAACTGTTTCTGCATAATCCAATTATGCTAAAATAGAAGAAATATTTTCCCTCAGAAATATTTTTAGCGTTTTTATCTTCTCTGAATGGAAAATCCTACTTACATTGTCAGTACTATATTTTATTAAATTTATTGTAATATTTATTTTCTATGTTACACAAAAATGTTTATTTCATGGAGGATTATACTTTTATTTGTTTAAGTGACTGTTTTTTATAGTAACATTAACAAGATTTTATATTATTTTCTAACAATTTTAGAACAAATCTGGAGAAAAACCCCCTTCATAGAAAAATGGATATAGCTCATTCAACATACACTTTGTAAATGAGCAAGTAACTATTAACTATGAGTACTTTTGGCTTATTTTGCATTTAACAATATAAGGTGGTCATTTTATAAAATTGTTTTCTAAGTGCTGTATACTATCTAATACTATGAATACACAATCATTAACTTAAAATCCCATTATTGGGTGCATTTAAAGTGCTTTGATGTTTTCCTGCTGTGGTATACAAATAGGAATCATAACTTCCCTTTTTCCTTTGATCATTTATTTAAGATATATGCTACACAAATACATGAACATTAAACAACTTTCTACTAAATAACTATTAGATGAACACTGAAACTGAGACAGAAATAAAAAATACCTTGAAATTAATTAAAATAGGGACACAACTTATCAAAATCCTTGAGATGCAGTGTTGAGAGGAAAGTTTATAGCCCTAAACACCTTCATTAAGAAGTTAGAACAATCATAAATTAACAACCTAACTTTGCACCTAACAGAAATGGGGGAAAAAAAGAGCAAACCAAATCCAAGGATAGCAGAAGACTATAATAACTAAAATTGCAGAAGAACTTAATGAAATTGAGATGCAAAAACACACTGTCATTTTTCCTGAGCTGTAAACATTTATTTTTTATCATGTTAGTGATTAGAATGTGTTTTTTAGATTCTGAATATAGCTTTCAATATTAAATAATTTTAATATTTTATTGGATTTTTCATATAAATTAATGTCTATTTGTACAGTATTGAGAATTTTTTACTTGTGGCTTGTCATTATTTTGTAAATATTGCTTTGGAATTTGTAAGGTTGTTAATCATCTATATTTTGGGTACAATACTTTCTATGTATTCAAAGAAAGAGAAATAGAATCATAGTGTTCAATATTTATTATTTCATTGTTTAATTCTTTTAGATGCTCAATTTTCAGACTAAAGCAGGACAAATATAATATATGAAGGAGTTGCATTAAATTCTATATTATGATTACAGTTATGTATTTATTTCAAATCTAATATTTCTTTACCTTTTGATATTCCATTGCTTATAGAAGTAACCTGTAATAATTTTAATAATTTTTTTAAATCTTAAATATACTGCTCTTATTAATATTTTCATCTTAAATAATACTTAGTTTAGTTACTAATACTGCTGTTTTAGCTTCCTTCTGTTACTTATTTTTCTATTGTGAGATAGATGATGTTTCAAAGAAAAAAGTAGATATGACTCAATCTTTTAAAAATCTCTAAAATGAAAAATAATCTGTTAATGGCACTGTTTCTTCTAAGCCAAAGTGATTTGAGAGACAAATTAAAACAAGGGAAGAGAAAATATTCTATTCATTATGGTGTCTTTATGGTATACAAATGTATATTAAGAGTCAGAAAATTTTATACTGCAAATTAATACAATTTTTATACAATAAATATACCTAAATAAAATTTTAAAAATATGTTCCTTTTTTAAAAAAATTAAGTTATTTTTACCATGTCTTTTTGTGGAAAATATTTGAAAATTCGTATCATTCTATTGTGCAAATATAAGTGACTTTTGTATGTTTTATTGCTGAATGTTTAGTTTAATTCACTGCATTAACCATTATACATAGTGCTGTCTTTGTACAGAAATGTCTGTGGATCTCTTACTTTTGTTTTTTCTATGTGATGAGACTGGAAATTAAAGGTACAGTAACCGTGCCTGCCCACTAGCAATAGATACAAGGAAATCCTACACTGTCTTGAGATTTTTCCATATTTTCCAAATCTCTGTAAATAATTGGTTTATCAAACTCTCCTGAAATTTCCCAATTTGAATATACTCTTTTCTGCCAGGACCCTAACTGACAACATGTTCCTCAAAATTTTATATTTCTATAATCTAGTTATATGTTAAAATTTAAAATGTTATACATACCATCACATATTTATCAGTGGCTTTGTTATTATTGCTATTAACATTATTTTTGATTAGTTGTTTTGGAATGCCTGCACTGAGATATTAATCATATGGCATATTTGGGGTTAGTTTTTTGATCGCGGAAAAATTACATTGTTGTATTTATCCCTTCTATTATTTTTAAAAGGAAAAAGTTGAAGCAGTTATTTTCATTACCTTCCAAAAATTGAAATGTTGAAGGCATTTAAAATACACTTGTAAAATACTAACACACGAGTTCCTTCAAAGTTACATAACGAATGTGAAAATTGAGTCACATAGCTACAGGCCTGCTAAACACTTCAGTAAAATGTGTGCCTGCACCATCCACATTTGCATGAAAGCAAGCTATGAGTAACTCTACAGAAACATGAATTTGGAAGCTATCTTTACTAGACCCACAGTGGTCAAGTTACGTGATAGAAAAAGAGAATGGATTTCCCCTTATTTTTCAGGGAATTCTGTAAAACAAACAACTTCCATCTCCACATTATACAAACTTTGTATTTTGCTTTTCTTCTATGTTTATTTTTCTCGATGTTTTCCATTCTATATCCAAATAGAGGGAGAAATAAAAACAAAAACAATAATACAGTTATTTGCTTATACAGTTTAAATGATTCCTTCATGTTTATTTAGATAAAAGTGAGGCCAAACAAATAAAACAGGGTAAAAACTTTGGTAACATTTTGGATTTTACCTAAGAAATATTTAATCAATAAAAATAGATTGATAAATCATTTAAAAAGCAGTTAAACTGCTATTTACAAGAGATATAAATATGATGATTAAGACATATTTTTTTCTTTTGAGCAACTTGTAAAATAATCAAACATAGACATAAAGAGTTAGAAGTATGTTCAGAGTATAATGAAGAATAATAATGAGGGATTATGAGATTAAATAATAAGGAATGCTCAATTCATTAAGTGTGCTAGTTGATTGTACTCTATTTTGTAATTTAAAAAGGTATTTTTTTTTTAGAAAATAATTATAGGACTAGAAAATTCAGACCAACAGTTCTAAAAACAATTATGGCTAAGAGGTTCTGATGAGAAAGAGAAATTCTGAAGGAATTAACAATATGCAAAATTCAAAAACCGTTTCCATTTATTATGTGTGATTGATTTTTGTGAAATCTTACTTGGTGCCTCTCTCTTTTTCCTCCTCAACTCTTTTGAAGTTTTCTGACTGTTATAAAATATCCTTTTCCGCTCTTCAATCTGTGTTATTTTTCTGTTTGTTAGAGAAGAGGTTTTGGAAACATTTGCCATAACTAACAATGTGCAGGCACGGTTTCCACTTACACAAGTCTGAAGAGACTTCAGTATTCTCTTATGATTTCATGAAATGTAAGTCAGCCAGCCAGACTTAGCAGTCATTGATCTGTGAGACCTCATTCAGTCTAGTTACCCATGATCTAGGCAGTTTTCAGTCAAAAAAAAATTTTTTTTAGTGCTTTTCAAACCACCATATCAAGAAAAAAAGAAAGTTAAATGGATTTCGCAGACAAATGCTCAAATATAACTTTGTCTCTAATAAATTACATCAACTTTACTCCTTGGCAAGTTTATTTATCTTTCCTGTTGACAATCTGTAGATGAAAATACATTGATGTAAATGAAAACTACTTCAAATATACCCATATTTATCTGGCATTTATCTTAGAGAAAACTATATGTGAATCCAAAAAAGCCCAGGATTGGTATAATTAAGACAAAGCCGTCTGATAACAAATGATATACATGTTACCAGGCAACATATTTTGTGTGTTCAAAACTGTACAAAATAGGCATATTTTATTAGTCTATGTACCAACTCTATTGCTTTCTATTTAAATACAGACCACCTCGTTTTGGTTGCAATTGGATCCCCAGGGAAATGGAACCTACCTAATTCTAAAAGATGTCTATTTCTCCTGTCAAAAGATAAATATGTAGGAAAATGTATTTTGCATGAATTCCATTATGATAATAGTCAAAAGTGTCTTTTGTTTTGTTTTCTACTGTAAAACAATTACTGTTTTTTTTAGGCCATGATTAGTCTTATGCATTTATAAAGTTTACTTAATAAATTTTATACAATCAACTTTATCTAATAAAGTTTATGAATACAATAATGTTAGGCATTTAAGTTTATATACAATAAACTTTAAGTATCTCTTTTTGAAACCAAAGCATTTGAAAGCAAATCAAGAAAATATCTAGCAAAATGTATTAACATATAGTACAATAAAAGATGAGTTAGTTTTGAGATTACATTTAACATGTATTAAATAAATATAAGTATATATTATTCTTTAAAATGAGTTTAATTTAAAATAATTAAAAATAAAATATCAATCTGTAATTTTTTGTTTTATTGGAATTTTTACATGTTTAACAAGTATCTGGCAGTCTATAGTCTGGAAAATATTCTAAACACTATGATGGAAGAAAAATCTAGTAAGAATTGTTTTAAAGGTTTTAGTAGTAAATATAAGGACCATTATTTTATTTGCCATCTTGGATGAAGTAAAAATATTCAAGGACCTTGAACCCTTTCCCAAAGATAAGATTCAGCAACAACCAATATTTGGATAAATAATTATTGAGTTTGAATTATGACTGAAGTATGTAACTCCTAAAGAACCAGTGGTCTCATTAATTGTTGCACATGTATGGAAAATACTTCATGAAAAGTCTTCTTGTAAAGGTAAGGGATGCAAATTATTTAAATTCATGGGTTGCTTTATTTTCATGAAAATCTGAGCAACTATAAAAGAAGCCAATTGTGAGCCTCTGTTCTTCTTAGAAAACTAGAGTTGTCAAGTTGTCTACAATTCTAGAAGATACCTTCTCATTTAGGAACTGGGTATGCTTTAAGACCATATATATATGGTCTTAAATATAAATAAATGTACATATACAATCATCATACTTTTTTAGTTTATCATTTTCCATTCTTTAACCAGGGCCACCATGTAGAACATATACATTACAACCATGTTTTAGGCCCTACGCAACTGAATGTGGCAGCTTATGGAATATAAAGTTTGATCAAGAAAATAAATTGAGGTAAACTAACCTATAAACCGCTATCAGATTGAATTATAAGCTACTTATTATATAACTCAGACATATAAAACTCTTTGGACTTGTAGGGAACATTATGAGAGATAATAATTCCTTGGAGGAAACATTTATCTTTCTTGGAAATTACTAAATAAAAATAAATTAGAAGATTAGGAAGCTAAATCCATGTATAGTTGAAGAAAAGTTATATGCTTAAATGTCTTGAGAAGAGCCAATGATCTGACTGAATGAAAGAAGAGATCAGTCAGTTATTTTTAGTTAAAATTTTTAAAGATTAGATGTTGTATTAGTCTGTGTTCTCCAGAGAAACAGAACCAACAGGAAGTATGCATGTGTGTGTTACATTCTTTCATGGATGTATCTGCATTTCCAGTGCCTTCATTCCGAATTTTCTTATTTGAGGACTTGGTGTAGAGGTCTTCTTTAGGTGCCTCAGGGGAGGCTTTCTTATTGGAGAGAAGAGGGGTAGAATTTGAAGACACTTTCCTCACTTTGACTCAGTACTGGGTACTCTTTTTCCATTCTTAGCCCTTACCTCTTGCTCTCCCTTCAATTTCCAGTCCATAAAACTACCACAGCCTTTTGTTTTAGAGCTCCCTCAATGGTGAGACAACCCCCATGTCTGTGCTGATTCACCGGAGTCTCCTGCTCTGTTCCATGGGTGTAAATGCAACAGGGAGAGTTAACTCTTTTTCTGAGTTTAGCCCCTTGCTTATACTGTTGCAGTAAGTGATTGAGACATTAACTCCATTTTTGACCAGTTGATTTAATCAACTACCCTGATACCTGGCAGCTCAGCGCTGTCTCCCAGTTCAGCTAGGCACCTGACAGAATGTAGTGAAGAATTAAATTGATAGCGTCGGGTCAAAGCACTCAGCCAGATCACTCTTTTACTGTACACTGAAGGTTTTAATATTTCTTACTTAAACTAATTCATCAAACTCCACAAATGTACCTCCACAAGTAATTGGGTGACAAATATTATTTTCTATTCTTAATTGAATTGTCACACTTTCACCATTATCATTTCTGATAGTCTTTGGAAAGTTTGCTGGAAGGAAATTAACTCCTCTCACTGATACACACATGTGTGCATGCATTCATTTATTATTTATAAAACAAATATGTATTCAGTCTGTGAGCCCTGGTATGTATAAAATAGTGTGGACTTGGCCTAATGAATAAGACATGGCTTATATTTTCGAAGAAGTGGAAGATTGGTGTAGAAGACAGACTTGTAAAAATGTAAGTACTTTATTTAAGTAAAAGAAACCTTTTGTGGAACCAGAGAGGAGAGACCAGCTAACTTTGTTAGGTTAAATATGGTAAGATGTTATTGAAGAGATAACACTTCAGACAAATCTTAAAGGATGAGTTGAAATTTTCATAGATTGAAAAAGTGGCATATAATATTTGGGGAATGGAAAACAAATGGAAAAGGAGTATTAAAAAAGTCGCAGGAGTATAAAAATGTATGCAATGGCAGTGAACAGGATAAGTTCAATACTGTTGGAAGAAAGCTTTTAATTAATGCATTAACTAATGCAGATGACACTAACAATACATTTTGAAGAATCTTGGCTATCATGCTTAAGAACTGTAACTTTGTCACTGAAAGATGTGGTGATATATAAATTTTTAAGGTTATACAGTCTGAGAACTTTGTGCATGATGTATGGTAATGAAGAAATAGATTATTAACAAGAAGTCTGTATCAACAGTGAAAGCCAGAAAAACCATAGTCGTTTTCATCTAAGGCCTCATTAGAATAACTTATGCAACTTTCAGGGAAGGTAGATGCTTGGGCTACAATCCAGGCTTTCTGAATCAGAATTTAAGGGGAGAAACCTAATCACATGTACATTAAAATTTCCCACGGGTTAAAGTTTTCCAAAGTAAAATGAGAATAATTAGTAGAAAATGGTGATGAATGCAGAAAATCGAAATGAATTCAAGATACCTTTTAAGTCTGGAGTAAAAATACTTTCATGATTTGTTCTGATAATTGAGGAATAATGCTGTGTTGACTATGTCTAAGTACAATGATAATATCAATGAAAATGTTAGACAACAAGAAGAGATAAATCTTTGGAATAGTAGAAAATAAATTCTGTCTTCATTATATGGATGTTGGATTGTATCAACATATTAAACTACAAATTACATTAATTCCTCTGTGGATTCTTCACTGCCTATTCACATTTATGCAGTTTTAAGAAACATGCTTCTATGTTTTATGTAAAATTAATTAGAAAATATTGCTTTATTTATGTGATATTGTACTTGGAATGATATTTTATCAAAAGGACATTTTCTTTTACAGAAGAGATTTGCAGAGGGTTTTTTTTTTAGTTTGGTACATGTGTTTTTCTATTAATATTTCTAACAACTGTGTTCATAATTCATTTGGGTACTTTCTGTCTGCTGGATAACTGACTTCCAGATTTCATATCCATTCATATGACCCCATTCTGAATTCTCAGTATAAAACTGCTACTGCCTGTAACAGGTGATTAATTTCTCATATGATGTTTACTGCCATGACATAAATCTTCCTGGATTTGCATGTCTAACCGATTACATTTTTTCTCCATCAGGGCATGTAGTTTTTACAAAATTCTTAAATGGTCTATTTCCAGAATATGTTTTTAAACTGTGTGTTTGCTTTCTATCTATATTTTACATGATATACACTTCCTATGAACAGAACTATTTTTCTGGACATTGAAATAGAAATTTTGTGAATTGTCATAATTTAAAATTCCATAATTATATGAGATAATTCTTATAAATATATTAAATATTTAATATATTATATATTTATTGAATGTATCTTTATATCTTTATATTTATTGTGTACATTTATAAAGATGTTATCATTACTGATTTTAAAATATTAATATGTAAATATTGCAGTTGAATCATCAATCTATATTATTAGTCAATGGGCAGACAGATGTGTCAGATGCTTTTCTCTATTTTATGGTTATAAAGCAAATGGCATCATAATAGAGAATTTTGCAAATGCAAAAATTATAGGATTTGATTGTTTAAAATAGTATCAATCATTCACCAAAACATGCCTGGAATTATTTGTTGTATGAATACCAGTGCTTTGTATTTGAATACACATAACCTACAGGCAGTAGACAGGATTTTACGATGGCCTCCATGATTCCTGGTCCCTGTTATATAAACCTTGATTATAATCCCCTCCCCTTGAGTTCTGACAGAACCTGTGAATATATAATATTACTTTTGTAATCTTATTACTAATCAGTTGACTTTGATTTCATTAAGAGGGAGCTTACCAGGTGAGATTCATATAATCAACTGAGTCTTTATGAAGACTGGGCTCTTTTTGAAGTCAGAGACATAGAAAGTGGAGAGAACCTACGCAGGAGGCCACACAGCTAGGGACTGTGGGCAGTCGCCAAAGCAGAAAGTAGTTCCTATCCAACAGCCAGAAGGAGAATGAGGGTCTTGGTCAAAATAATCATGAGATAGTTAATTCTTCCAAAATCCACATGAGTTTGAAAGAGGACCCTCATGTCAGAAAGGAACACAGTTCAGCTGATACCATGATTTTAGCCTTGTGAGATTCTGGGTAGAAAACCCAATTCAGCCATACCTCAATTTCTGACCTATCAAATTGTAGGATAATAAATGGTGTTGTTTGAAGTAACGAATTGGTGGTAATTTATTACACAGTGCTAGAACACTAATACCCTGCTTTTCTCTGAAAATGCTATATGTAATATTAATACAAATTGAGTGTTATACCAGATTTTGAAAATAAAACTGTAAATCTAAAAGTTGCCTTAAAAGCTGTGCTTTTGTCTGCTCATCTCTAAAGCATAATCCACCTAGAAAGAAAAAGTGTTGCTTTATTTTTCTCTTCAAGATATTTTATTTCCTTTTCAGTTGTAAGTCACTGTGTTTTAAGTTTCTTTTTCTGTCCAGATTGAGTCGGTTATTCCAAGAAAGAAGACAACAGCCAACAGGTAAAGTGAGCTGCTTCAGTGAATGGAACGTGAACCAAGAAATAAATCTTTTTAATTTCAACATTAAATTACTTTCAATACTAAAAATGGAAGACATTTCTTAAGGATTTATTAAGTGTAGAATTCACAAAAATAGTGTTACCTTAGCAACTCATGACACAGAAATTAAGCTGTCAACATCTTGATCATTCAAAAGCGGTCATTGATCTTTGTGTCAACACAGCAGATGAAAAAGAGCTGCAGTGACGTACTTTGCCAGGTTTTTGAACTCTGATAAACAAGCCAAGCTGTGTTTATGAATTCCCTAAAATAGACAAGTGGAGAATACAGCAGTATCTCAGTGTGCCAAAATGGATTTACAGGTAGTTGGGCATTGTGCACACTACCCAAGTAGTCTTTATTTCCTAACTCCTATTGTAATATGAAAAAACAGATGTACCTAAAAAATCTTAAGTAGAGACAGTCCCTGCACTTGCCAAAATGCATTACTTTGTAACATTATCTGTCATTAAGAAGAAATCCATTCAGACAGTGTTTCCCTTTAAAAAATCTGTGGTGTCTTTTAAGCTGAAGCTTGAAGAGAAAGCAGCATGAGATTCTCAGGTCACTAAATATATTAAGTAAAGATGTCACCATTTCCATTTTTGCTGAAATAAAAGCAAAGTTAGAGGAACAAAAAGCAAAAAGATTCCAGTGTAACCAGATTCTTCAATGCCACTATAAATAGGTAGCATACATTCATTCTAACTTAGCTCTTATTAAACTTTAATATCATAGGGAAGTTATTCAGAACATAACTTGAATGACAGCCAGCTTTACACCATCTTATACCATATACTCTTCTTAGCCAAGGCATGTAGAGAGAATCAGATTTTGCCCTGGTCATCTATTTGTCTCTCAGAAACACCTTATCATTTAGATATCTCTCAATAAAATGTTTGAAACATTACAGCTTTTAAAATCTGGGAAGCTAATATTGGTTCCATTTGTATTCATAATAGAAAGATTCTTTCAGTTTGTGTACAATTCTATTGTGGGTCATTTTGACTGCATTTAGATATACTTTTAATTCGTTATTCCTAAAGAATGAATGAATGGTTGCTTAGTTCTATTAGCTATATATAAGCTAATAATTATTAAACACTGAACCACCAAAGATATTTATACCCAATTCCCTGGAACCTATGAACAGGTAAGGTTACATGGCAAAGGGGATTGTACAAATATGATTAAGGTTATGAATTTTGAGATGAGAAGATCATATTGGATAAATCAAACTGTGCCTAAAATAATTACATAAGCCCTTAGAGATAAAACTTTTTTCTAAAAGATAAACAAAATTGACAAACCCTTAGCTTAACTAAGAGTAAAGACAAGACATAAGCTTCAAGTAAATAAAATCAGAAATGAAAGAGGTGATATAACACCTGCCTCAAAAATAAAAAGGACATCGTGTCATGGCTCTTGCCTCTAATCCCAGCGCTTTGGGAAGCTGAGGTGAGAGGATCCTTTAAGCCTAGGAATTAGAGATAAGCCTGGGCAACATAGCAAGACCCTCCATCTACAAAAAAGAATAAATTATCTAAGCGTAGTGTCATGCACCTGTAATCCCAGTTATTTGGGAGGCTGAGGTGGGAGGATCACTTGATCCCAGGAATCTGAGGCTGCAATGAGTTATAATTGCACCACCACACTCCAGCCTGTGTGAAAGAGCAGGACCTTATCTCTAAAAAAAGTAAAATAAAATAAACAAACAATAAAACATAAGTAAATAAAAAAGATTACGTGGGACTATTATAGACAATGGCATGCCAACACACTGGATGAGCTAGAAGAAATGATAAATCTCTAGAAACACACAATCTACCAAAACCAACCCAAAAAGAAAATCTGAATAGATCAATAACAAATAAGGAGATTGAATCAATAATCAAAAATCTCCTGAGAAAGAAAAGCCCAGAACCAATGGCTTCATGGGTGAATTATCCCAAATATTATAAAAATTAATACTCATCATTATTAACCTCTTCCAAAAAATAACAGAGGAAACACTTTCAAATTTGTTATATGAGGCCATTATCTCTCTGATACCAAAACCAGATGGAGACACTACAAGAAAATAAAACTACAGGCTACTGTCCCTGATGGAAATAAATGCAAAAATCTTCAGTAAAATACTGACAAGCTGGGTTTGATCGCACATTAATAGGATCACACACCATGACCAAGTGGGATTTATTCGTGAGATGCAGAAACGGTTCAACATACCAAAATCAATCAATGTGATAAAACACATTACCAAAATGAAAGACAGAGACTACATAATCATCTCAGTAGATGCAGAAAGAATATTTGGCAAAGTTCAACAATCTTTCATGACTGAAACTCTCAACAATATAGGTACAGAAGGAATTTACCTCAACACAGTAAAGACTGTATATGAAAGAGTCACAGCTAACATCACAATCCAATGGAGAAAAAGTGAGTTTTGGCTCTAAGATGGCAAAAAGGCAAGTATGCCGACTTTCACCATTTCTGTTCAGCAGAGTAATGGAAGTCCAAGCTAGAGCGATTACACATGGAAAAGAAAAGTCTTCCAAATTGGAGAGGAAGAAATGGCAGAGGGGATGTCAAATGTGAGGGAGTTCACCTGCCCTTACTTGCTTTGAACATGAAGGAGGCCATGAGCCTGGGAATGCAGGTAGCTTCTAGCAGCTCATAATGATCCAGCATGTAAACAAGGGTCTATAACTACATGGATCTGGATTCAGCCAACAATCTGAGTAAGTCTGAAAAGAATTATTCTCCCGAGCTACTGGACAAGAGCCCACTTCTGCTGACATCTTGATTCTGGTTGTATTAGTGTCTGAGCAGAGAATCCAACCGATCCTTCCAGATTTCTGATCTACAGAACTGTGAGATAATCATTTCTGTTAAGACTTAAATTAGTGGTATTTTAATGGCAGCAATAGAAAATTAATACACCCAACTCAACAAACTGCTCTATCACGACACTTTGTCTCTGACTCAATCTGTTCCCAATCTTACTTAACGGCTTACTCTACATTCCTACTCTTTTCCCTTTTTTTTTTTTTTTTTTTTAGATAATATGAGCAGAACTGCAACTTACTGTTTTCTGTGATGGTTCTGTGTATTCCTCATTTCAACTCCAACTGCAAATTCTAGACAGTGGAACTTCTGGCAGTCACTTTCTCACTCTAGGAAAAATTTTGAGAAGTACAGTTTTCTAACTGCATACTCTGCTGACCATACTTGAAAATCTAACTGCTGTGATACTCACTGAAGTTTTCCTACTTCCAAATAAAATCTCTCAGAGGAGTATTCCACCGACCAACAAGATAGACCTGGGCTGGGATCCAATCCTGGGAGTCTAGCCAGTACCAGATATCCAAAAAGAGTCTGGACTGTGGCCACAGTCAAAGGAAACAGGCAGGATATTCACACATCGCAAGTGGGCACATTCTCCTATAAGTTCACTTCCTGCCCTCAATCTTGAGTCCATTCTTATGTGAATGTCCTTTTCATTGAACACAGATATGATGTCAACTGGCTATGGCTGCTGCTGCTGCTGTTTCTTTACCTCTGTCTTTGTCTCCTGAATGTTTCTTGCACCCATCTCTGCTGCCTCTCCTTCTGTTCCTCCTTCTCTTGCTATTCCTCCTCCTTTTCCAGACTACTGATGGCACAAGTGTACTGATTTAAACATCAGTGTAATTGGGATTGTTTTACATATTCATAATTCAAAGATTTTTTATCTTTCTAAACATATTGATGAGAGGAAATTATATTGATCTTCTAAATGAGGGTCAAAAAAACAGAATAATATTTTGCTTCACAGTTAAGGAACCCAAGTCCATGGGACATATTAGAGAAACTAACTTGCAACTTTAAAACTTCATTTTTTCTTTCATGAACTTAACATGTGTTTATGGAATACCTGTCAATGCAAATGCCAGGGATATGGCAGTATGAGACAAGTAAACACATATGAACATTGATTTAATAGAAACATTTCAGTTATAATTCCACATAGGCAAACAATTTGGACTATTTAGCTATTAATGTACAGAAGAAGTTAATTTCCAAGTTACATAAACTATTTCAGTTAACAAATATAAAATTCACATTTTTTATTCTTTGTAATATATAAGAGAAAATATCCATTCCAAAATTGTCACTGTTGACTTTATTAAAATATTCTGTTCCTCGGGATTTTGTAACATTTCACCCTCTTGGTGAAAACCATTCTTAATTAAATAATTTAATTATCTGGTGTATTTTCAAAAATTACTACAAATGGGGCCATTCCACATTTTTCTATTCTCAATTTGCTAACTTTATTTATGCTCAGACAAAATGTGTCAGATTTCTTGACATCTCCTTTTCTGAAACAGTCAGGTAGTCTTTAAGTTATCATGAATCTTTCCTTAAAATATTTGTCATATCGTTCATGCTCTCAGTTCTCATGGCCACAGTCTTTGGGCCTATCCTAAGTAATTCTTGAAATATTACGTAGATCCATGTCACCCATGTAGCTCAATCTACCGTCACGGTTTCTATATTCTTATTTATCTTCAAACTGTTGTATATCAATGTTTATGAAGCATTGGATTATTATAACTTTCACCACAAGGGCCTTTGGTAGATCTTTTTAAATTTTATTCTACTGAGCAAAGTTGCTTTCATTTATTAGATTATTACAACGTCAAAGTTCCAGTCTTTTATTTTATACCATTCGGTATTTTCAAATCCATGACATGGTTCAAACAGTTATCTTCATTTATTTTTCCAAGCTTCAAGGTACATATATTAGTTCGTTCTCACACTTTTATAAAGAACTACCAGAGACTGGGTAATTTATAAAGAAAAGAGGTTTAGTCAGCTCACGGTTCTGTGGGCTGTTCAGGCTTCTGCTTCTGGGGAGGGCTCAGGGAACTTACAATCACAGCAGATGGCAAGGGGAAGCAGGTAAATCTTCCCTGACCAGTAGGAGAGAGAGAGAGTGGCAGGAGAGGTACCACACACTTTCAACCAACCAGATCTCATGAGAACTCTATCACAAGACAGCACTTGGGGAATGGCGCTAAACCATTAGAAACCACCCCCATGATTCAATCACCTTCCACCAGACCCCACCTCCAAAATCAGGAATTGCAATTCAACATGAGATTTATATAGGGGCACAGAGGCAAACCATATCAGTTTGCTTTACAGGTTAACTATTCCATTAAGGACTATACAAAATTTATAATCAACCCTTGAAGATCTCTTACTAGCTGTAAGTCCCTGCAAGGCAGACACCCTTCTATCCATATATTTATCTATTTCCTACTGCTAAATATAGTAGTTTAATGTTAGTGCTCAATATCAATTTGTTGAATAACATTGAAAAAAACAGTATCTTTTTTTATGAAAACATATTCCATATTTTAGTTGCATGATTTGAACAGTACAAAATTTTACTGTCTAGCCTAGAAACAAAAAATAACTAAAAAGAGAATGGTTGCATTAGCTTTTCTCAACTATTATAGAAATGGATTATATCTATTTCCCTGAAAGTTTTCCTCTTTGAAGAATACTTGTCTCTGTGTGATAGGGACAAAATAATAATTAGCATTTGACAATTCTGCACTGAGACTTGGAGTCTCAAATATGCACTGAAGTAATTTATTAGGCATTTGATAAGGTGAACTGATGATTAGATGTAGGTTAAGTCCCAGCATAAACTTTCTCAAATTGTTCTACTAAATTCAAGACACTGATTGAGAGAGGATTAAGGGTGTACAAGAACTACTTCATCATCTGTAAGGTAACATAAGGGTTATTTTATCCCTTTATCCTATTTTTTAAAAGTTATTTTCAGCAAGAAGTAGCTCACATGTCTATTTTATGGTTTCTCTCCTTTGAGTTTTTACTGTATGTAGACATTATATCACAAATACTTACTTGACTAAAACTAATGGGCTTTTACCACAAATTAAAAACATAAGCCATTGTCAGTTTGCATTATACTCAGATTGCTTATATGCTTACAAAAATACTTAAACATTATAAAACTAGTATTTTTTCTATTAATCTCAATATTTACCTGTAATAGATTGTTACATAATAATGACATTCTAAAAGTTAGCATAATAACTATAAAAATTAGGGCTTGTAGTCACAGGGTTATGTTCTAACTTCTTAGTTACACATGACAAAAAGCCCTTCAAAATCTACCTCGGCTAACTTTTTCAAAGAAATTTTCCATAGGTCTTCCTTCATCTCTTGAGGATCACAAACTACTCATTATTTTCACATGTCACAATGTATTGTTTTTATTTGTCTTTCTGTAACCTCCAATGCATTCACGTACAATTTCCTCTATCTGCTCTATCTGGAAGGCCTTTTATTTCTATTTTCAATGTGGGAGATTTCTCTAGGGAACATTGCCTTAATTCAGGGAGATTCCCTCGTTAGACTGTGAATTTCTCAAAAGAAAATAATATGTAGAGTTTATTTTATCCATTTTTCACTATCCGGAATATGACACTGCCAGATACATAATAAACATTTAACAAATATTTATTGGCTGAAGTAATGGAGGGGAAGGGAATTCTATTAAAATACAGAAGTCTAGAAGTCAAGGATGTGCGATAGGATATGAAAGGCTGCTGCTATCATAAGTATAGTTGGAAATAACTTCGATTTTTTTCCAATGTGTCTCAGTTCTGTATATCTATTTAGAAGTCGAAAGATAGCAAAGCACCTACTATTTTTTTCTTTTGAGAGGTGCTTCTTTTGTGAGTTTTGGAGAATTTAAGGCTTAAATAAAATATTGACTATATAAATTAAAATGAAGCAAAATTACTATATGTAGAATATGTTTTAGTAATTTAGTGATCACAAAATTGTCTATTTTGTTGTTTGTTTAATTTGTAGATGCAATATATAATATTCCAATGCCGACTATAATGTTTGTGTTTTAACTTTAACACCTGTCTTTGGTGATAAAGATCTAGCTTTATTCTATTTTATGAAGAAGCACAATTTGTTCTCTATGGGGAGTCTAAAGTATAAAGTGATGACGATTTGATACATAGTATAAATTTCTCTTTTTGCTTTATTTTAAAATTCGTGTACAATGCCCTTTCCTTCCATCCACTTGTGTGTGTCCTTTAGAAGGAGTTTTCATTTAGGCAAAATATAAAATAGTATTAATTATTTTCTATTCGTTTTTTTTTTCCTGAACTAAGTTGTGTTACTCTGGAATTCTCTGTGATACATCCCTGAACTTTTCGATCTTATGTTAAATATAGTTGGTGCATGTATCCTTTAGCATTATCCATTGCATTCTGGACATTAAATAAAAATTAATAAACATACACATGCAAGTGTCTTTATAGTAGCATGATTTATAATCCTTTGGATATATACCCAGTAACAGGACTGCTGGGTCAAATGATGTTTCTAGTTCTAGATCCTTGAGGAATCACCACACTGTCTTCTACAATGGTTGAACTAATTTATACTCTGACAAACAGTGTACAAGCGTACCTATTTCTCCACATCCTTTCCAGCATCTGTTGTTTCCTGACTTTTTAATGATTGCCATTCTAACTGGCATGAGATGGTATCTGATTGTGATTTTGATTTGCATTTCTCTGATGACCAGTGATGATGAGCATTTTTTCATGTCTGTTGGCTACATAAATGTCTTCTTTTGAGAAGTGCATGTTCATATCCTTTGCCCACGTTTTGATGGGGTTGTTGGTTTTTTTCTTGTAAACTTGTTTAAGTTCTTTGTAGATTCTGGATATTAGCCCTTTGTCAGATGGATAGATTGCAAAAATTTTCTCCTATTTTGTAGGTAGCCTGTTCACTCTATTGATAGTTTCTTTTGCTGTGCATAAGCTCTTTAGTTTAATTAGATCCCATTTGTCTACTTTGGCACTATTCACAATAGCAAACACTTGGAACCAACCCAAATGTCCATCAATAATAGACTGGATAAAGACAATGTGGCACATATACACCGTGGAATACCATGCAGCCATAAAAAAGGATGAATTCATGTCCTTTGCAGGGACATGGATGAAGCTGGAAACCATCATTCTCAGCAAACTATCACAAGGACAGAAAACGAAATACTGCATGCTCTTACTCATAAGTGGGAGTTGAACAATGAGAACACATGGACACAGGGAGAGGAACATCACACACTGGGGCTTGTCAGGGGGTGGGGGGGCTGGGGGACGGATAGCATTAGGAGAAATACCTAATGTAAATGATGAGTTGATGGGGGCCGCAAACCAACATGGCACACGTATACCTGTATAACAAGCCTACGCATTGTACGCATGTAACCCAGAACTTAAAGTATAATAATCATACCAAAAAAAATCAACTGATATCTTTTAAAGCCCTGAAGTGTACAGGAAAATTAATTCCTAATTATAAACATGGAAACTTATGACAGTTAATTCATCTTACACATTTACTTGTCATGTTTAGCCATGAAAATCCACTCATAACTAAGAAAACTAAATAAATATTACATTTCTCTCTTAAATGTTAAAAAAAAATTAAACATTAAGTGAATAAGTAAATAAAGCCAAATATCTGTTTAAGCAGGTGTTGAAAGCCTGGCCCCAGAAAAACTGCTCACACTGCAGAAGCCAGATGTCAGAGGAACTATGTGCATTGCAGAAGTGGGAAATCTGAGTAGACTGAAAAAAGTAAGAGAAACCCCTCGAAATGTCTCTCTAGTGCTTTCTACTACAAAGAGTAACATCCTGCTAGCTGGCAAAGGACGAATATTAATAGAGTCAAGCTCCATTTTCACAGAGCAGACAATGAAGAGTAAATTTGGAGTTCAGAGGCAATAATTTGAAATCAGTCCCTGTGTAGAAAGAACAGAGAATGAAAGGAGGAAGAACAGAGAGAAAGTTAAAGAGGATATATTCAATAACTATAGAAGTTATTTGTTAGTTTACTTACTCTATAGGAATGAAAATGCTTAAGAAAGAAAAGAAGAAGACAAAGAAATAGAGGTAAATTTGCATAAGATGGAAGGCAAATTGTAATGAAATAATAAATATAACAGCAGGTGAAAATACTGGCAAAATTGTAAATATACATATATATTTATCTTTGTAATATAATGATTAAGTGGTTTTCTATTAATACTAAAAGGACAACTTTTCCATAGTTCTGTATCTGTATACTTCCTAAAACATAATTCTTGAAATACAAGTTTTAAAGCAGGTTCAGATTTTAGACATAGAAAATACGGAGAAGCTACATCAATACATGAATAGAGACATTTAAAAATTATTATGTCTAAAATTCTAAATATATTTATAAAACATGAGCTATTCAGGTGATAAAATTTACAGCCAACAGCTTTTGAGATGTCCAACAGTAATTAGATTTCATTACCTCCAGACAGTGTAAATGATTTATTAATATAATTATTAATTATTATAGCTAAATAATTAGGGCTGTTTGATTTTCAATATTATTACCAATTTCTCTGAAATACGTGAGGAGCTATGCACTGATAAACTTGTCTTTATCGTGGGCAGATATCACCACTATATTTTAATAGATATTATATATTATTTAACTGAATTCAATAGGTGTTCATTCACAAAACAAAATTACAAAACATGGAAGGAATGTATTATTTAAGAATTTAACAGGAAGAGTTTTAAATGTTATCAGGATTTCCTTTCAACCATGCCTAACATATACCGTAAAGAAATAACTAAATCTTGAAAACCCTTATTAATACAGTTTATACTTTCTACAAAATGGATAAAGTTTTTAAGTGGGAAGTGCTAGGAAGTAAAGTTTCAATCTAAATGATTTATATATTCATTTCATGCTTTTTTGTCTTCACCATACAGATAAGTTCTAATTGGATCTCAGTCAAAAAGAACATGTCATGGGCACCTGCATGAAATAAGTCAAATAAGCATTTCAAAAATTTATGGTTAGTATACCTGTTATATGAGTTAAATGTATTATAAAAACTGAAAATATATATTTATAGTTATACTTATAAATTACTGGTTTTTAGAATGGAGCATAGTTCATAATATTAACTGTATTACTAATAAAGTAATAATACTAATAACAGTTATTGTTAACTAATAGATGTAAAGGATGTTGATTTGTTTGGAATAAAGTGTTCCTTTGGTTACTGTTAAGTCATTAGAATAATTCACAAGCAGCAAATTGTTTAGTGAAAATGTAAAATTATGTTGCCGTCATTTTTTATAAATCCATAAATCTTAATTATAAGTATGTAGACTAACAGATTTAAAGGAAATAGAACAGCCATAGTAAAGTCAAAATAGTTGTTTACATTTTAGTTTCCTTCTTTTAAATGGTTTACATAAAATGGCAAACAAAAAAATGGTGTATTCATTATATTCCCGCAGGAGAAATTTGGGCTGGAACAGAAGCCTTTGCTACTGATGGTGCTGGGATGTTGACTCTATGTGTCATCATCCCCACCAACTCTCAGCAATAGAAATA
Source organism: Homo sapiens (assembly GCF_000001405.40). Taxonomy (NCBI): domain Eukaryota; kingdom Metazoa; phylum Chordata; class Mammalia; order Primates; family Hominidae; genus Homo; species Homo sapiens. The sequence continues at coordinate 29,588,828 of NC_000004.12, forward strand.
TTTTGAATCAGAACATTGTTGTTTTATCCTTGCATGACAAAATAAAAATGTGAGCAATACTCTGGTCACCAATATAAATCGGGCTGCCCCAATTACAAACACATGGTCATTTTCTGTTTATGCCAAAACTAATGCGGTCCATTATTGAAATGTACTACTTGAAATTTTGAAATGGAACTAACATATGTATCCTGTGATTATTTGTCTTCTACATCTTGGTATCCAAGCACCAGTCATATTGCATTTTGTTCTTTTAGTGATCTTTCTAATCCTCTGCTTAGATTTATGGGAAAGCATTCATCAATCAAATTGGCAATGCTTTTAGTCATATTCAGGGGAAAAGGTGGTTGAATTTAATCAACAAATGCACATGTTTTACTCCTGTATATCTAACTATAAGCCCCCTTGCAGTCTTAATGGCTTACTTCACACATTTTCAGAAGACTATCATTAGTTATCCAAATGCATTTGAATGTTGTTGTCTGTTAACACTTGAAATAAAAAGACGGATTCACAAGGATCTTCCAGAAGCTTACTATGCCAATACTGGTACAGCTGCTACTTAGAACTGTCTTCAAATAGTAGACTACTTGATTGCTGCTGCCAATTGGATTTTCTTAACTATTATTTCCCTTTAGTCAAAGACACAGAATGTAGAAACTCTGTATCTAAGGGATTTGGCAGAGGCTTAGCTATTTATCATTTGTGTGAGGATCAAGCAGGCCAGGTGTGGTGTCCTGTTTATTTTAATGATACCAATATTGGGATGTGAGTTTAGAATAATAATATAGAATATTATTCACTTATTTTGCACCTTGGTGGCAGTTGCAAGAATGTGGCATTTCTCTAGCACATAAAATAGCTCTGGCTTAAATTTATTTTGCATAAAATCTCGCAATAGAGAAACCACTTGTATTTAGATACCATTTACACTATGAGGTTTTTTATTTTTGTTGCTATTGTTTTTAATGTAAGACTTCCTTTAAGAAAACGAGAAATTGCCGTGTTTTCTGATCTACACTATGCCTAGCACCACAAGACTGGAAAAGAAAAATGCATTTCACTCTGAAGGAAAAAAGATAATAGAAGTTGAGAGGCTATCAAAACAAATTGTGTATTTGAGTGTGGAATAAGTAGATGGCAGAGATCAAATGCATTTGGATAACTAATGATAGTCTTCTGAAAATGTGTGAAGTAAGCCATTAAAACTGCAAGGGGGCTTATAGTTATATATACAGGAGTAAAACATGTTCATTTGTTGATTAAATTCAACCACCTTTTCCCATGAATGTGACTAAAAGCATTGCCAATTTGATTGATGAATGCTTTCCCATAAATCTAAGCAGAGGATTAGAAAGATCACTAAAAGAACAAATTATCTGGAAGATAATTTGAAGCTGTCTTACCTTCTTTTGTGTGTACAATGTTTGGCATGACTACAGATTTTCCAGGTACTTATAAACTGCAGTGTCATGGGTAGTGTGAAAGTTGTGGTTACGCTTAACAGTGACAAGCAACAATGCTGATATGATAATGATGATCAGTCTGGCACTGAAACATGTGGCAGTGGGAAGGACAAGGGTACACATGACAGAGAAAGGGGTGGAATTCTGCAAATGATGAATTACTTTATCACCCTTCCAAGCACCTTACCATGAACATTTGGGTAAATTCAATGATTACTACTCAACCATCATGTGTATCAGATTTTAGAATAAATAAGGGAGAACTTCAGCATTTTATCAAGCTGGTAATAATGCCACAGAACAAAAGTTTCCAAACTTTTTGGCACCACAGACTGGTTTTGTGGAAGACAATTTTTCCACAGACTAGGATTGGTGAGGGATGCTTTTGGGATGATTCATGCACATTACATCTGTTGTGCACTTTATTTCTATTACTTTTATATTATAATATATAATGAAATAATTATTCAACTCACCATAATGTAGAATCTGTGGGAGCCCTGAGTTTGTTTTCCTGCAACTAGACAGTCCCATCTTGGGGTGATGGGCTACAGTAGCAGATCATCAGGAATTAGATTTTCATAAGGAGTGCTCAACCTAGATCCCTCACATGCACAGTTCAAGGTAGGGTTCTCACTGCTGTGTGAATCTAATGTGGCCACTGATCTGACAGGAGGTGGAGCTCAGGTCACTGAACTGACAGGCGGCAGAGCTCAGGCCACTGATCTGACAGGAGGAGGAGCTCAGGTGGTAGTGCAAGTGATGGGGGGCAGCTGTAAATACCAATGAAGCTTTGCTCTCTTGCCTGCTGCTCACCTCCTGCTATTCAGCCCATTTTCTAACAGACTGCAGACCACTTCTGGTCTATGACCTGGGGTTCAGGCACTCCTGCTGTAGAAGATATACTTTTTCTCATTCCTGCAAGGTCATTTACTTTTTTGGTGTTTTCCTCAATGGTAAGGATTTTAGGGTTGATAATTCTGAAGAGATATTTGACAAGGAAGAATACTATCCTTCTATCTATCCATTCAGGTAAAAAAATCAGCACATCCCTTTCCAGATTGTGATTAGGCACCACGGATGCTACTGCTCTCAGGAAGCTTAAAGTCCAGAGAGAAAAACACTGGAAAACACTGCAGGTCTTCCCAAGTTATCTACATCTATATGACTCCTAATCTAGTGTAGGCAGGTTAAAGGCAAATATCTCACTGACAGTGCCATCCTGTATAAAGGAGGTAGTTTCATGACATAAGAAGACCCCAAGATGAAAAGGTATTTGAAGTTGTTACCAAAATATGACAAAACATTCTCTGATTCAGAACCTTTACATTGTCTGTTTCCTTCTTCCAGAATGCTGTTTCTCAGATATCTCATTTTCCTGAGTTTCCTTCATAGTGCCCTTACCATTACCTGGATACACACACAAGGTCTTATTCGCACGCACTTTAAACATATGTAAGTTATTATCTATCTCTCCCCACTGGAATGAAAGCTTGATGGCCTCTGGTTTGTTCACTATCCCCATTATCTAGAACAACGCCTGGCAGAAGATTTCACATGGGTAAATATTTGTTGGATGTTTATCTACTTGTATATCAAGTAATGACTTCCTGAGAAACTTAATTGGATCCTTTTTATTTATGTGGTATTGAGCGATTAACAACCATTCTTTAAAATTCACACTTGACTGCAAAACACTATTCAGCATTATGTATTACAAATCAATAAATCAATCTACCTAAATCTCTTAACTAGGAAATACTGACAAGTAGATGTCTTGATGAGTACTTGCTATGAGTACCTATGCTCACAAACATACACAAACATATAAATAAGAATGAGGGGATATAATTCTACTAATATGTCCTTATTGACAATTGCAACACAAGAAAAACAACAAAATATTTTCATATAATTGATTCATCATTTAACATACTCTTTGCTGCTTTTTTGTGTTTAGTTGTTTTATAAATTTAATTTTATTTTAGATTCAGTGTGTACCTGTGCATGTTTGTTATATGGATATATTGCATAATGGTGGGGATTGGGCTTTTAGTGTACCCATCACCCAAATAGTAAATATTGTATCCAATAGGTAATTTTTAACCCTCTTTCCTCTCTTATCCTCCTCACTTTCAGAATCTCCAGTGTCTGTTGTTCCCATGTTTATGTGTGTGGGTGCTCAAGTTTAGCTCCAACATATAAGGAGAACATGTGGCATTTGAATTTCTATTTCTGAGTTGTTTAACTTAAAATAAGAATAATGACCTCCAGCTCCATCCACATTGCCACCAAGGACAAGATTTCATTCATTTTTATGGCTGCATATTATTACATGGTGAATACACACCACATTTTCTTTATCCATTCAACCATTGATGGACACATTGGTTGATTCCATAAGTTTACTCTCGTGAATAGTGCTGCAATAAATGTACAAGCACAAGTGTCTTTTGTATATAATTATTTTCCATTGAGTAGATACCCAGTGAAGCGATTGCTGAATCAAATGGTAGATCTACTTTAAGTTCTCTGAGAAATCTCCATACTGTTTTCTATAGAGGTTTACATTCCCACCAATAATATATAAGTGCTTCCTTTCCTCCACATCTATGCCAACATCTGTTTGTTTGTTTGTGTGTTTTTTGACTTTTTTATAATAGACATTCTGTTTGGTGTAACTTGATATCATTGTGGTTTTGCATTTCTCTGATGATTAGTGATGTTGAGCATTTTTGCATATGCTTGTTGGCCACTTGTATGTCTTTTTTTGAGAAACGTCTGTTGATATTGTTTGCCCTCTTTTTAACTGTGTTGTTTGTTTGTGAATTAATTGTTTGAGTTCCCTATATATTCTGGATTTAATCCACCTGGTCCAGAGTTGAGTTCAAGTCCTGAATATCCTTACAAATTTTCTGTCTTGTTGATCTGTCTAATATTGACAGTGGGGTCTTAGAGTCTCCCACTATTGTAGGGTGGGAGTCTAAGTCTCTTTGTAGGTCTCTAAGAGCTTGCTTTATGAATCTGGGTGCTCCTGAACTGGGTGCATGTATATTTAGGATAGTCAGCTCTTCTTGTGGCATTGATCCCTTTACCATTATGTAATGCCCTTGTTTGTCTTTTGTAATCTTTCCTGGTTTAAAGTATGTTTTATCAGAGACTAGGATTGCAATCCCTGCTTTTCTTTTTCTTTCTTTTTTTATTTCTTTTGCTTCCATTTGTTTGGTAAATCTTCCTCCATCCCATTAATTTGAGCCCATCTGTGTCTTTGCATGTGAGATAGGTCTCCTGAATACAGCACACCAACGGGTCTTGACTCTTTATCCAATTTGCCAGTCTGTGACTTTTAATTGGGACATTTAGCCCTTTTACATTTAAGGTTAATATTGTTATGTGTGAATTTGATCCTGTCATTATGATGCTAGCTGGTTATTTTACCCATTAGTTGATGCAGTTTCTTCATAGTGTCAATGGTCTTTACAATTTGGTATGTTTTTGCAGTGGCTGGTACCAGTTGTTCCTTTCCATATTTAGTGCTTCCTTCGGGAGCTCTTGTAAGGCAGGCCTGGTGCTGACAAAATCTCTCAGCATTCCCTTGTCTGTAAAGGATTTTATTTCTCCTTTGATTTTGAAGCTTAGTTTGGCTGGATATGAAGTTCTGGGTTGAAAATTCTTTTCTTTAAGAATGTTGAAAATATTCAGCAATGGGCCCCCACTCTCTTCTGGCTTGCAGGTTTTCTGCAGAGAGATCTGCTGTTAGTCTGATGGGCTTCCCTTTGTGGGTAACTGGACCTTTCTCTCTGGCTTCCCTTAACACTTTTTCCTTCGTTTCAACCTTGTTGAATCTGATGATTATGTGTCTTGGGATTGCTCTTCTTGAGGAGTATCTTTGTGGTGTTCTCTGTATTTCCTGAATTTGAATGTTGGCCTCTCTTTCTAGGTTGGGGAAGTTCTCTTGGATAATATCCTCAAGAGTGTTTTCCAACTTGGCTCCTTTCTCCCCATCACTTTCAGGTACACCAATCAAACGTAGGTTTGATCTTTTCACATAGTCCCATATTTCTTGGAGGTTTGTTCATTCCTTTTCATTATTTTTTACTATAATCTTGTCTTCATGCTTTATTTCATTAAGTTGATCTTCAATCTTTGATATCCTTTCTTCTGCTTGATCAATTTGACTACTGATACTTGTGTATGCTTCATGAACTTCTCATGTTGTGTTTTTCAGCTCCATCTGGTCATTTATATTCTTCTCTAAACTGGTTGTTCCAATTAGCAGTTCTTCTAACTTTTTTTTCAAGGTTCTTAGCTTTCTTGCATTGGGTTAGAGCATGCTTCTTTAGTTTGGAGGAGTTTGTTATTACCCACCTTCTGAAACCTACTTCTGACAATTCATCAAACTCATTCTCCACCCTGTTTTGTTTCCTTGCTGACAAGGAGTTGTGATCCTTTGGAGGAGAAGAAGTGTCCTGGTTTTTGGAATTTTCAGCCTTTTTGTGCTGTTTTTTTTTTTTTTTTTTTTTTTCTCATCTTCATGGATTTAACTACCTTTGGTCTTTGATGTTCATGATCTTTGCATGGGGTTTTTGTGTGGAAGTCCTTTTTGTTGATGTTGATAGCATTCTTTCTGTTTGTTAGTTTTCTTTCTAACAGTGAGGCCCCTCTGCTGCAGGTCTGCTGGAATTTCCTGGAGGTCCACTTCAGACCCTGGTTGCCTGGGTATCACCAGCAGAGGCGGCAGAACAGCAAAGATTGCTGCCTGTTCCTTCCTCTGGAAGCTTTGTCACAGAGGGGCACCTGCCAGATGCCAGCTGGAGCTCTCCTGTATGAAGTGTCTGTAGAACCCTGCTTGGAGATGTCTCCCAGTCAGGAGGCACAGTGGTCAGGGACCCACTTGAGGAGGCAGTCTGTCCCCTAGCAGAGCTTGAGCACTGTGTGGGGAAATCTGCTGCTCTCTTCAGAGCTGGCAGGCAGGGACATTTAAGTTGGCTGAAGCTGTGCCCACAGTCATCCCTTCCCCCAGGTGCTCTGTCTCAGGGAGATGGGAGTTTTGCCTATAAGCCCCTTACTGGGGCTGCTGCCTTTCTTTTAGAGCTGACTTGCCCAGAGAGGAGGAATCTAGAGAGGCAGTCTGGCTACAGCAAGTTTGCAGCACTGTCGTGGGCTCTGCCCAGTTCGAACTTCCAGGATAACCGCCTACTCAAGTCTCAGTAATGGTGGATGCCCTGCCCCCCACCATGGTGGAGCTTCCCAGGTTAACTTCAGACTGCCATGCTGGCAGCGAGAATTTTAAGCCAGTGGGTTTTACCTTGCTGGACTCCATGAGGGTGAGATCTGCTGGGCTACAGCACTTGGCTCCCTGGCTTCAGTCCCCTTTCCAGGGGAGTCAATGGTTCTGTCTCTCTGGCATTCCAGGTGCCACTGGGGTATGAAAAAAACTCCTGCAGCTAGTTTGGTGTCTGCCCAAATGGCCATCCAGCTGTGTGCTTGAAACTCAGGATCCTGGTGGCATAGGCACCCTAGGGATTCTCTTGGTCTGCAGGTTGCGAAGACCACTGGAAAAGCAGAGTATCTGGGCCGGAGTGCACCATCCCTCATGGCTTCCTTTGGCTTCCATTGGCTAGGGGAGGGAGTTTCCCGACTCCATGCACTTCCCAGGTGAGGTGACCCCCCACCGTGCTTCGGCTTGCCCTCTGTGGGCTGCACCCACTGTATAACCAGTCCCAATTAGTTGAGCTGGATATCTCAGTTGGAAATGCAGAAATCACCTGCCTTCTGCATTGATCTCACTGGGAGTTGCAGACTGGAGCTGTTCCTATTTGGCCATCTTGCCAGCCACCACCCAGTATCAATTTTTTGTTAATGAACATTTGTATGTTTCTAGTTTTAAGTTTTTATAAATAAACATGCTACAAATATTTGATTACAAGTTTTTCTATGAACATATGCTTTTATTCCTCTTGACTAAATACCTGTGAGTAGAAAGGTTAGATCCTATTGGAAGCGTAGAGTTAACCTTTTGAGAAACTGTTGTGCACTTTTTTCCAAGGGATTGCTTTATTTAAATTCCTACTGACAGTGCCTGGGAGTTGCAGTTTCTATGCTCCCTCACCTACATTTAGGATGACTAGTCTTTTTAACGTTAGCAATGCTACTTAAGGTGTAACAAGTATCTCATTGTGTTTTAACTTGCATTCTTCTAATACCGAATAATGATAAGAATTTTCATGTTTATCTTATCCACGCAAACTTTACTCACGAAGTGTATGTTCAAAAAATTTTAACAGTTTGCTTGCATTTTTATTATTGGGTTTTGAGAAGTTTTTGTATATTATGAATACAAGTCATTTTGCAGTTAAGTGAGTTGCAAATCCATTTCTCCAGGTTAAGGGTTGTCTATTTACTCCCTTCTTAGTGTCTATTGGAAATCAGAAGTTGCTAATTTTTATGAAATATCATTTATCAATTTGTTCTTTTATGGATTATGCTTTTGTTGTCATCTCTAAATATCTCTTTCTAAATCAAAGTCACAAGGATTTTCCCCAAACTTATCTTCTATACCTTTTAAAGTTTTAGATTTTACTTTCAAGTCTATCACCCAGTTGTACCCATTTTTAAAAATATGACATATTGTTTAAAACTGAATTCATCAGTGGCATACAGATAACAGCTCTTTAATACCATTTTTTTTTAAACTACACTTTCTTCACTGAATGACCCTGGCAATTTTATCAGAAAGAAAAATTGTCAGAAATGTATAGGTATGTTTCTCAACTCTAAATTCTGAAGTATTGACCTACTTTTTATTTTTTTAAAAATTTATAGATACATCATGGCTGTACATATTTATGGGGTACATGTGATATTTTAATATAAGCATATGATGTGTAATAGTCAAATAAGGATATCTGGGAAAAACATGAACTCAAACATTTATCATTTCTTTGGGTAGGGAACATTCCAAATCTTCTAGCTATTTTGAAATACATAATAAATTGGGGTTGAAATATTATGCTACAAACACTAAATCTTATTCCTCTGATCTGTGTGTTTCTTTGCATTAACCAGGCCCTCCTCATCTACCCTCTTCACTACCCTTCCCAGTCTCTGGTAACCATTCTACTTACTATGTTCACAAGATCTTTACATATGAGTGAAATTACAGCATTATCGAGGTGCAATTTATAGATTAAAAAACTGCATATATTTAGTGCATGCAATTCAATGGGTCTGAATATATCCATACACCTGTTAAAGCATCATCATAACCAAGGTAATAAGAAGTGTGAACATTTGAGATTTACTCTCTTCACAGTATTTTCAATGTACAATACAGTATTGTTAGCTGTTGACACTAATTTGTATGGCAGATCTCTAATACGTATTTGTCTTCCACGAATGAGTATAAAATGTATACCTACTAAACATCAACTCTCCATTTCCCTCCCTCTAGTCCCTGGTAACCACCTTTCTACTCTCTGATCCCATAATATATTAGATACCTTATATAGGTGAAATCATGCATTACTTGTTCTTTTGTAACTGGCTTATTTTACTTAGCACAGTGTCCTCCAGGTTCTTCATAGTTCTCCGAAATATCTGTATATTCTTCTTTTTTAGGCTAACCATATTCCATTGTATGTATATAATCACATTGTCGGTATCCATTCATTCATGGATGAATATTTGGGTTGTTCCCGTATTTTGGCTATAGAATAATGCTGCAATAAACATAGGGGTGCAGATATCCGTTTGAGTCCCTGATTCAATTATTCTGGTTGCATAATCTGTATTATATAATTATATAATTAATTTGGATTGGTAGATCACATGGTAGTTCTATTTTTCCATAATGCTTTGAATAATGGCTACACCATTTTACATTCCAGCCAACAATCAACAATGGTTCTAGTTTCTCCACATCCTTGCCAACACTTACCTTTGCCAACACTTACATTTTTTTAAAAAAAAAAAATAGCTATTCTATCAAGTATAAGATGGTATCTCATTGTGGCTTGAATCAGGATTTCCCTGATTAGTGTTGCTGAGCACATTTTCATACACCAGTTGCCCATTTGTATGTCTTCTTTGCAGAATATGGATTTTGAATTCTGCAGCACTGTAAAATTCATTAATTAGTTCTATTATTGCTAGTAGATTCTATCATTTATTTCATATAGACAATCATGGTGTCTGCAAATAAATAGAGTTTTGCCTCTTCTTTCCAATTTGAGTGACTTTCCTTTTTCTTACCTTATTGTGTTTCTTACCTTATATCCTGTAAGATGTAATTTAATACATGTCAGATATTTACATAGTTTTCTTAATTGTAGGAGAGAAACTGTTCAATAGTTAACAAGTAGAATATGAGCTATATGTTTTTTCATAGATACCCATTGTTAGGTTGAGAAAATTTTCCTCTAGATCGCTAATGATTTTTTTTTCCTAGAATAGATGTTAGATCTTGTCAAATTATTTTTAGGCATCTATTGACATGATTGTATGATTTTCTATAGTAGTTTAAAATGGCAAATTACCTTGCTTATGTATTAATTGTCTGTTTTTGCCCTAACAAGTTAATGTAAATTTAGCCATTTAAAAACAACACAACTTAAAGAAAACTTTGGGATCCCATATTGGCGCTCTGCTCTGGATATCACAAGTCTAAATATGAGTGTCAGCAGGGTGTTCTCTTATGAGCAAGCTCTGGGAATAATCTCTTTCTTTGCTCCTCGGGTTGACTGAACTAAATTATATCATTGTAGTAATAGAACTAAAATCCACATTTCCATTCCAGCTTTTACCTGGTGATCAACTTTTCCTCCTACAAGTCTCTGGATTATTCTTGCACCATGACCTTCTACATTTCAGAGACAGAAATGATGTTCAAAATAGTTTTCAAGGCTGGCATTTCTCTGACTTCCTCTTCTGCCACATGTACCACACTTATTTTCCTGCAACATCTCCTCTACTTCTGCTATGGAAAGATATCTATTAGTAGGGCATATGTGATTAGGTTGAGTCCACCTGTGCATTCTGTAATACTATCCTTATTTCAAGGTATATAACTTTGGCTACATGTGCTAAGTATATTTCACCGAGTAATGTCACGTATTTACAGATTCTGGAAATTAAGATGTGGGCATCTCTCATGGGTCATTATTCTGACTATCATAGCTGAATTTATTGTTTTTCTTTCCTTTTCTTAAGACAATTTAGTTTTATTATATTAAAAGGTGTTTTATATAGGTGTTATATAGATAAATTTTGTATTTGGTTGCAATGTGGCAGCCTCTGCCTTTGGATTGACAGAATTTTTAACTTTAAGATTTCTTTAATGGGTAAGTTACCTTTTATACAAAATGATAACCGTATATTATACGTAAGCAAAATAATGTAGCATATACTATTTAACATAAGCAAAATTATAAGATAGTAATAAAAGAAAGACTATGAGAGATAAAGGGAAGCACATAATAATTTTTTGTACTGTAAATAAAATGGTGTAATATCACATGAAGGTAGACTAAGTTAATGATGAATACTATAAACACAAAGTAACCACTAACATAACATAACAAAAAGTTATTACCAATAATTTAACAAAGAAAATACATTACAATCATTTTTAAAAATCAAAGAATTGAAAATAAGACCCACAATGAGAAAACAGAACAAAAATCAGATATGGCTGAGAAAAAAAAAAAACAGGTAGCAATATGATAGATTTAAATCTAACCCAAAAAGAAAACAGGATTAAATGTAAATAGTCTGAACATCTTAATTAAAAGGCAGGCATGGATTCCTGAGAAAAGGATGAGTTCAGCCCCCTTCCACTTGCTCTCTTTCATCACGTGATGTCTTCTACCATGTTATGGCCCAGCAAAAAGGCCCCCACCAGATGAGGATCCTTGATCTCAGACTTTCTAGCCTCCAGAACCAAATTAAATAAGCTCCTATCACTTAAAAATGACACAGTTTGTGGTATGCTAGTATAACAGTACAAAATAGATTAAGATAACATTATTACTGCTCTATCTTGCCCTAAGAACTTTGATGACTTTGGCTCTCCTGGATATCCTTCTGAGTCTCTAGAATTAGGTATAAATATGCCATTTTGTACTTTTTTAGTAATGCACAAAATTTTCCTTTTATTAGGAGAAAACCTGACTAAGCTCATATACGATGAGCTACATTTAGAGAATCATGTATCAAATCTACAAACGTAGTTCTTGGTTAGATTGGAACCTCCTTTCCCCACCTCTCTATTAGAAATTTGTAATTTAAAAAGTCATAGCTGTGAGAAAAAATAGACAAACTACCAGTAAAGCTAAAATTATCTGCAGCCTCATTTGAGGAATAAAGGAGTGGATAGGATAATGTTACATCAAAACAAAATCACTGATCCAAATACAGAAGTGTGATGAGTGTAATTTCTTTTTCTTTAAGAAACATTCCATCAACAATCTCTTCCCTTTTACTTTTTAACTAAGTTATTGCTTACAAAATTAATGTATCTTTCAGAAAAAAAACTCCTGTTTTCAATGTAAAAAAATAAATAGTATGGTTTTCTTTGTATAACTAGATTGCACATCAATACTTTATTCTTGATCATAAAACTACAAGTGTAGTTTAACAAAATGCAAATAATGCAAATAACTTTAATGTGTAATTACATGTAAAATGGCTCATTGAATAATAGTTAAGTACAAATTTATTCCATAAAAAATAATATTAACATACCATAATGCCTTTATTAATTTTAGTATCAATCTTGTTATTTTTCAAGATAATTATATATATGAAAGTTCTATTTTGTTTGCCATTTATACCTCCTTGAAAAATAGAATGGTTATTAAAAAACTCGGAAGAATAAAATCTGTTGTTATACAACTAACTCAAAGTTCATTATCAATGTTGGTCATGATGGATAGCGGTACCAAATCACAGGTTTCCATCATCATCATCATCATCACTACATTCCTCAGGCAGTGGAAACTGTCATTTCAGGGGATCTGAAGTAAGGTGATCCGAAATAAAGGGAAGTAAGGTGATCTGAAATAAAGGGAAGTAAGGTGATCTGAAATAAAGAAAATTTTTCTAGAGTGAGGATAGTGAGGTAAAAAAAGAATATCCATTATTTGGCAAATTCTAATATGCCTCATCTAATTTAATCATTACAAAATATCTAGTAGTTGTCTTTGTTCAGTAATAAAAACTAAAGTTTGAATCCAGAGCACATGACTTATGTCACTATGTAAAAGAGAACAAAATTGGTTGACACTTTCCTTACCGCCAATGGTAGTTAACTAACTATTTTATGTATTTTATAGTGGATTTTTATGTTACTTTGGATTCCCATTTTTCATAAAGGGTTTGGGCATGAGACGTGATTTTAAGAAGGATTGTGACTGGCCTAACTTCATCTTGACTGATTTTTACCTTAATTTTCCTAAAGACACTATCAGAATGATGTACATTATAAATAATAATAATAATAATAACAGTACTATCAATAACCATGACAAATGAATTTTATTTGAACTAATTTTATCTGAATAAATATATTATTTAATAAATTAATACATTGTTTTCAAGTACTTTCTCTTAAGAGCTTGTTTCACACTATCTTTGTCTCAGAACACATTTTTTGGTCTTTGGTCATCTCTTTATCACTTATTTTCTCCTCCATCTTAATTATCCATAGCACAGAACTGACATTTTATAATTACCATTTTTCTTAGTAATGTTTTATTTATTTACTCATGTTCTGACTTTCTCATTTTTTAATTACGAATGTGGTTCAAATGAATGTTTTGTATTTTCATGCTTTAAAATTTTCTAAATTTATGTGTAAGTTTCAGTTATGTATCTTCTCATTCATTATTTTATTATCCATTTATTCTTATTCACTGAAGAATAGTTGCACTACTATATATAGAAGAGATGGCAGACGTTGGGAGGCCAAGGCGGGCAGATCACCTGAGGTCAGAAGTTCCAGACCAGCCTGGGCAACATGGCGAAACCCCATCTCTACTAAAAATACAAAAAGTAGCCGGGTGTGGTGGTGTGCGACTGTAATCCGAGCTACTTGGGAGGTTGAGGCAGGAGAATTGCCTGAACCTGGGAGTCAGAGGTTGCAGTGAGAGAGATCATGCACTGCACAGCACAGCCTGGCGACAGAGCAAGACTCCGCCAAAAAAAAAAAAAAAAAAAAAAAGAGATGGCAGACATTTCTAACTGGGTAGGGCAAGAATGACATGTATTGAGCCTAAGGTGACTGTACTTCAAAGGATCATGGAATTAATTTCGTATTAATAATTCTTCTTAAAGTTTTTTTTCTATCTTTGCTTTTTACTCTATTGTCTCTACCTATGTGACCTTTCTATATCCCTAGATCTAATAGTGGGCTGTACACTACACTGGTGATTCCCAAATCTATATTTCCAAATCGTGTTAAATATGCAAGAAAAACTATCTATTTTAAGTTTGTGTCAATTTACTTGTAGCACAGATTTTCTATAAATTAGAAATTAAATAAATTCATTTTAAAATAATACAGTTAAAAAATGTAGCACAATAGGATGTTAGTTTGAAGCTAATACTCTGGCCTTCTTTATTTGTTCAAGTGCTTCGATGCTAAGTATTGAAATGAATATACTTACAGTTTCCATTTTTAACGACAAACTCATAAAATTATAAAATTAGTCAATTTTGTATGTGTGTATAACTTCATGAAAAATTCACAAATTCATTATATGTTAGTTACCAATCTTTCCCCTCAAAGAAGCAAATTACAACCTCACTTCTCAAAGCAATAGCAAATGTAAGTGGACTGCCAATAAATGTAACAGGACGCAAATTTGTTGGAAAACAGTAATATGTTCAGTCTCTTTAAAAATACTAATTTATTTCTGTTGTTTATTTAAATAATTTATCAATACTATTAGACACTTTAAATTCCCACTGACATAAGACTTGCTACTCTTCCTTCAATATTAAGAAAGTGCCCATTTTATCTCTTTGTGGGAATAGTCTAACCAAATTCCCTGTATACTTGTTATTAACTATTAGAAATATATACTAATATATTAATCTTTTCACATCCTGAGTCTTTCAGCAAAATTAAAAAATAATGTCTAGACTGTACCCAGAACCCATATTATTCATCTTTGCCTTATTAAAATTGTAAACACATTTGAGACCACAGCATAAAAACAAGAGTATATAATACTTTCCTTGTGTACAAACTCCTCACATTTAACTGAAGGGGATCTAGCAAGTCTGATGAAAATACAATTTTTAGGCTCAATGATTTGGGTATATACATTTCCAACAAAAGTAATCTGGCTAAATATAAGCTGAGATAATTGTATTTTAAAATTTGAGAGTATTTCCTTTGCAATTGTTTTATAAATTAATATTAATCATTACCCATGGTGGCAATGGAAGTTATTTCCTCTCATATAATTACAGAGACTTTTTGTTTGTTCCTGAATTGAAACTTGATGTTTGTGATTAGTGGAAAGTAAAAATAATCAATAATAACAAACTATTGAATTTATATTGGTCTACAAACATGATAGCATCATAGTGTGGGAGTATGAAGAGTAAGCAGCCAAAAGATGTCAAAGGCCCACATGACATTTCTTGGAGCAAATGATCAGTTCTCTGAATCCCAGGCATAAAACAAATGTAAGAGGACTCATGGCGGCTGTAATCATTTCAGTGTTTTAAACCATGGCAGTGCCAGGTGGTGACTCAGAGAAGGATTGGTGGTGGCAGATCAAGTGAGAAGTATTCAGTTTAGACATCTGCATTTGTAGAGGGAACAAAGTGCTTTCTAGAACCCCTTTCAAACGCTGTTCTGGAGAGACATAAAACATCTATGTTTGTTTGTATGCCATGACAAAAGCAGCTATGGAAAAGCAACTTTGACTTTTGTGGGCTAACTTATGTACAGTCAATCAGATCCACCGGGTGACAGTCCAAATCAGTCATTACGATGGGTGGAAACATCAATCGACCTTGCCACAATCCAGTGTTTGCGTCATACAGGCACAAACTATGTTTATATGCCTAAGGTAAGTGGATGAAGGAACAGCATTAGGGGTCAATAAATTTCACTGACCCTGTAAGCTTGATCTGTTTAGAATCCCTGTAGTATCCAGAACTGAGGCCCTGTGAATCAGTTATATTTGCCTGTATCAAACTTCTCCAGTAACATGATATTTTGCCACTTTTTATATTATGATTTTCAGTATATCCTCAAATAGTTTTTATTTTTCCCGATTAATAACTATTTGTTAGGAATTATTTTCAACTGGCAATGCCTTTTCCACAAAAACTTGTAAATATTTATCTGGAAACCTAATCTATCTTAAAATATATTGATCTATGTTGATTAAAACTCTATGTCACCCATAAATAAAAGATAGGTCCATTTCTGAGAAAGATGGCACATTTAATTACAGACCATGAAATGTTTTTAAATGCTGTGGTATGGCTCCATTTCTAAGCAAAGCATGCTTGGAGAGCTGTAAAAAATATAGTTTTGGTTTACTTCTATTTACTAAAAAAAAAAAAATCTAAGCAACGCTTAGGATTTAAAAATATATATAATCTCTCCTCATTTTTCAGCCTTTTCCAAAAATCTTTATATCTCTTCTAACATTATTTTTTCCCACTGTTTCCTTGGATGTTCATCTGTACCTCTCTTCTTAAAACACCTGTCAGGCTCACAAATGTAGTACCTCTTTATGGAATATGAACATGAAGATAGAAGGCATTTTCGAAGACCACCCTTTCTCAGCTTATATAATATTGTTTTCTAACGTTATTATTTTTTACATTTTGAACAACAGGCAATTCTTATAATTACATATATGTTTATGTTTATTAGTGTTTCAGAGTCACTCCTTCATAGCAAATAAACTTCCGTATAATTGCAGATATTCTAGGTTCTCCCTAAACACTTTCAAATATAATTTATATGGGCATTTTAAATGCTTCTCTTCAACCTTAAGCACAGCCCTAAACTGTTCCCTTTAAATATAAGACAGCGAAAACAAGCTCATAATTCATCAAACTTTTATAAGTTTTGAAGAAAATGTATGAAAATTATATATGTATATTAAAATAGGATGACAGAGTAAGAGATTCTGAAGTCCACTAGTGATCCTACTAAATTCAATTATTTATTCATTCGACTTGTGTTATTATATAACCACAATATTTTCAGATGTTATTCTGTATCCCAGAGATGGAGTAGAAAATCAAACAAATAAAACAGTTAAAGTCCTTATCCTCATGGTATTAAAATTCTAGGTGAGGAGACAATGAGTAAATGAACAGTAAAATGCATAACATAGTATCAGGTATTATGAACAACTAAGAAAAATTAATATACTAAAGAGCTCAGTGGTAAGCAGTGTCCTATTTTAGATGATGTGGTCAGGGAACTTCTCTCTGACGCAGTGACATGCATTGTCATATATGAATTAAATGAAAAAGGTCAAAAAGATACATGAAGAAAAAGCACTCCACACTAAGTTGATTAGAGCTTTGAGTCAAAAAAATGCTTGGCATAGTGAAGGAGCAGGAAGCATATCAGTGTAGCTGAAGCATAGTGAAGAAAAAGTAGACTGATATATGATGAGAAAAAGATGACCCAAAATAGATGACATAAACCTATGTAAACGTGAAAAGATTTTGTATTGTGATTTAAACGTGATGTGTATTTGTCACAATAATTGAGATTAACAAACCACTGCAAAACACAGTAGTATACAAAAATTAGCATGTTCAGCCGGGCGCGGTGGTTCACGCCTGTAATCCCAGCAGTTTGGGAGGCCAAGGCAGGTGCATTGCCTGAGCTCAGGGGTTTGAGACCAGCCTGGGCAACATGATGAAGCCCCGTCTCTACTAAAATACAAAAAATTAGCTGGCGTGGCAGCGTGTGCCTGTAGTCCCAGCTACTCGGGAGGCTGAGGCAGGAGAATTGCTTGAACCTGGGAGATGGAGGTTGCAGTGAGCTGAGATCGCGCCACTGCCCTCCAGCCTGGGCGACAGAGTGAGACTCCATCTCAAAAAAAAAGAAAAAAAATAGCGTGTTCATTTCACCTATATATCTGAGGGCTGGCAAGTGTTCACCTGGGCTCAGTGGGCATGATCCTATGTTGTGTGATGAGTGTGATATGCCCAATATATTACTCTTTCTCAGGTTATTCCTTGTCCTGCTATATTTTCTGCTTTGGACCTATAATATAAAGTATTGATGTGTTTATTTTTCTCTGTTTTCCCCTGGATAAAAGCTACATTCACATTGAGATAGTACTTGACTTATTCACTAGCAGAACACTTGTAACTAGGACAAGGTCTGGAGCTGAAGAGATACTTAGTACATATTTGCAGACTGGTTTTATTCTGGAGAGGTATTTGAATTAAAGTCATTGTTGGATGTATGGATCTTTCTGATATATTCCTCCGTAATTATCCACTTTTCAAACATGCTTATAAACTTTTCAAAAATAAAATCTTTTTTGTGTGCTCGAGTTGTGTAGAACTCTAACATGCTCAGAGATAAGTCAATTCATAGTATCACCCCATTCTTTGCAGCTATGTCCATTTGATGACCAGGGATCATCAAATGTTTTCTGTAAAATGCCAGATAGTAAAGATTTTCTTCTTGACTAGCCATACAGTCTGTGTCACAAATAAGTCATCTCTGCTGTTGTAGTGTAAAAGCATCCAAAGGAAATACTGCACCTAAACAAATAGGCATGATTGTTTCTAAGTTAACTTTTTTCACAAAAACAGAGGAAAGGCCAGATTTAGTCCTGGGCAGTAGTTTGCTGACCACTGCTGTAGTAGTTACATACACATCACTTTTTCCCTATTGCCCCCATCTACCCCTGCAGCTTCTTTTCTCTCTAAAAAAGGCACTGAAACCTGTAGGTGTTTGGAATGAGCTCACAGATTTCAATTTCTTAGGTTTCCTTGAAGGCCTTTGCATTGATATTTGTTTACTAATTGCTGCTTTCTTCTGCTGCCACACCACTTCTGCTGCGGCTAGAGCTTATGGAGAGAACATAAATGCCCTGGCTGAGGTTAATATATGATAATTATATCATAGTCATACAGCCTGAATCTTCAACATGTCAAGGAGGTCATGTTTGTGGAATCGTCAGTGTACTAAACTATACTGTATTTTGTCCACAGCTGAGGCAATTATCCCTCACTGATTGCATTATGTAGTTCTCAGGTTATTGCAGCTTACATTAGAGTGTCTCAAAGATTTCATCCAAGAAGGAGAACTTTCAGGTTCTCCTTTAGGTCCCTGGCTTAGACAGGGGACAGAGGCTAAGCAAACGCAAAGTAACAAAGAAAAAGTATCCTTGTTTCCTCATCAGCCAATTCATTAGGGATGAGCAAAGACGGACAGTGTTCCTAAGAGAATACATGAAGTAGATCACATTAGTGTTTGCCATTGGAAGGCTAGCCCGTGATTTCTGACAATTCTGATAAACTTCGTATCTCTGGCCCTAAAGTCAGCCACATCTTGCTCATCAAAGGTTTATTTATTAGGCTTGACATTTACAAGAGTGAAAAGCAGGAGAGGTTAATGGCAGATGGTTTTACTCTACAGTGGCTGCGTCTCTTAATGATGAATTGGGCATTTGTTGTTCTATCTTTTTGGCTTCTCTTTTGAACCAGTCTGTCTACCGAGAATGCTTATAAGAATGGGTTGTATCTCTGAAAAGGGAAGTATCCAGGTTTGTAGGAGAAAGCTCAAAGTAGAAGATAGGTATCAGGAGCCCAGATGCAGCTGAAGATCAAGACACCATCCTCAAATTAACCTTGTATATACTTATGCCAGTATTTAATACTCATCTATCTAATAAATCATTTAAATAGTTTTGAACTTGGGTGAAGATATGCATATTACTTATTAGTGTCCTTGGCCCCTAAAATATATTATCCAAATATAATGCCTGATGTAATTCAAACATGTATAGAAAAGAAAATTAAAAAGACCAAACATTATGAATTTACAAAGCAAATTTGGTGTTCTGGTAACTTCCAACATTACAAAACCATATGACTATTTGAAATGTCATTACCAAATTAGATAATTTTGTTAATAATGTGCTCTTTATTATTTTACTTTACATTATTTATATTGTTTGTCAAAAATAATTCCATTAAGCACCTGTGTGCATTGTAAGGTAACATAAGATATAAGTGCAGAAAATATGCTTAATATTTTTCATTGCATTACAAAATAAATTTGCTTTTCCCAACTGATTTAATAAATTGCAATACCTTAGGTACAATCCATCTAGAAATTCTATAACTGGTTATGTTGATATATGAGCATTTTAATGTGCTTTCATTTTCTTAAATGCATGACATGGAGCAACAAATGAGATTGAAAGTAATGAGGCATGGATTTTTTTTTTTTCTAACAGAAACCATTACATTATGAGAGTAATAAACTCTTTTAGGAATAAAGACACCTGTCACTATGGATGCCAAAGTGATACAAGCAAAGTGACTACTTCTTACTATGATTTCATTTTTATTGTGTTGAAAAGGTTTTCTGTCTCTTTTAATTTAGTCTTTGAATATTTTTACTGTTTTGCTTTTTCTTCCATTCACAATTTTTATTTCTTTATTTGCTCAACCTTTGAGATAAACCTTGGATTGCAGAAATAGTGGCATAATTGCATGCCAAGGTCAAAAATCATAGAAGCAAATAGAAAGCTGGTATTATAGAAGCAAATATATGGTAACCAGATTTAAGGTGATATGTGTTGCTAGGTTTGCATTATTAATGATTGTCTCCAAATTAATTTTTGAAGTCGAGTGTTCCGTTTCCTGAAACTTTTCTTTTTTCTAAAAAAAAAAAAATTCATTTGACTTTTATGAAGCCCATCTTATAAGAAACAAAATTTTATTTATTGGTCTGGTTGGGAAAAAGTAGATGTATAACTGACAGAATAATCTGTTTAAGTAATCGACATATTGCTAAGTAATATTGCATTTCCTAAAGTTACAATAAAAATATAACCAACTTTTAATCTGTATCAGAAAATATCTTTATGTGTTATTCAGGTATTAGCAATGTTTGAAAGTCAAAAGAAATTGGAGGGCTTGCAGTGATTCAAAACTTATTCTGAGATTTAACATCGTACAAGAATGTGGAGATTTAAAAGTATACAAAATTGGTCTCCATGGGGTAATAGAACTGGAAAATATCTTGATAGCATTTCTCTTTTATAATTCTGTGACATTAATTTATTTTCTTATCATTTGATTTCCTTTTACAATATTGAGTATAATGAAGTAATTAAAACAATACTATGGAAAACATTTATAGAAATTTCAATTATACCTATTAATATGCAGTATTAAATACTATGTTTCCTATTTTATAGTCAGGGCAGAATTCTCTGGTTATAAAATATAAATCAATTGTGAAGGATAGGAGAGGACCCATGTCAAATTGGATCCATTTTTGGAATGAGCATAACACTTATTTTAGTTAAAAAAGCAAAAAGTTAGGGTACAGTTACAGCTTCCATGAGGTTTCAGACTGATATCTTCCATTAAACTAGCTACATGTAATTATGGGTTTTAAAAATAATTCTATCGACACACCATAGTATTAATAAAACAAGTTAGGGAAGAGGGATTTTGTCATCATTATGTAAATTTCCATGCAAATGAGTTTCTCTTCTTAGTTCAGAGCTGAGATTCATTTTTACTCTCTATTGGAAGCCTCTTTTGCTATCCATGCATCGTACTGGAAAAGTGGTCAATATGATAAAAAATGTATTAGAATACCCAATTTTAAGAGGAAACTGTCTAATTTTAACTTTGTTGATTATTAATTGCATAACACTTAATAGAACTGTTATAGCAAAGTTCAAAGAAAATACTGAGTTTGGGGCCAAATCCATATTCTCCTATTTATAAGCTACATAGCCTCATACTAAGTAAAACTAATAGTAATAGTTACCTCATAAGACTGCTCTGAATATTAAATAGATTAATAAACATTAAGCACGTAGCAGTGTGTGGCACATGTACTGAAAACTCTGTTAAGTTTTAATAAATGAAACCATTATCCAAAATTAAGTGATGTGTTCCATGCATTAATTTTACAGTTAATTCAATAATTATTAATGTATTACTTTTTATTATTTTTTCTTTACATCATTTATTCAACATTTATCAGTATAATTATGCATTTGTTTGAATAGCTGCCTCATCAGAATGTAGAATGAGGACAGGAAGTAATGGGGATCACCGGAAGCGTGGTTAGCTAAGCAGGCTGTTAATCCCAATTACAAAAAAAGTTCTAAGAATACAGACTCATATACCAACTCCAGAAATTTTATTCACAATGACAACTCTAGTATCAGTAAACAGATGTAGAGCTCTTTTTGGAACCTGTGCCCCAGCCTGTACAAATCTTACTGCTAGGCATACTTTGCCCTGAACCTTAGATGTGGTGTCCTTTTCTATCAGAAACAGGAATAAATGCTGGGAAGAATTTCTTTTTTGAATTTATGGATATTATCTGGGATAGGCAGTGAATAGGAATGAGCCAAAAGCAATGTTGCTCTTCTTCTTTCCATGGTGTTGCTTCATTCTCTGTATTCATTTCTTTCTAAAGATCAACTCATTGTTAGGTTTAATGTAACTAATTTGGAAGTAACAAAAACTGGCCCCTGATTTCGTTCTTCAGATAATTCCTATGATGTTACACATATTAATAGTAAAACCTCTAATGACATTGAAATTCGATAATAAAGTGGAAAGGTAGAAATGAAAGCCTTCTCCTCGGGACCAAGTTCTTTTATACTGAAGAGTCTCACAGAACTCCAGAGGACCTGTCTTACCTGACCATGTTCCTGAGTGGTGTTTTTAACATTTTTTTCATTCTTTTTTTTTATGCCACTCTCCAACCCTTGTCACCGTAAGTCTTTATTCTTAAATCTACTGGTGACAATTAAATTCTCAAGTGAAGTCAGTTTGGTGGCATAAAGTAGAAACTAGGATTTAGCATGAAAGCTATTGTGATGGTTTATACTGGGTGTCAACTTGATTGGATTGAGGGATGCGAAGTATTGATCCTCAGTGTGTCTGTGAAGGCATTGCCAAAGGAGATTAACATTTGAGTCACTGGGCTGGGGAAGGCAGACCCACTCTTAATCTGGTGAGAACAATCTAATTATCTGCCAGTGAATATAAAGCAGGCAGAAAAATATGAAAAGGGAGACTGGCCTAGCCTCCAGCCTACATATTCTCCTGTGCTGGATACTTCCTGCCCTCGAACGTCAGACTCCAAGTTCTTCAGTTTTGAGACTCAGACTGGCTCTCTTTGCTCCTTAAGCCTGCAGAAAGCCTATTGTGGGATCTTCTGATCACGTAAGTTAATACTTAATAAACTAATATTTTATACACACACACACACACACACACACACATTATTAGCTCTGTCTTTCTAGGGAACCCTGAGTAATACAACTATGATTCCACATCAATGAATATATAACCCCTGTGTATTACTCCTTCTCATGCTGCTATAAAGATACTACTGGAGACTGGGTAATTTATGAACAAAAGAGGTTAAATAGACTCACAGTTCTGCATGGCTGGAGAGGCCTCAGGAAACTTACAATAATGGTGAAAGGTGAAAGGGAAGCAAGCACTTTCTTCACAAGTTGGCAGAAGAGAGAGAGTGCAGGAGAAACTGCCATTTTTTTCTTTTTTCTTTTTTTTGAAATTATACTTTAAATTGTGGGGTACATGTGCAGTACGTGCAGTTTTGTTACATAGGTATACACGTGCATGGTGGTTTGCTGCATCCATCCACCAGTCATCTACATTAGGTATTTCTCCTAATGCTATCCCTCCCCTAGCCCCCCACCTCCCGACAGGCCCCGGGGTGTGATGTTCCCCTCCTGTGTCCATATGTTCTCATTGTTCAGCTTGCACTTATGAGTGAGAACATGCAGTGTTTGGTTTCCTGTTCTTGTGATAGTTTGCTGAGAATGATGGTTTCCAGCTTCATCCACGTCCCCGCAAAGGACATGAACGCATCCTTTTTATGGCTGCATAGTATTCCATGGTGTATATGTGCAGCATTTTCTTTATCCAGTCTGTCACTGATGAGCATTTGGGTTGGTTCCAAGTCTTTGCTATAGTGAACAGTGCCACAATAAATATATATGTGCATGTGTCTTTATAGTAGAATGATTTATAATCCTATGGGCATATACCCAGTAATGGGATTGCTGGGTCAAATGGTATTTCTAGTTCTAGATCCTTGAGGAATCTCCACACTATCTTCCACAATGGTTGAACTAATTTATACTCCCACCAACAGTGTAAAAGCATTCCTATTTCTCCACATCCTCTCCGTCATCGAAACTACCATTTTTAAAACCATCAGATCTCATGAGGACTTCCTCTCTATCACAAGAACAGCATGGGGGAACCGTTCCCATGATCCAATCACTTCCCACCAGGTCCCTCTCTCCACAAGCGGGGATTACAATTTGTATGAGATTTGGGTGGGGACACACAGCCAAGCCATATCACCCTGCTCATGTTTAATAAGGGGTGATGGCTTCTTCTGAACAAATCTATACAGCTTTAACACTAATTCTATAATTTCATTCTATGAATTTTTTTATCTGAACAGAAGAAAGTTGAATTTTTAAAAAATGGATTGCCACTTAGACTATCAGCTTCAGATCAAGTATGATATGTGAAATTGTATATTTAGACAAGACCACATCATCCTTCACCCCATCGGTTAGGTTTTAAGTAGAACAAATCTGGGTCTAGGTATTATATTTATTAGGTTACTAGGGCTGATATAACAAAGCACCACAAACTGAGTGGCTCAAAACAGAAACTTCTCTTACAGTCCTGGAAGCCAGAAGCCTGAAATCGAAGTGGTAGCAGTATTGGTTTCTTCTGGAACCTCTGAAGAAAATCTCCTATGCCTCTCTCCAAGCTTCTGGTGGTGTCAGTAAGCCTCATGTTCGTTGTCTTGTTGACACATCACTCTAATATTTGTCTCCATTTTCACGTGTGGAGTTCGTAGAAACGCAGCTCCAGGACTAACTGTAGACACCAACACAAGTAACCCTTATCCTGTTAACTAGATTTCTGTTGTAACTCATCTTTGGAGCTGCTGCTAAATTTCTCTCGAGGACATATTTTGGTCAATACAGTACCTATGTGAGAGCTTATATTTTCAACATAATCATTTGGTGAGTAAAGACAATATCAATTAAAGAAAATAAAACATACTTTGAGGTCGATGTTGATTTTTATGTAAAAGGTATAGGCATCTCCTGGTTTCTTTTCCTTAACATATTTTACATTGATTTTCAGTATAGGTCTCACATAAAGTTTACTTGTATATCGATGTTTGTGACTGAATGATATTCACATCTACGTTATTGTATGTTAAAACATTTTTAAATCACATTTTTAAACATATTTTACCTTTTTTTCTAATTTTAGGAATTCATCTTCCCTTCCTTTACCATCAATTATTGCAGTCTTCCCTAGTCTTTTTAAGTGTATGTGTTTCTTTCTCCCTTGTTTTTTTATAATTATAAATTCAGTAGAGTGTATACTACTCAATACATTCATATTTTTATTTATTTATTTTTATTTTTATTTAGTTTTTTTTTTAACAAATGAGAAAGTTTCATTTATCTCAAAAAAATCCAGGCTATACAAACAGACAACTGAAAGTCATATTTTTAATATAAAATAACTCTTTATTTTAATATTAAAACATTTCAAGGGATAAGAAAATGTCTCTGAATGGGCTAGGCATGGTGGCTCAGGCCTGTAATCCCAGCACTTTGGGAAGCCAAGGTGGGTGGATCACTTGAGGTCAGGAGTTTGAGATCAGCCTGGCCAACATGGCGAAACCCCATATCTACTAAAATTCCCCCCAAAATTTAAAAATAGTCAAGCATGGTGGTGCACACCTGTAGCCCAACTACTCAGGAGGCTGAGGCATGAGAATGGCTTGAAATGGGGAGGCAGAGACTGCGGTGAGCTGAGATTATGCCACTGTAGTCCAGCTTGGGTGACAGAGTGAGACTCTGTCTAAACAAACAAAGAAACAAACAAAATACAATGCAATGGAATATAATCTAGTGAGGAATACTAAGAAATATAAGTCTAATTCTGTCTAATGATTAAAATATTCGTACTGGTTTTCATTCACAAATTCACTGCACTCTGAATTATTGCAGAGTGGTAATTATTACCACTCAGGTGGTAAATTACTAGCAGAATTATTTAGATTTTTAAACATTTTTAACGTTAATTTATATATTTTCTTCAGGTAAGACAAGGATCTCATGAAAACTCTGTAACTGTGGATTAGGAGTGAGCTTTCTGAAAGAGTCTATCCAGTGTTTCTGTGGGAAAGAACCAATTCGGGCACTACACAAAATAGGAAATTCACATGGGAGTTACAGTGCAGTAAGTTTTGTGGAGGGATTTCGTGTTTGTTTCATTTGTCTGTAAAAGCATGATTCACTGAAAGAGACTCTCCAAGGACTTTAAGGACTCTAGGGCTTCTGAAGTTCTTCAGAAATATATAACCAAAAGTTTCATTTGGAAAAAAATATGTGATCAGGACAACTCACATGCCCTATAGCTTCTATTTATCATCAAAATGTGTTTTAGATACTCCAGAGGATTTTAAAATCTCCTACACATATTCCAGAGATACTCCAGGGTGCCACTGGCTAGAAATATAATTGGCAAAATGTCCATAATGCATCCTGCCATCTGGTATGAGCCACCGGCTTATCGTACAGACAGAACACTTGGGACGTCATTGCTCTAGAGATGTGTAGATGCCTAGAGACCCGCTAGTAGTGGCTGTGTTCCTGGGGATCTTTATAGTTATCTTCCTGCAGCTCAGCATGCTTCAGCTGTGCCTGGTCACAACTGTAAGAGACAAGGATGCTGAGAAAAGTAGAATGAGAGAAGGGTAGTTGATACTCTCACATGGTTAATGCCCTTTCATTACTAGAGAGACAACTTCCTTACTGTGATACTATCTGTTATCTTGGAGAAGGTGTGTTACCAAAGGAAAAGTCTAGAGTTTTACTCTGCAAGCCTTTATTATTAACAACTGTAAAAAAATATTTAGACTGTGTTATGGAATATATTTTTGGTGACCATTCGTTCAGCAGATAACAGAGCACATCCTCATTCATTATTTGGCATCAGTTTAGGATCAACTAATGCTTTTATATTCACATGAACATATAGAGAATGTATATTTCACATATACTTATAGATACATGTATAGTAAAAATATACCAAGAAAAACTTAAGCATATTTCAGGTACAATCAATACAGAAAATCATAAGTATGAGGAAAAATAAAATATTAACCTGACTAATATTATTTTTGCTTAGATACAGAGTAACTGAACAATTAGAGAGTTTAAGTAGACACTGGAT
The DNA here is from genome assembly GCF_000001405.40 of Homo sapiens. Classification (NCBI taxonomy): domain Eukaryota; kingdom Metazoa; phylum Chordata; class Mammalia; order Primates; family Hominidae; genus Homo; species Homo sapiens. The sequence continues at coordinate 29,615,821 of NC_000004.12, forward strand.
TTTATATCTCATCTAGACAATACTTTTGGTGCTAACTATACGATAATGTTAATTTGTAATAAATAAATGCACCTTAACTGTAATAGGTATATACTATTTCAACAAGTTTCATATATATATAAAATATTGCTATTGGATATGTACATAGAAACATAATATGTATGCATATATATAATATATAAATAATATATATAAGCACATATATGGAAGCACAATATACATTCATCAGTTGCTGTTTTGAGTTAAGAAAATTGGTCCGGCGCTGTGGCTCACGCCTGTAATCCCAGCACTTTGGGAGGCCGAGGCGGGCAGATCACCTGAGGTCAGGAGTTCAAGACCAACCTGGCCAAAAAAGCGAAACCACATCTCTACTAAAAATACAAAAATTAGCTGGGCGTAGTGGCATGTGCCTGTAGTCCCAGCTACTTGGGAGGCTGAGGCAGAAGAGTCACTTGAACCTGAGAGGCGGAGGTTACAGTGAGCCAAGATTGTGTCACTGCACTTCAGCCTGGGTGACAGAGTGAGACTGCATCTCAAAAAAAAAAAAAAGAGAAAAAGAGGAACAAAAACAAATCACTTCTGAACATTTACGGTAAACTTTTTGACACCTAGTACAGAATGAATTGTATTAAGTGTTGTTAGTAGAGTCAACTGTACATTGCCACTGTCCAAATTATGAATTTTTATAAGTTCACTAATATCTTCAGCAAACACATCAGATGTTATAGTTTAATGTGTTCAAACTCCTCCACATATCCTTGACCTGCAGTGATACCAATGCATATAGCTCAGAATCAAGTTCTCTATATCACTGAGAATAGAGTCTAGGACTTACCCCTATGCCTTCTTCATTTTCTAGTTTCTCAATCCAGGAGGAAAACTTATGTACAAGGTTTTTTTATGTTATGTTGGAATAAAATATTACTTTGTTCTGTGTAGATTTATTAGTTTGCTAGGGCTGCTGTAACAAAATACCACTGACTAGGCGCCTTAAACAACAGATACATATTTTCTCCTAGTTCTCAAGGCTGGAAGCCCAAGATCAACCTGGTAGGTTTAGTTTTTCCTAAGACCTGTCTCTTTAGTTTGCAGATGGACACCATTTAGTTGCATCTTCACGTGGCCTTTTCTCTGTGATGCACATCCCTGGTATTTCTTCATCTTCCTATAAGAAGATCAGTTTTAATATTGGATTAGGGCCCCATTCTGAGGACCTTATTTAACCTGTCAACAAATACAGTAGCATTGGGAGTTAGGGCTCCAACTTAAGGATTTGGAGAGGGAGGTGCATAATACAGTATTAACAGTAAAGTATGACGCTGTCAGTATATTTGAAAGGATATTTTGAAGAACTTTCCTGATCATTACTTCTAACTAACTCATCACCAGATTCATTGAAAATGATAAAAGAGTTCCAGATTTCCAGATACTTCTCTAACTACATTTAGTAAGCAGACATTTCCTACACATCACACAGAAGCTTCCAAAGTTTGTGTAACATACTTGAATATTAATGAAAACTTTATACAAATTTCTGAGGTAGAAGAAGGATGAACATGAGGCCAAGTAATTTAGACATTATATGACAATACAGATCTACTTACCGGTTTGCCAACTGAAATACACCCGTAAACTGAAGAACTTGGCAATCAAACTACCTGGATGATTCTGTTTTTTATTTAATTTTAATTTTTTTTTCTTGTAATACACCTAGAGAAAGTGTGTGAAAATAGGAAGGCTAGACACTCAGGAGTGAATGTGCTCAGGGTACAAAAGATTTATCAGAGGAAGCTCAGTTCCCAGCTCCTCTTTTGTCTCATGATTCACTCTCGAGCTCCATAAGAAGATTCTGTGAGCCAACGTGGGTGGGTTTTAGATAGAACCCTTTTTTCGGTTGCCTCCACGGTGTTTCCAACCTTGGCTGCAATGATAACTTGATAGGCTTTCAGAGCGTGATTACATTGTGGACATTGTCCTGTTTTTTAGTTTTTAATACAACTTTTAGGTGTAGATATACATTACAACTAAAGTAAATGTGTGTAATCTAGTATAGAAAATGGAAACCAGCTGGCAAAGTACTATTTGGAGAGGACAAAAACAAAATTTGAATGAGTATGAGGATACAGAGCTCTGCTAGCCAGCTTCCCTCCTACTTCATTCCATGTCAGCTGTAGGTGACAACTACTGGGCTTCCTGAATAACAAAGAAGGTATCTGATTCAAATATCAATATTCCTACATTATATTTATAAAAAATCAATTTGATTTTCTTCAATAAGTGAGGACTTTATCATCCACAGAAGGATAATCTCTTATTTTACATGATAGATTTTACAAATCTCTATTTGCATGATAGAGAGTTACAAATGTTATCCACATAATTTTTCTAGTCATTTTTATTTCATCTTCTTGAATAACTGCAGAATTAATTTAATGATGATGTTCTGTGATAATTTCTTGAACATCTGAAAATACCATTCTCACTCTTTAGAAACTCATTTTCATCTTTCTTCCCTTTTCTTAAAATACTTTTAGTTCTTTCAGTTTCAGAATACAGGCTAGAAGTGTAGGCATTCTAACATTGCCTTCTCTGTTCCTTCAATTATTTCGTTAGTGCTCTCATTCTTTGCGTTGGTAAACAGTTGGCAAACTTTGGACTGTGCTACACTTTTGGTTAATATTTTATATAATGTCATTCAAAAGAATCATGGGATATGTATAGTCTCCTTGTACATGGTAACAAGAAGTTGTCTTTCCCATCTATGAACCAAGCATCCCAACATAGCTCTAGTGCCAAGATGAAAATGTCATTAAGAAATATTGTTTAATCCTTCAGGAGGCTGAGGCGGGCAGATCACGAGGTAAGGAGATCGAGACCATCCTGGCTAACACGGTGAAACCCCGTCTCTACTAAAACTACAAAAAAAAAAAAAAATTAGCCGGGTAGTCCCAACTACTGGGAAGGCTGAGGCAGGAGAATGGCGTGAACCCGGGAGGCGAAGCTCGCAGTGAGCCGAAATCGCGCCACTGCACTCCAGCCTGGGCGACAGAGAGAGACTCCGTCTCAAAAAAAAAAAAAAAAAAAAAAAAGAAATATTGTTTAATGGTAATAAAATTGTCATATTCTTCTCAATACTTCTGTCAAAATTCACTTTCTCTTTAAGTTTTATTTTTTATCATACAATACATACGTACACCCTTTGAAAAGAACATAACTGTTTATTATATGATCTTTTTCTTTAAAATACAAAATGGAAGCAACTATTTTGTGTTTGATTCAACACAACAATTAAAAAGTTTGTCCACTTATACACAAAGACCATGTTCTTTTCTCCCTTTGTAAAATCAGGGTTGTAGTTTATCTGCTCAGTAGCATGATTGATCCTTTTTTACTGTGTTCTCATCTGAGTGAATAAATCAGGACATAGCTACCACCTCCAAATGTTCAATCTGACCCTACAATTAGCTTTCCACTGATTCTGGTTCCTGATTACCAGTACAAACCTCTACTTTGAGCTATCCCATAATTAGTCAGACAATACGATGTCATGTGCAAAAATATCTTGGCTGGTGTAACATTTGCTAAGCACTCATCTGTCACATCCCCTGGATGAATTTCGTGCCCTTGCTTAGTTAAGAGGCTCACCAGCTCTACTTCCCATTACATTGACACTAATGTGGCATCTGAAATTTGAACACAGCAATTAAATGTTTTTGAGCTTTTCTTAAATGACACCTGGCCAAATCCTACACACAAAATTTTTGACTAGTTTTTCTTAAGTATGAAAAAAATTTCCCAAATGTTACATGGTTCTAAAGGTGGTACAAACCATATACATTAAATGTTGATTTTATTACAAAAAATGAGGAGCACTGAATTGAAACTGAAATTTTCAATCAACTCAGAAAAAAATGTAATTTTGTATTACTTGTTTTTATTTATATATGATATTATTATGTCTTCACTTATCTGTAACTTTCTAAAAGTATTTTTCAACTTGGATTTCAATATTTGCCTTATGTCTTAACAGTATTCAACCTGTATATTTGTAAGAACTGTAGTCTCCATATTTGATCTCTTGGTAATATATATATAATTGAGGGGGCAATTATTAGAGCTATAAGAATTCAAAGGAAGTCCATTATGCTTTTCTAATCAAGATAAAGAATAATAGGCATTTTTATGAATTAGCACTACTAACTACTTCCCTCAATAAATTCATTTCAGACTGAGTAGTATCTCAAGTTTACAGGTTACAGGGCTTAGTGCAGGTACTTAAAATACTAGTAAACATAATTTAATAAGAGCCCTTATTTAATTATTTTTTCCATTTATTTATTTAAATATTATAGTCTAAAATAAATATAAGTAATATTTTTGTAGTCAATTGCTTTTTGACCAAAGAACTGAGAAAATTACAAGGAAAAAAGAAAATCTCTTAAATAATTGATATAGAAACAACGGAATATTTAGGGAACAACAACAAAAGAAAAATTTTTACCACTATGTCACAACATACACAAAAATTAATTCAAGACAGGTCATGGACTTAACTATTAGGGCTAAAATTATATGAAGTGTGTGCAAACATAATTTGCTGTTTTTGTATTGTTGGAATTTGTGTTTGATATTGGAATACATTCTTAAATAAATGCAATTATGTTATACATCATTTATTTTATTTTTAATTTTTATTTTTTGAGTCAGAGTCTCACTGTGTCACCCAGGCTGGAGTGCAGTGGTATGATCTTGGCTCACCGCAACTTCCGTCTTCGAGGCTCCAGCGATTCTCCTGTCTCAGCCTCCTGAATAGCTGGGATTACAGGCCCATGCACCACCATACCCGCTAATTTTTGTATTATCAGTAGAGATGGGGTTTCGTCATGTTGGCCAGGTTGGTCTCAAACTCCTAAACTTAAGTGATCTGCCTGCCTCTGCTTCCCAAAGTGCTAGGATTACAGGCATGAGCCACCACACCAGCCTGTTACACATTATTTTAAGGGGCATTTCTCATTTTATGTTTTTTTGCAAATGACTTATTACTTGCTGTTTATATTATGTTTATTTTAGACTATGGAAATGATGTTAGACAAAAAGCAAATTCAAGCCTTTTTTTTTAAATTTGAGTTCAAAATAGTTCGTAAAGCAGCAGAGACAACTCGTAAAATCAACAATGCATTTGGCTCAAGAACTGCTAATAAATATACATATACAGTGCAGTGGTGGTTCAAGAAGTTTTGCAAAGGAGATGAGAGATTTGAAGATGAGTGTAGTGGCCAGTTGTCAGAAGACAATGACCGGTTGAGAGCAATCATCAAAGCTGATCCTCTTACAACTATGCTGGAAGATGCCAAGAACTCAACATTGACCATTCTTCAGTCATTCGGCATTCAAAGCAAATTGGAAAAGTGAGAAAGCTCAATAAGTGGGTGCCTCCTGAGCTAGGTGAAAATAAAAAAAATCATCATTTTGAAGTGTTGTCTTCTGTTATTCTACACAACAACAATGAATCATTTCTCGATCCGATTGTGATGTGTGACAAAAAGTGGATTTTAAAAGACAACCAACGACAACCAGCTCAGTGGTTGGACTGAGAAGAAGCTTCAAGTCATTTCCCAAAGCCAAACTTGCACAAAAAAATGGATGGTCACTGTTGGGTGGTCTGCTGCCATTCTCTTCCTCTGAAGCTTTCTGAATCCCAGCGAAAGCATTACATCTGAGATGTATGCTCAGCAAATGAATGAAATGCAATGAAAACTGCAACGCCTACAGCCGGCATCGGTCAACAGAAAAGGGCCCAATTCTTCTCCACAACAATGCCCGATCACACATCACACAATCAACACTTCAAAAGTTGAACGAATTGGGCTAGAAATTTTGCCTCAGCTGCCACATTACCTGACCTGTCGCCCACCAACCACCACTTCTAGCATCTCACCAGTTTTTTTCAGGGAAAACACTTCCACAACCAGCAAGATGCACAAAATGCTTTCCAACAGTTCGTTGAATTCCAAGGCACAGACTTTTATGCTACAGGAATAAACAAACTTATTTCTTGTTGGCAAAAATGTGTTAATTGCCATGGTTCATAATTTGAATAATAAAGATGTTTTTGAGCCTAGTTATAATGATTTAAAATTCACGGTCTGAAACCACAATTACTTTTACACCAACCTAATAATACAGATAGAGAAAAAAATAGAAGTAAGTTTTCATGATTTTGAATTAATCTATGGTGTTTCAAACTGAATAAAATATTAAATATAGAAATCATAAATTCAAACTTTATCAACATAAGAAACTTTGTCAAAGAAAATTATTAAGAAAATGATAATCTAAATTACAGATTTGGAGAAAATACAACTTGTAACCAGAACATGTAAATAACTCTTACAAATCAATAATAAAAAGACAAACAACCCAGCCTAAAAGAAAAAGGGGAAATTCTTTAAAAATATATTCACAATAGAAGATAAAAAATGGCCAAGAATTGCCTTAAAAGATGCTCATTATCAGGAATCATAAGAAAAATGCATATTAAAATCACAGTGTGACAACCCTTTAACAAACCAAGATGGCTAAAATAAAAGAGTGAACATTTCAAATGTCAGTGAGGATATTGGACAATAGAAATAATGGCATATTGCTAGTGAAGTATCATATTATGTAACATTTTAGAAAAGTTTATGTTATTCCTTATGAAGTTAACCTTTTATCTAGCAATTCTACATTTAGTTATTTATCCAACAGAAATCAAAACTTATGTCCACAAAAAGACTTTTGTGTAATTAATCATAGCAGATTTATTCATAATAGGTCCCAACTATAGTCAAAAAAGGGATACTGCTCAGCAAAAATTAATGCACAAATAATCTTTGAAATAACTGATGAATATCAAAAACACTATATTGAGAAAAAAAGTCAAACACAAAAGAGCACATACTATATGATTTCACTTTTATGAATTATAAGTAGGTAAAAGTAAATTATGGTGGCATAAATTAGAAAAGTATTTGTATGAAGGAAAGGGTTTGGACAGGAGCATGAAATAACTTTCTAAAGTGATAAAAATTTAAACATAGATTGAGGTCTTGCTCATCTAGGTGTACATATTTGTTAAAACTCATTAAACTCAGAGTTAAAAATTTGCATTTAATTCCATGTAACTCTTGTTTTGTGTAACTCTTGTTATATGTAAATATTAATTTAATTAAAATAATCTTACTATGCTAATAAACAGAATGAAGAAAAAGACTATATAAATTCCAATAGGCTTAGAAATACAATCATAGAAGCAACATATATTCTTGGATTTAGTTTCTAGTATTTTCTCTATCTGCATAATAAAAAAAACAAATTTTTCTGAGTATCAGAATATTCATGTAAAACACACTACTATAATGGCCAATACACAGTAACTTAAATATCATTGTCACATATTATCAATTCATAATGAAATAACTTGAGCTCGATTTGCATTTATTACATTAAAAACAGTTTTATCCAAAAGCTAAAAAAATATAAAAAGTAAAATGTAAGATATCTGAGTATCGCCATTTGGCATACTGTAAAAATATGATGATCTATCAGCAAAATTATGACACGCTTTGTGCAAAAATTATATCATTATTACCAGAATCATCACGAGAAAAAAATAACAAATAATGATTGACTGTGTATGTGTCTTGGTACAGGAGGATCTGATAGCTTCAAAGGATGCTTTATCTTCAATAATAATTTTTAAGGATTTAATGTAAATATCAGAAGATCTGAACCAGACACAGCTGAGCAAAAAAATTAAAGTGACATTATGACTTGCTTTTTCTCTCTTTCAGTAATTATAGTTGTAGGTTTACATTAGACTAAAATATTTGGTTAAGGCAATTTTCTTTTTCACAATGATTTTAATGAAAAATCAATTGCTTTGTTAGAAGGCAAAATTCTGCTTGATTGCACTACTTACTCCTCTTTGTAAACAATTGCTGTAAAAGAAAATCCCATCAATTTGCTTTTGCATAAAATCTCTTTCCTGTTCTTTAATCTCACATGTGTGTAAAATCTCTTTCCAGTTCTTTAATTCCACATGTGTGAAGAGAAAGATAAATCTTGGATATCTCCTAGTTACATGACTATGCTACTAGATAAACTTGACAAAGAAGATAATTTTAGCAAGGGAACTAGCTATGCATTTTATGTACTAATAGAATAAAAAGTTCCAGTGTTAAGTTTAACTTTTTACTTTTACTGTGCTCTGTAGCTGTGTGTCACATGTGATTATAAGGCCTTTCTTCCCTCAAGTAACAATTCCCTGGAGAAAATATGCTCCTAGCATAGCAAACATGGTAGGTACTAAATAAATGTTTATTGACTAAATGAGTGAATAAGCACATGTACCAGTCTAGGATTACCTATGTTACATTAATCTTAGGTTACATATATATTACATACAATATTTGTAATGACATTATTTTTCTTGATGAATTCCTACTATGGATAAATTACCATTTCTCTCTCTAGTATGCAACATTATATTTAAAGATCAATGATATTCACTAATAACTTTATCATGTGCTAAATTTCCCAGTGTCCTGCCATGTCTCTCTGGAACGTTTACTCTGGGCTATCGATTAGTCTATTACATAAGTGTCATGACCTTAATACTTTAATTCCAAAATTGAGGGACAAAAAAATATGCTGCTATTCTTTCTTTGTTTTGGTTTGGTTTTGTTGGTTCTTGTGCTTCCTAGACTGGATCTTCCCCAAATTCTATTTTTCTAATTAAAATGTATAAATCAATCTGACAAAAATTGACCTCTTCACAACATTTAATTGTTTATTCAGGAACATGATACTTCTTTCCATTTACTCAAGACTCTCAAATAATTTAATAAAACTCTATAATTTGAATTATTTGGTCATATCTATTTTTAAATAAGTGTTCATTAATTCATACTTTGGTTGCTGTAACGAATAATTTTTATACAACATATTTTTAATTAAAAAAATCTTTGATTTATGCATATACTTTTGGTTTTGAAAATACATTACTGTGGTCAAGAGAACTTCTTGCATCAGACTTTCTAAATTTAAAACAAATCTTTCCTTCTTTCTGTTTAGGCATTATTAGACAAGTTACTTCCCTTGTTTTGTTTCTTAGGGTGAAACATTTTTGGTTGTGCACAAAGTGTGGAATGAAAGTCCACATTTTCTAGCCTTATTTCTGATTGGCTTAATCAAAGAGATATGCATCAAATTATCTGAGTAATACTTTTGCAAGGAGTCCTATTCTGCTGGCAGAAACATCTTTGCACTTTTCCTCCTTTCCCCACCAAGGATGTAGGAATGATATCAGGACTCCTGTGCCAATACTGTAATGGAAGACCCTTGCTAAGTATATAGAAAAATTGAAGCTTGGTCCATCCATAAGTTCACGGACCCACCAGACAAACCCAAAGGTACCCTCAGCCTGACTTATTTTATATTCCATGAAACAATATCTTTTCTGAAAAAATTGTTATTCACTTACTAGTTGTAAGCAGAATTCATAACGGTTGACATTGTACACAGTATTTGTGAAAATTAAATGAATTAATACATGCAAACTTATCAAAGTAGTGTCTTACATACAGTATTACCTCCATGAATGTTAACTTTTATTATCAGGCCAAATGTTGTAAATGTATCCTTTAAACAATATAGTAATCTTATTGTTGATTTTTATCATCATTGAATAACTTGAATATTCATCGTAATAAATATATAACTTGATAATAATGAAGAGATATCCTGTTTCTAACCAAAATCAACAGCTTTTTATTCCTTCTTAATAGCATTGGGTAAAATTCCCAAAAAAATAAACAAATCAATGTGTTTATAACAAATATGCTTATATTATTGATGATATTAGGGCTTTTTACATTTCTTTATTCATGAGCTTTGTGCTATTTCTGATAAGTAATCATCATATTAAGAGAATTTGGGCCAGGCATGGCGGCTCATACTTGTCATCCCAGCACTTTGGGAGGCCGAGGCAGGCGCATCACCTGAGGTCATGAGTTTGAGACCAGCCTGGCCACCATGGTGAAACCCTGTCTCTACTAAAAATACAAAAATTAGCCGGGTGTGGTAGTGCGCAGCTGTAATCCCAGCTACCCAGGAAGCTGAGGCAGGAGAATCGCTGGAACCCGGGAGGCAGTGGCTGCAGTGAGCTGAGATTGCTTCACTGTACTCCAGCCTGGGGAACAGAGTAAGACTCCATCACAAAAAAAAAAAAAAAAAAAAAAAAAAAAAAAAAAAAAAAAGAGAGAGAGAGAATTCAGAGTTACTCCTATCATGAAATTTGGGTTTCATTTTGTTGTGGCTATAGTTCTGGGTATTTTTTTTCTTGCCATAATCAAAGTGGATTTAGAAGTTCCTCTTTCATAGTTATTAACAGGCTTTGCAACCTGGGTTGGCCTCTTAAAAGTTTTGTGACCTTGGAAAATTGTGGAATCTTACTAAGCCTCACTATCTAATTTACAAATGGGGATTACTTATCTCGTACGATTGGTATAAAGATTAGGTGAGTTAATGCACATAAAGCCATACAACAGTGCCTGGCATGGAGTGAGAGCTATATAGGAGTTACTTTCATGAGGATGATAATGAAGATGATTGACAAGCTCATAGTATATGATGTTCTCATGTCACACTTCTTTTTATTCCAAATAAGAAATAAATTCAGAACCAAGGAAAACTAATTCTAATTAGAATTTGTATGACTTATTCATATATGAGATTGATACACTATTGTGTTTTTGAAGATTTGTAATACAAAATTTGTATCAAATAAAATAAATTGAGCATACTTTCATAAGTTCCTTATGACTTTGGGGGAGTTTAAATAATATGAGAATTATCTCTTACTATTAGCTATGATGGAACAGATATATAAACCGTCTGTTCCTCACGCTATCATTGGATGAAGCCCTTTTCAATATATTTAAAAGTTATTCATTTAATTATACATTCTACATGCTCTGTAGAAAAGGTTGATACTTGTGAATGTTAAAATACAAATGACTAAATATAATTATTAAATAGTATGTAAATATTATATTCTTGCATATTTATTTTAGCATATACACATATTTTAGAAACATATGTTCTATCTATTTGATATATACATATATGAAATACATATGTTTTTAATATCTGCTATTCATAGTTGGTTTGTACTTCTTTTCTAGTTTCTATTGTGTTTCAATATTTGATAAATTTTTTTCAAATTTATTTTTAATACTTCTTCAATTTTTTGGGAACGTAGAAATTCATTAATTTATAGTTTCAAAAGAATTGGCATAAAGTTTGCATAGAAGCATGTATATATTTATATAAAACATGAATACTGATATATATGTAACTGTTATATTCTTTTTTAGTATATAATTTTAGAATCTATTTCCTTCTATTGTAAACATATAGCCCATCAATTTTCTCCTCAGCACTCTTTGGTTATATGCCATGAATTGTTTATATAGTGTGCACATGGACCTACCTTTCTATAAAGAACTCTAACCTCAATTTTGATTTCCTCTTTGACATAATGTTTAGTAGTTGGAGTCTAATTCCGGAGTGCTCAAATTATCAAGCAATTCTTGTATTATTTTCTATTGTTATTTCTGTTTATTCTGAGAATACACGCCATATAATTTCAATTTTTGCAAAGTATTGACATTTTTTATGTGGTATGTGATCACTTATGTAATTGGCAGATGGATCTTGAAAAACATCTGTTCTTGGCTTTTAATTTTTTACTTTTTTCAAATTTTGTTTTAGAATTACGGGGTATATATATGAAAGATTATTACAAAGGTATATCGTGTGATGCCGAGATTTAGGGTATAATTGAACTCATCACCCATATAGTGAGTATAGTACCCAGTGAATATTTTTTCAATCCTTTTACCCCTCATTCTCTCCTCCCTCCAGTAGTCCCCAATGTCTACTTTTCCCATCTTTATGTCCATGTATATCCAATGTTTCATTCTCACATATCACTGAGGGTATGCAGTATTTGATTTTCTGTTTCTGGATTAGCTCACTTAAAATAATGGCCTCCAGCTGCATCCATATTGCTCCAAAAGATATGACTTCCTTCCTTTTTATGGCTGCATAATATTCTACAGTGTATATGTCCCACTTTTTAAAATCCAATCAACCAGTGATAGGCACCTAGGTTGATTTCAAGGTTTAGCTATTGTGAATAGTGTTGCAGTGCACCTATGGGTTGGAGAAAATTTCACAAACTTCGCATTCAACAAAGGTCTAATATCCAGTATCTACAAGAACTTAAATAAACTAATAAGCAAAAAGGCAATAGCCCCCATTAAAAAGTGAGCAATGGACATGATCACTTCTCAATAGAAGACATACAAGGGGCCAACAAACATATTTTTAAAAAGCTCATCATCACTAATCATCAGAGAAGTGCAAATCAAAACCACAATGAGATACCATCTCACATCAGTCAGAATGCCTTTTGTTAAGAAGTCACACACAAAAATAACAGATACTGGTGAGGCTGCAGAGAAAATGCAACACCGATACACCGTTGGTGGGAGTGTAAGTTGGCTTAGCCTCTGTGGAGAGCAGTTTGGAGATTCCTCAAAGAACTAAGAGTTGAACTACCATTCAACCCAACAATCCTATTACTAATTATATACCCCCAAAAAATAAATCATTCTACCAAAAGGACTCATGCACTCATATGTTCTTGGCTTTTAAAGATTCAAAATACAAATATTTATATTTGTATTTTGGGGTTTATGCTCAGAACACAGAGAAATAACAATAGAAAATAACACAAGAAGTTGCTTAATAAGTTGATATTACAACTCTATATCTTTCTATTAGTTACAATATACATAGAGAGAGAAACAGAGCTACTGTTTAGATCTGCATAGAAATAATAAAGTATAGCCTCAAATAAAATACTGTAACCTTTTAAAGGAAACCACTCATAAACTATAAACAGAATGCAGGGTTTTAAAACTTTTGAATGGAGAAAAAACTTGATACAATTTACTTAAACAATATTATTCTTATTTTTAAGTATATTAATAATGCAGACTCAGAGCAGAGTGCTGTATTTAGGAGACAATAGCACATAATTCAGCCTAAATTTCTATAACTAGAAAAGGGATTATGAGAGCCATTCGATCCCTTCTTGGGGAAAATAGTGATGGTAATCAACAGGCAATGAAAACAGCATTTGGTTTTCATCATTGATTGAATAGGTATTGATATCAATGCAGGATGGAAAACAAAACAATTTTCCAAAACAAACTAAACACAAGAGGTCATATAAAATAATCAGCCTCTTTCAGTCAGTGTTGACAACAGTATGGTTAGTAAAATGTACTTTGATACAATTCTGAATTTTGGGGTGAGCAATGAAATTAATATGATACTATTGGGATTGTACCTTCAATGGTAAATATATGGTGATACTATAGTTAGACTTAACTAAGAAATATTTAAGTATAATAGCAAAAAGTAATATCATCTGAAACACAAAGTAATTGATATCATTTGGACTATATCTCACATTCCTAATGGAAAAAATACACAGAGACTAGATATAATATTTCTTACACTCCTATAAATTGAAACTCTCAAGTTCAGTCGATAGCTGTATACTTCCACCTGTAGTCAGCATATAGCCTGCCCCAGGACGTGACTGGATTGCAATCTTTTCTTTGTATGGCTGACATCTTTAAAGAATCAGTTCCAAATGTGCTATTCCTAGATATAGCCACTAGAACCATAACATACCCTATCTCAACATTTTTGTATTTATATGGAGTTATGCAAATTATGGCAGCAGATCATTCATCCCAAGAAAAGCAGTCAATCAAATAAGTGTGTGCTTCTGAGCAAGGGTTTTGAGAACAGTGAGTTAGGCAGAGCGCGGTGGCTCACACCTGTAATCCCAGCACTTTGGGAGGCCGAGGCGGGTGGATCACAAGGTCAGAAGATCAGGACCACCCTGGCTAACACGGTGAAACCCCGTCTGTACTAAAAATACAAAAAATTAACCGGGTATGGTGGCGGGCGCCTGTAGTCCCACCTACTCCGGAGGCTGAGGCAGAAGAATGGCATGAACCCGGGAGGTGGAGCTTGCAGTGAGCCAAGATTGCACCACTGCACTCCAGCCTGGGCAACAGAGCGAGACTCCGTCTCAAAAACAAAACAAAACAAAACAAAACAAAACAAAAACCAGTGAGTTAAAGGTATAAAGTTGTAAGCAGCACGTCTATCTCCTTCTGAAGATGTACCCCTAAAACAAGGGAGCTTTTCCGAATAGTATGGATGTATGTGGGCTATGCCTCAATTGATGAGATAATAACACTAGGGAGAAGCATTGTATTTCAGAAAAAAAATATATATATATACATATGTGTGTGTGTGTGTGTGTATGTGCATGTGTATATATATATAAGCCCTACATCACAAGCCTACAGATCTGCATCCTACATCATGACTATGAATTCTTTATCAAAAAAAAGTTGAATCTGGAAGTTAAAAATCACTGTGTCTATCAGACAGTTTATCTAACTTGTAGACTTGTTTTGAGGTTCACATGGCAGATTTGTGAAACATTCTTCTTAAATTATTAAGTATGTTTTAGTGTTAGGTTTGGCTCTGAGTGAAAGAAATGTAAATATAAGAGTAGCTTAAGTAAGACAAACTTCACTTGCTTCTATGTAAACATAGTGAATTCAAGTCTATCGTAATTCCTCCATTCCCTGCAGGAACTCAAGATCCTTTTATTATCTTAATTTACCATCTTTAACACATGTATTTCACTTTGTAGTTATAGCAGAGGACCTTGTGGTTCAAGAAGGAGAATTTGAAGCACACCCATCACCTCCAGAGTCTTCCAGAAATATGTACACAACTTTTCCACTTACAAATATTTGGTCATATTTAACTGGCTAAACTCTCCTGCTGGGGGGTTTAAAATGTAGTCTTTATTCTAGGTCACCATTTCCTTAGTTAAACATCTGGCACTTATTATTCTAGAAAAAGGGAATGAACACTGGGAAACAACTAGCACTCTGCCACAATTATTATTATTATTATTATTATTATTTTTGAGACAGAGTCTCGCTCTGTAGCCGAGGCTGGAGTGCAGTGATGCAATGTCAGCTCACTGGAACCTCTGTCTCCCAGGTTCAAGCAATTCTTCCTGCCTCAGCCTCCCAGGTAGCTGGGATTACAGGCGCCCACCACCATGCCCAGCTAATTTTTTATTATTTAGTAGAGATGGGGTTTCACCATGTTGGCCAGGCTGGCCTTTAACTCCTGACCTTAGGTGATCCACCCACCTTGGCCTCCCAAAGTGCTGGGATTATAGGCACGAGCCACTGTGCCCGGCCCACAAAATATTATCAGTGATCAATGCATGTGCATTGATATGCACTGAGAGGGCTGCTCCTGAGTTGTGCACAGTAGAGAAATAGAGAAGTCCTGAGTAATGTGGTAAGGCACCATCTGGCACTGCCATAAAGCAACATCCCCACAATAGTGCAACTAGGCCTGGCAAGAGGAGGAGGAGCATTGTGATATGGCCCCCTCACAAATAAGTTGATGAACATCAAGGAGACATCTTCCAACAAAGATTGGAACTTTTCTTTGTGGCATCTAGGGATGTGAATACTAGTAAGAGATACACTGAAAAGGTCATCAGCAACATCAAACATAAAGAAAAAAGGGAAAAAAAGAAACATAGCTAAACAAATCTAAGGAAGGGCAAATGTGAGATCTGGTACCCTTTCCATAACTTGTGCTATAAGGCACAAGTTTCTGGGGTTATTGCAATGAACACAAATTCCCCACTCACAGAGAGCTTAGATTCTAGTAAGTCATAGATTCTGATGTTGAGAAATACAGAGAACATTTATTTTGTCTATTATTTGATGTATAAACATTTGTAATACACGTCTGGTCAGTGGTCATCCACATGGAACATTTCCAATGATGGGGAAGTCACTACCTTTTGAATATTTTAAGAAACTTAATTACCTATCTTTTAAAATTGTCGATTCCATTTGGTAATAGTCAAAATCCAAGAAAGGAGTTAAGCAGAAACAAACACAAACCTACACCTTACTTTTGTCCTGCAGTCTGAAGCCATACATTCTCATCTATCTTTTCTAATAGATTCTTCATGTATTTGAAGATATTTTGTAACATTACAAATTATAAGTCCCGTAGAAATTTTAAGTCATTGTGTCTAGTCAACCACCTAATTTACTAACAGTCATTTACTAATAGTCTTACAGAGTAGACATCTGATGCAGTGTTTACTGGATGAAAATGTAAAGAAATGTTTGAGAGTTTTCAAGGGCAAAAAAATATATCCTTTTCCAGGAAAGCATATTTTTTTGGTAGCTAGCTCTAATCAATAGAAACGCCCTCATTATTCTTGTATCATAGCTTTCTGCCTATAGTGTTCCTTCTAGTGTTTCCTTCTGCTCCCTGGGGTAATATAGAACAAGTCCCTTCCATCTTCCACACTACAGCCCTTCAAATATTGACAGTCAATTATCACGTCCTCTGAGTCTTCAGTGTCTAAGTTATATATTCCCAGTACTATAAATTTTTCTGTAATTCCACAATGTGAGTCTCCTCAGCCTCTTCTCTGTTTGCTACTGAGAACACCCTGAAGAATAAAGGTCTTGATGAAATGTCATGCCCCAAACTAAATACAGTATACTAGGTACAGAGCAATAAGTGCAGACTAGTATAAAATATAATGATGCTCTCTATAGCACCTTTAAAGAATTTATCCATTTCTTCTCTCAACTAGGATGTACTATTGTGCTTACAATCAAAAGGGTACATATACATACATACTAGTGTCATATTTGTTTCTCCCACTCTATATTGGGGGCATACCTTGGCATTCAAATGTCATATGCTTTTGCTATTTGTATTTTTTTTCTATATTTTATTGCTGTTACAATACAAATCAAGCTAGGAACTTTAAAAATACCCAATATTAATAGGATTTCAAGAAGCATATATTGCTGGTGTTAATCAAACTTTTGGAGACATTCATTAAAAGTAAAATGCAACATTGGGCATGAGGCTGATATTATTTGACACTGTAGTACATATCTGGGGATTTTATGCTAAGAAAACATTCCAAGATAAGGGAAATCTAGAAATTGAAAATTTTGATGCGTCCTAAAATTTCAATTACTCATATTATGGATAACACAATTTTTCTTTTAAAAAGTTGTTTGTGGATGGTGATTACTCAATAGATAATTATTTAAACAGTGGAGAAATGACAGAGGTATAGGTTTGAGCATCTTTGGAAATGCAGTGGATCCTGGTACTGGGAAACACATTCAGACTCATTTTTTTGAGATAGAAGAGCTTTAGGGATAAATTGCAGAGACCTTCCAATAAAGTTTTTTTTTGTGGATATATAATATTTACCTAAGGAAAAATATATTTCTTTCAAATATCAGGCAATTGCCAGTAGGGTCAGCTATAAAGCTTTCTAATTGATTATGAGGATCAGTGTTACCTTAGCCAGCAATGGTATTCTCCACTAACATTTTTTCCATCTTGGGGTTCTGAATAAACATATTGGATTGAACTCTTCTCATATTTTATTTAGTGAAAGGTATCTTTTTTGGCTTGAATAAGATAAGAAATTTATGCTTTGAACTGTCTCAAGGCCATCTAACTGGATAGTCATTAAGTCGGCTAGCCCGACACTCAAATGTAGCTTCACCTCTTTTTTCAATGACAAGTATGGCTTCAAAAGTCAGAATATGGTATTGAGAATATTTTTTTGGTGCAAAGGTGGCCAACTGATACAACTTAACATAAGATTTTAAAACTTATTTCGTAAACTTCACCTTAGATGTTAGCTAATTTTGGCTTTTGATTGTTTTGTTTTTCCTGCTTCATAATAATAGCTTTCTCTCTATATTTTTTTTTACAATGTATTGAGTGTCTATCTTAACTCCAAATAAAAAGTGGGCAAAGGGGCCGGGCATGGTGGCTCACGCCTGTAATCCCAGCACTTTGGGAGGCCGAGGCGGGTGGATCACAAGATCAGGAGATGAAGACCATCCTGACTAACACGGTGAAACCCCGTCTCCACTGAAAAAAAAAAAAAAAAAAAAAATGAGCCGGGCGTGGTGGCAGGCGCCTGTAGTCCCAGCTACTCGGGAGGCTGAGGCAGGAGAATGGCGTGAACCCGGGAGGCAGAGCTTGCAGTGAGCGAGATCGCGCCACTGCACTTTCGCCTGGACGACAGAGCGAGACTCCGTCTCAAAAAAAAAAAAAAAAAAAAAAGTGGGCAAAGGACATGAATAGATATTTTTTAAATTATTATTTTTTTAAGTTATGGGGTACGTGCAGGATGTGCAGTTTTGTTGCATAGATAAACATGTGCCATGGTGTTTTTTCGCACTTGTCAACCCATCATCTGGGTATTAAGCCCAGCATACATTAGCTCTTTTCCCAAATGCTCTCCCCTACACCCTCCTAAGACAGACCCCAGTGTGTGTTGTTTCCCTCCCTGTGTCCCTGTGTCCATGTGTTCTCATTGTTCAGCTTCCACTTATAATTGAGAACATGTGGTGTTCGGTTCTCTGTTTCTGCATTAGTTTGTCGAGGATAATGGCTTCCAGCTTCATCCATGTCCCTGCAAAGGACATAATCTCATTCCTTTTTATGGCTGTGTAGTATTCCATGGTGTATATGTACCACATTTTCTTTATCCAGTCTATCATCGATGGGCATTTGGGTTGATTCCATGTCTTTGCTATTGTGAATAGTGCTGCAATGAGCATACTCATGCATGTATCTTTATAGTAGAAGACATTTTTTTAAAAAAGAAAACATATAAATGACCAATAAGCATATGAAAAAAATGTTCAACATCAGTAATTGTCAAAGATATGCAAACGAAAATAATGAGATACCATCTTATAGCAGTCATAAAGACTATTATTAAAAAGACAAAACATAGTGGATGTTGGTGAAAATGTGGAGAAAAGGGAATACTTACACCTTTGTTAATGGAAATGTAAATTAGTGCAACGTCTACCAAAAACTGTATAGATATTTCTCAAATAACTAAAAATGGAATTTCCATTTGATCCAGAAATAATATTACTGGGTATCTGTCTGAAGGAAGAGGAATTATTATACCAAAAAGATACCTAAGTTTTTATGTTTATCACAGCATTATTTACTATAGCAAAGATACGGAATCAACCTAAGTATCCATCAACATGTGATTGAATAAAGAAAATGTGATATGCAAACACCATGAGATACTATTCAGCTATAAAAAATAAAATAAAATCATGTTTTTTGCAGCAATAGGGATGGCATTAACGGTCAGTATCTTAACTGAAACAACTCAGAAACAGAAAGTCAAGCACTGCATATTATCACTTATAATTAAATAAAGCTAAATAAAGCAGGCACATGGACAGAGATGTAGAATGATAGACACTGGAGACCCAGAAGGATGAGGGTAGGGTGGAAAAGGGATGAATGATTTAAAAAAATTCTTAATGAGTACAATTTAGATTATTCGAGTGATAAATACATTAAAAACACAGACTTCACCATTAAACAATATATTCATGTAACAATATTGCACTTGTAACCCCTAAAATTATACAAAAATAATAATTCTAAAATATTAGTAGCAATTTGTCAATATGAAGTAAATGATAAAAATGATGAAAACATGAAGACAGTGAATAAAATCATACATTTTTAAAAACTCTACTCACCACAACCAAAGAATCTTAGGTTGTTATAAAAATCTATCTTCTTAGATTTTATTATACAAGTCATTTTGCTACTTGAAAGTCTTTGTTAAATGTCTTCCTCTAATTCACTCTTCTGATATGGCCCATTATGTTAATCTTTTAAAATGTGTTAATAATTCTCTTGGCAATAAGGTTTCTAAGAATAGGTGATGTGGCAATGCAATACTAATTGTGATAGTGATAGCATAGCATGGTACACAGAATTATTTGATGGCCCTCAAATTCTGCCCAATGATATAGATGGTCCAATAATTCTATTCCCTTTAATGAGACTTGTGAATATGATGGGAGAATTGCTCCCTAGATTAGGTTAGGAAATATGCAAAAGGTGATTGGGTAGTCACTCTCCTGTTTATGTTATATAGAATTCAGTTTTAGTGGATTGAAGAAAGATTCTCTTGCTGGCTATGAGTAAGTAAGCTGCCATGTTCTAAATCTTCATGTGGGTAGAACCTAACAGCAGGCTTTAGGATACAAGAAAGGCCCTAAGCCAGCAGCCAGCTAGCAAGCAGGGATATGAGTCCATCAACCACAGGAATTAAATTTTTCCAAGAATATGAATGCACTTGAGAAAGGATATCAAGCTCAAAATGAGAATGCAGCCTACTAACACTGTGATTTCAACATATAAAACCTAAGCGGGGATCCTGTCAAGCTGTACCCAAACTCCTGTCAAATGGAAACTGCAACATAAATAATGTGCATTATTTTAAGATGCTGCATTTATAATAATTTACATAGCAATAGAAGCCTAATACACCGACATATTAGCAATCCTCAAAAGGGTGGTTCAGGAAGAGTAATGAAGCAAAAGTCCCCAGGCACTGTGAATTGAATTACATTATGAGAAATACAAAGAAAGAACACTTAAAGGAAAGAAAAGTATATTAGAGACAATTGCCTTCTTCTTAGTAATATCACTTAGGGCTTGCCCTAATTCTTTCTTGCAATGATTTTTATGTCTAATTTTATTGCCAGTTGAAAATCATGTCCTCTGGTGAAAGATAAAAAGAAGTATCCATAGTTTTAAAAATGAGTTTTCTATATGTTTCATTTAGTTAGCAAGAATCTGGACAAAACAGGATTAGCAACAGTAAATCGGTTGTGTGAATACATTATTTCTACTTACTACGTTTGTGAATTCTTATTTGCTTCAAAGCTGTAGTTGCAATGTATGTATAGTAACTCTCCCATCATACAGTCATTTAACAAGAAAATATAAACGAAGGAAGCTTTATATTACAAGTAAAATTGTGGATAATAATACATATGTTCTTGGATTTACAATGGTGTTCAGTCCTGATGAAATCACCACAAGTCGAAAATGTCCTACTGAAGTTGTATTTAAGACACTGAATCTACCAAATACTATAGCTTAATCTCACCTACTTACATTAGCCTACAGTTGGGCAAAATCACCTAACAACACAGCACACTGCAGAGCATCTCTTGTTTACCCACATGATTGAGTGGCTGACTGGGAGCTGCGGCTCTGCCCCTGTCCAGCATCTGGAGAGACTATCACACAGCTTTCTACTGAATGCATATCACTTAACATACCATTGTAAGATTGGAAAAATCGTAAGTTGGACCATGGTAAATTCAGAACCATCTGTGTAATAATGTCACCTGTTTTATTGGTTCCTCCATGAGAAAAAGATGGGATAATGCCTGTATATTTTTTGGGACATCCATTGACAGCATTAGAACAATCAGTAAATATTAATGATGATCATCATTTTGATGATGTAGAATATTTTCCTAGTTTAATTATGGCCATTGTTGTATGTTTATGTTTTGAAATGCACATATATGCTCTCTAAGATCTGTTATTAAAGTCATCATTCTGGATTTGCACTATATTTCCTCTCTGCTTATATCATTGTTGGTAATGACTGCTGTTAAAATGGCTACAACACTGCACAGCTTTCTAATACATCGATGGTGTTAATCTGTCTCAGATTTTACCCCTATATTCTGGTCATGTGATAGGTGAGAGCTTTCATCTTTAAATTCCAGATTTTAAATTCATACAGAGCTCTCTTTAGATCTGCCACTTATTCAAATTAGTAATCTCTTTATAATGGTAAGCAACAACTTGAAAGTTTTAAATAACTGAGAAAAGTCACTTAATGTGGCGTTCCCACACTTTAGTGTGACTTTTCCCCATTCATCTTTGGAAACATGTTTTTTAATTATTTTCTTTTCAATAAGTTCATTTTTCATCATATATATTTAAAAAGCAATTTCTTTAATCTCTAGCTATTATAATAAGTTGTTTTAAAATCATTGAGATTTTACTTAGTGAGAACAACTTTAGATATTATTTTCAGAACTCAGTAAGAATCCTTAGAACTAAGGTGCCAGATGAATAGAAAGTAATGACTCTTCTGAGGGTAATTTGAAACATCATAAATGTGATATTATACATTCATTATTACAAAAAAATTTGAAGTATTTTTATATTTCAACGATTTGTATTAGTATGCTCAAATATGACAGTAAGGAATGGAGACATATGTGATATATGCACACGTTTTCCTTCTAGTCCTGACTATTTAAAAATTTGTCATTAACCTGCTTTAACCTGATCTTTGAAAAGAGGAAAATGAAAATATAAGTATAGACATTTACTTCGGTTTTACAGATCGCATAGTTACACGTTGACATACATAAAAGCTTGTAGTGACAACAGTTCCTATCAGTTTACAAATTTCAAATGTGTAAAGGTATAACAATCATAGAAATTTACAAGAAGAAGTAAGAGTAAAATATATTCAGTTACAAATACTGCTTGATGATTACGTAAATAGGATATAACATTCTCTATAGGATTTTGACTTCGCCAAGAGAAATAAACCCATTGAAATTTTTCCCAAATATTAGCTTTAATATTCTTTAGTAATACAACTAATGATGATAAACTTGTTTGAAAAAACAAGATGACGGATGCCCTGTTTGCTTTCTGCCAGAAGGTGCTACTTTCATCACGAATAGGAGATAGCACCAATTACTGTGACATCCAAGGGTTTCAGAACCAGGGTAATTTGCTCTCTGAGGATTTTTCTATACACCATAAATGCAGATTTGCAAGCATATTTCACCTAGGCAACAAATGGACTCTGTCGTTGCTATCTGATTAGGTGACCACTTTGAAGACTGAAGATCACAGTAGGCTGATGGAAGCTTTGCCAAAGGGATGTCCTTTTACATGTTTTAGTCTCAGCAATTCCTTTTGGCTTACCACCCTTACAGCCAAATGTGGCCACAAATTAACTTTTCAAATAAAGCCCCATCTGATGTCCTCATTTTAACAGGTATGAGGTCAATTTGGTTAACGTGGAAATTCATGCTTTGCCTTATTTATAAAGTATATCCATATTACATACACTAAATCCAAAGTTTATGAGGCTAAAAGCATGAATCTACTTATTAAATCAGCAAAGATTAGGTGAATATGCTTAGAGTGATACAATCTAGCTTAATATTAGCCATAAAACAAATATCTTACCTTTTCCAAATATATATTTTCTCAGGCAATATGAATAAATTAATTGTATGATAATAATCCATGATTTCTAAGATTGTACTTGCCTAGTTTTAAGTAAGTGGTCAGTGAATACTTGCTGATTAAAATAATGTTAAAGCCTTATTATTTTTAAACCCAAATAACTATTTGACTATTTTGTTTCTGTCTGGCAATTCCATACTACTGAAAAACAGCATATTATTTTCATTTATTAACTGAGAATCATCTCTTCGTATTTAAGATTTATTCAAATATTCTTTAAGCACATCTTTGTTATAACTAAAGGATTATTAGAGGGTTCTAGGTTGTTGACTTAGGTTTTGAGTTAACAGAAATTGTGAATAAAACATGTTCAAGAGAAAACTAAAATTGGATATTAAATATGGTATATTTGCATTCCCTACATGATGAATTTCTTTAAAATAAATCATTGAAAAAATTACTATGTTAAAAATATGATTGCAGTTTATATATATTGTCATGAAATATATATACACATATACTTTTTTGTTTCCTATACGTCTGCTATAACAACATGGCATAAATGAATTAGAAGTAGATAATTTGAGATGGTATGCAAATTTATTAAGGAAAGTATTTAAGTCAACCCATGTTGGTCATGAAGATGATACTGTGCAGCTATTCAAACATGTGCCTTCTCATGTTGTTCAAAGACACTCGCATTTTCATGGATCATTTTATAAACTTAAAATATTATAATGCCAGACAATCTAATTCAAGTTCAGTTGATTTTAAGAGGGAAGTTTCCATAACATTACTCATTTGCACTTATAAAAAAAGTTTTTTTTTTATTGAATGCAGATATTTTAATTACTTTCTTAAAATAAAGTATATACTTTATGAATATAGTATTTACTTATAAAACGATAAAGTCCACATTCTTATTAACATAACACATTATTCAAACCACTAGGTTACATTCTGCAGTTATCAGAGACATTTTTCATCCTGTTAAACAAATAAATTATACTTACAAATAATTTTTGTTGAAAATTTATCTTTCTTATTTTAATCTATTAATGCCTCCGTGTTTACTAACTTGTTTTGAGAGACAGATTTTTGTGCTGGAGGAAACAGTCTCAGAAGACAGAACTAGGAAATGTCTTTGAAGAATGCATTATATTTTAAAAGCTGACACTTTTGTTACAACAACAAAGTCACCTTACCTTTTTTTCAACAACGGAAGAAATTATGTTTTACCTTAACTATGAAGGACTAATGATAATTATTATCTACTCCAATGAAATGAATAATGTTTGTATGAACCATTGAAAAGTGGCTGAATCAAAGTTTTTCTTCATTCTACAAATGAGATAAAGTGAATACAATATCATAAAACAACTCCTGAGCATAGCACAGATTTCTCAAATGCATTTCTTCTAATCTTTGAGAATTTTTTGTCATGCATTGTTGGTTTACTTAATAAGCAAATACTTGCTCACCACCCACAAACCCACACATATTCATATTCTCATTCTTATTTCCTGCCATCTAAACATACTCTGAAGAAAACAGAAAATTATCATTCTCATTTTTCTTTGGTTGCTGGAAGAGTCATCCCTCAGAGTGTGGGGGATATAGATAAGTAGATCTACTACCGATGAAAATAAATGCTTTCTGCAAGCAAGTTTTATTGTTTTTTTTTTTAAATAATCCAACAAATTGTGAGAATACTCCCTAATGGAAAGCAATGTTATGCAATTGGTTGTATCAATAAATATTTTAAGCCTAATGGGATGATCAAAGTAGCAAAAATGTTAATATATGTAACTTGGTTCCATTATTTTATAACAGCTGATATCAGAAGCTTGTATATGTGACTGGAAATTTGGGAGGAAACTGTATACACCGTGACTATATTCGTGACAATGAATGAGTAAAGGAAACATGTGCTTTACTAACTTTTGGTTTTCAGGAGATGTTGAATTCAGAATTACTCCTACTGGAGGTTGATTTTTAAACACCACTGCTGCTGGAAGTATGCATAAGAGAGAAGCACCTAGGCACTTATAATTAATGAGCCACATTCAGGAATGAGTACAAGCATAAAATGAGAAAGTTGGTGGGTTTACTGTAATTGGGAACAGAGGGATAATTAGAGGACTTATTGACAATGGGTCTAAGTCCCTTTGAGTGTCTTGGTAAGTCAAGGTGTTACTTTTATGGGATAATGTTGCTGTCAAATTACTTTCTTCTTTCTTTCTTTCTTTTTCTTTTGTCTTTTTTTTTTTTTCTTTTGAGGAAGGGTCTTGCTCTGTCACCAGGCTGCAGTGCAGTGGCACAATCATTACTCACTGCAGGCTCAACCTCCTAAACTCAGTCGGTCCTCCCCAACTCAGCCTCCCAAGTAGCTGGGACTACAGCAGGTATGCGCCACCACGCCTGGCTAATTTTTGTATTTTTGGTAGAGATGGGGTCTTGCCATTTTGCCCAGGCTTGTCTTGCACACTTGAACTCAAGTAATCTGCCCATCTCAGACCCACAGAGAGCTGGGATTACAGGTGTGAGCCACTGAGACTGGCCTACACATTGTTTTAGGTAAGTTGGATCTGTGTTTATAAACATATATCTGTGGATATATGTTTATATATCATAAAAAATACTAAAACAATGAAAGCATTATATCCTCAAATTTTTGATAAATTTGATAATTATAATGTTACTAAAGCTGTGAGCCACAAATGTTTACACAGATTTGAAATGTAGAATGTTGTATATTTCAGAGTAATCAGTTACTCTTCTATTGATTGTGGATAGTGAATTTCTAACATTCAAAATAATCTTGGGGAGAAATCAATAAATATGCTTATATGTAATTCCTTGAATAAACAGAATTGATGAGGGTGAAAGCTTACCTCCATTGCCTTACAAAATGACTGATCTATGCACAGATGAAAATTTTATTTCCCTCATACATGCTTCCAGAAGTTCCATATTTCCTAGTATGTACGTTAGAGTTCTCAAATGTACTAACAATGGCCTTTAAGCATCGTAAATTTCATTCCAGTTTTACTCCTCCATGTTTCTGGAAGTATGATTTGAGCAGTGTAATTGAAAAATTTCATCTGATACTATTTTGTTCTGAAACAAGATGAGAAAGTCTAAATTAAAATAAAAGGGGAAGAAAACTATTGCCAGATTTGGTAGCATTGTTCACAAACCTTCAGCTAGTATAAAGTGAGGCTTTTTGTGTACTAGATAGGGATTCATGAGGTCCCTATAGCATAAGATAAAGAACGAAAATAAAGTATTCTCTCCTCTTAGTTATAAGAGATGTACTACTATGATTATTTGTTTTATTTTTTATAATAATATACATAGTCTGTAATTACTAATTTACTTTGTTCTGTATGCTTCATATCCAGTCCATTCGAACAACAATTGGAATCTCGATATTTGTTTTTTTGTTTTTGTTTTTTTTTTGTTTTTTGTTTTTTGTTTTTTGTTTTTGAGACAGAGTCTCACTCTGTCTCCAGGCTGGAGTGCAATGGAACGATCTCGGGTCTACTGCAACCTCTGCCTCCTGGGTTCAAGCAATTCTCCTGCCTCAGTCTCCCGAGTAGCTGGGACTACAGGTGCATGCCACTATGCCCAGCTAATTTTTGTATTTTTAGTAGAGACGGGGTTTCACCATGTTGGCAAGGATGGTCTTGATCTCGTGACCTCGTGATCTGCCCGCCTTGGCCTCCCAAAGTGCTGGGATTACAGGTGTGAGCCACTGCACCCAGCCTTGATCTTTCTTTTGATTCTATACTTTACTGTCACACTCAAGGCCTTGAGAGATACAAAACAATAAAATTGTGTCTGCTAACTAGTCTTTAGAATATACTCTTAATGTAAAATTCATCTCTCCCTTCCTGTTCAATAAAAATATCTATTTCCCTTTCTCTCTTTAGATTAGTAAATAATATAGTTTTCTATTTTTCATTGCTCAGAATGCTCTTACAGGAGACATGTCATGGCTCAAAGAATGACTATAACTTTAGCTCTTCTAATTTATTAATTATTTTTGAACAAAAGATAAATCTACCAGTCTTGACAATTTTAAAGTAGTCATGAAAACTGGCTGTCTACCATCCCTTTATTTTGCAAACTAGAGGTTATTTTTCCATCCCTTTCCTGTCATCATTTATAAACCAAGTCTTAATTTTTGTTCATGTCCTTACATCTAAGAACATGTTTTCAATTCAATCTCATGTAATTTTTATTTATTGATTAATACCCATGAACCTGAGTCTCTTTCAGAAGGCAGGGATCCACAGACATCAAGAGAAAAATGGACTGACTTACGCAAAGTATACATTTGGGGTGGGTAAAAATGCATATAAAATACCAGTCACCAAGCAAATATAATAAGTAAAATGTTTAAAAATATTAATAATATAATGATTAGAAAGAAAAGTAACTAGAATGAAACTTCCAACCTACAAAAATAAAATAAACTTACTTTTATTTAAAAAGTTCAAATATGGAAGCACTAAATCAAATATTTCTTTATCTTCCTGGAAATTTTATAAAGAAAAATGGACATAGGTAAGCTATTTTTAACATAAAAAGTATTAGACATGAAAGAAAATAAATCATGTCAAACAAAGGAGAATATATAGGGATCACAAGAATTGGAAGTCAGCTAATCTTAAATCTGGTATTAAAATGCTGATTTGGGCAAATCCTTTGATCTCTTACCTCTATTTTTAACTTATAAAATATGGGAGGTTACTTCGATTAGTGTTTTCAGATCGTGCTCCACAGAACCCAAAGTTTTGAATTCACATGGTTTATTTGGGTGATGGTGGAAATGATCAGGTCACTAGAGACCCCCCAATACCTATCTGACTAGCTCTGTTCATATCTATTACATATTTAAGGGCTACATATATATTCGGTTTGAAAAAGTAACTTAATGCTACTAATAAAATATCAATCTTTATACCATTCTGAATTCGAATGTTCCATGATGCTATGATACACAATGTGAAAAAGTCAGGATGAATATCTATCCTTTGTCTTTGTTTTTCATTTAATGCCTGCTGTATGCCCTTAATTTCTGAAAGAGCCTGGTTTTAGCATAAAATACCTTAATGCTACAAACACTGTCAATAGTACCAATAATATCTGTAAGGATTCGAAAGAACTCTCCAAGATGTAGACAAGAAAAAGATGTTACCAGCTCTGACAATCTAGTTATGAACAATACAGATCAATGATTCAAGGTAGAGTGGGGTATGGGGTAGAAGGCTGTATAAAGTACATAGAAAAGGAGAGGGAAGTCGAAATATTTGAGGATCCAAATGATACAGATTCTGCTTGATGAGAAAGTCTGCTTGAATTATTTATAGATGTCTTCCTAACAAGCTGCAGAAAAGGCCTTACTCTTTCTAAGCATAGACTGTATAGGCATGCCCTTTCAGAAGTTTAAGGGCATAAGGGAGGGCTACACATCTGTACATTCAATAAATATTAACTAGGTGCTCTGATAGATTGTGGCAATACAGCATTAAAATCTTATTTTAATTCTACCCTCAAAAAAAAATGTAATCTACAGTTTGCCATACCTTAGACCACTAGCTATTGTGGCGATTTAAAATTAAACAAATTAAAATAAAATAAGACCAATAATTCACTTTCTTGGTCATGCTATATGACTACATCAATGACTTAATAGTGACATATGGCTAGTGACTGCTGCACTGGACAACTCAGATCATAGAATATTTCCTTCATTGCGGATAGCTTTATTGAGCATTAATGGACTAGAAGTCAGTACAGCCATGAAACTCAACATTACATTGTAATTAGTACAATAAAATAGAACTATAGAACATTTTGGGAGTGCAGAAACAGTCTCAAGAGGATTTAATTCTTCTGTAGCTGGTATGAGTATGTGAAAATAATGGTTAAAAAGAAATTGTGAAAATTGTGTTTATGGTAAAATTCGAAAAGTTACTACATTGCATAAGCATGGAGAAAAAGATTAAGTGGAATTAGCATAAAGCACCACTGTCAGAGAAAGCAGAACATGTGAAACTGTATTTATTGAAATCAACAGTAAAAGCATAAGAGTGGCAAGAAATATTCCCAACCCTTTCGGATAATCAAGACTGTTTATCTTTAAGCATTTTTAAATTTATACTGACAGTATTAGAATGACTAAAAAGACTTTAAGTAGGGTAGCGACATAAATAGTATTAAAATGTTAAAATTATCTCTGGCAGTAGAGAATAAAAATTGGAGATGGTCAAAGAATGGACTCTGGAGATTATGTTGAGGTTAATTGCTTTGATCCATTTAAAAAATAATGCCCATTTGGTCAATGGTGAGAACAAATGCGGGTGGAGGGTTAAACTGAATGCCCAGCAATTATTGCAAATTTGGAGGCGGGAGGTGAGGAAGTAGGCAGAACTGTCCAGCTGATCAATAGACCCATGAGACTCAAACTTTAAAGTGGTTTGTTACATAGTGCTATTTAACTGATATTCCAATATTGAAATACCTTTTTTGATTAGAAGATCAGGATAATTGTTTAAATATATGGATGTTAAATTTGAAGTTTCTCTGAGACGTTGAAATGAATGAATATGTCTTGTAAATAGTTGGATAAAAGTGCTGGATTTTGGTATTATAGAAAGGTTTATGGCTGCAATATACAGTTCAGAGAGAGCTGTATGTAGAAACTCATAGAAGCTCTGGGAGGAGGGGCTGGGCGAGGTGGCTCACGCCTGTAATCCCAGCACTTTGGGAAGCCGAGGCAGGTGGATTACCTGAGGTCAGGAGTTCGAGACCACCCTGGCCAACATGGTGAAACCCCATCTGTACTAAAATACAAAAATTAGCCTGGCATGGTGGTGCGCATCTGTAATCCCAGCTACTCAGGAGGCTGAGGAAGGGGAATTGCTTGAACCCGGGAGGCGGAGGTTGCAGTGAGCCGAGAACACGCCACTGCATTCCAGCCTGGGCAATAGAGTGAAACTCAGTCTCAAAAAAAAAAAAAAAAAAAAAAAAAAGAAGCTCTCGGAGGAGGATGAGATTTCCTAGGGAGAAAATGTAGCACCAAAGTAAAAGTCCTGAGTAGCTTTAATACTTAGTAGTAACCATGCTGTATTTCCAAGGAGATCAAAGTACTTTAGAGAATAAATTTACCCTGAAGAAACTCTGTTTCTTCAAAGTATATTCATACACTTTACCTCTTTTTTTTTTTTTTTAGACAAGGTTTCACTCTTGTCGCCCATGCCAGATTGCAATGGCTCGATCTCAGCTCACTGCAACCTCCGTCTCCCAGGTTCAAGTGATTTTCCTGCCACAGCTTCCCAAGTAGCTGATATTACAGGCGCCTAACACCATGCCCAGCTAATTTTTGTATTTTTAGTAGAGACGGGGTTTCACTGTGTTGGTCAGGATGGTCTCAAACTCATGACATCTGGTGACCCACCCGCCGCAGTCTCCCAAAGCGCTGCGATTACAGGCGTGAGCCACCATGCCCGGCCTCTATTTTACATATTTATTGAATACAGTAGGTTCAGGTAAAGAAAGAAAGGCTGAAAGCATAACAAGAAAGAAAGAAAAAAAGAAACCCTATTTAATATATTTAGCCTATCTGTTTATTCATAAAAATCCCTATCAATGTCAAATTTATAATATATTATTCAACTAATGCTAATATGGCTAATTTCTGCCCTTAAAAATAATATATTGTGACAAAAACGTAACTGCAATTTTTCAAGAGGAAGAAATCAACAGCTTTTATTTCAGCTTTGATTTTTTAAAATTTCCCTCTGATTCTCTTGACCTCTTTTAACTATGATAAATTCATTCACTGATGATTAATTTAAAAGAAGAGACCCGTGATCTCTCTGCATTAATATTTCTTAAGCATGCTTTCACTCTGCTTCTTTGTGAGCTAGAAAATCTTAAAAGTGGCTCTTGCTTAGATTTACCTTAAAAAACAAAAATAAAACTGTCAATGTCATTATAGCACAGTGAAACATGATGAAGTATAATTAAATTCTTAAGTATTCTTAATAATTGAAGCTCTCAAAAATAAGTATTATGACAAATTGGACTATAAATTAAATGCTTGCATTCCATTCATTTATGTAAAACAATAAGCTCTATAGAAGATGGGTTACATGGAAGAATACATTTTATCGTTCTAAAGAGTTCAATAGGTCTACAGTAATGTAGAATCCACTTTAATTATGAAAAAGACTAATGCAATATAGACAATTTTGTGTCAATTACATAAAAGTAAAATTCATGAACCAAGAGCACTACCAAAGTTCTTTTTAGAATAAAGCGTAGTACAAATAAAAAAAAGACAATGAATAAACCAATTAACTTAAAATACTAATTCTACTGAATAGTGCCTAATGCCAGGTCCAGAGCATATACTGAAGGCAGAAAGATGATATGTTTTATCTCTACAACTCCATTGAGGCATGAGGTTGTCTTTGGCAAACTGTCCATTCAAATTTTAAACTCAGTTTATAACCTAATTCTTTCAAGATTGTGAAAGGCAGTAGAGTCTTCACCCAATTTTTAATTTATTGTGCTGTCTTCTCACCTGACAATGTCTGATACTGTTGCTTGGAAGCCCAGGCTCTCCCAGATGTACATGTTAGAGTCACATCCATTCCTCAGTGTTTGGCTTAAAAATGTTCTTCCTTTGTGATGTTTTCATTAATGTTCCCTAGCATCATCATTACATCCTCTCTATTTCATAACGCATTTTACTAAGTACTTAATTTTAAATTATATCCAAGTTTGTTTATTTCCAAAATATTGATAGGAAGACTATTCTGGGCAAGTGAGTAGACAAGTTTCTTAATACAAAGATGAATTCAGATCCACACAAATTCATACTCTAGGACCAAGTGTGTATATATGTAAAGCCTATTGCTATAATAAAGTTGCATACATGTGTGTGGCACAGGGGAGAAAATAGCTGACTTCTGGGAATAAAGTCATAGGTTGTTTAAGATTATGTCCACAAAGGAATGGCCACAAATGAATGAACAACTTAAATAGGTATAAGAGCATTATATGAAGTTAATTGCAAATTGTGAAAAGCAGCAATGAAGAGTCTTTAAACGAAGGAAATAAAATGTATAAAAATGTTGCCTGTTTACATATCTTAGCACTATTTATAATTCTTCTACACTATTTTCTGTTTTCAAGGCCTAAAAGCATGAAAAATACATTTCCCAGACTCTATGGCAAATGGGGTTCATTTTGATAACTTCAATAGGAGACATGTAGGAAAATTTGACTAATCTGACTAGAATTATTACTCCTTAAAAAATAAAGGCATTTGGCCAGTCTGCATAACATTATGAGACCTTGTCTTTACAAATAAATTAAAAAAAAAAAAAAATCAGCCGGGCGTGGTGGCATGTGCCTGTAGTCCTAGCTACTTGGGAGGCTAAGGCAGGAAGATGGCTTGAGCCCAGGAGGTTGAGGGTGCAGTGAGCCGTAATCATGCCACTAAATTCCAGCTTGGGTGAGAGAGCCAGAGCTTGTCTCAAAAAATAAAATAATAAAATAAAATAAACAATACAAAATAAATAAATATGAAGGCATGTGGGCTGTGGCAGAAGGCAGATGTAAAATTTTGCAGTGACCTTCAGACATTCTCACAAGAATCCCTTAGATTATTGCTTAGAGTGACTGAAGTAATTGGTAGCAGTTTCATGCAATCCCTGCACTTTATAATTATAGGAAAGGCTGCTGTTATCCCAAAACATTCATTAGTTTATATATATCTAACTCCCTGTATTACGTAGCTTCTTAAAGTATGTATTACATATCTTCTTAAAATATGTCATTTTTGTTTTTAATGAACCAAAAACAGAGAGACATATACAAAATAATGTGTTCATGAAACTGTACGTTCTTTCTTTTGGAGAAGCCATAGGCTGTTCATGGAAAATGACAAATAAGTAAGTTCTGGATTAAATGTAGTTAGAGTCTAGATGGTAAAGATTTATATAACATATTGATGACCTTCCACTTTAGCCTGAAATCTGTGGGAAACCACTAAAACTCTTCAACTATAACAGGTCAAGATTGATCGAGGTTGAGGAAGTTGGCTTTGACAAGAGTGTGGAGGCTGTATTACTTGCTCACTTATATTCTAATACTACTAAATTTGTTAAGTATAGTGACTACTTCTTAATTGCATACATACCAACATCTAGTGTCTAATACACTGCTGTAATGTCAAGAACAGTTAATGAATTTTTTTATTATTGAGTTTGCTTTTTGCTTATTATATTATTTACCCTTAATAAAATATTTTGGATTTTTTAGAAATGCTTAGTGTTTTCGTTTCTGGCGCCTTCCAAATACGTTTTAGTTCACAGAGCATAATAAATATTTGCTGGGTTTTAAAATGATTAAAATCTTCCCCAAAAGTAGACATTTGACTTTGTAATCAGTCTAGTTTATGGAGAACAGATGTTGAATCCCAAAGAATCCTTTGCTCAAGGACAGACTGAACTACTACACATTAAAAAAGGGCAAGCTAAAGTTTGAGAGTGAGAAAAAGTATAGACAGATAGATAGATAGATAGATAGATAGATAGATAGATAGATAGATAGATAGATAGATTAGATAGATAAATAGATATAGATGATAGATACATGCATGCATACATACATATATGTATAATTTATGAAATTGTATAAAACTGATGTAGTGCTGATTTGTATTTTTTTTTTCCACCAGAGTCTAGATTTCCAGGGAATAAAAGTTTATAACTAAAGGCTTAGAATATGTTATATATTGTTGTTGCTTTTCTGGATTCCTTTAAATTAGAATTCAAATTATAAGGGAGAAATTCAAAGAATCAGCTACTTTTACAGCATTGAAATGTTAACGTTTTCTGAAATTTTTTAACCAGCCAGGGGTCAAATTGTTCCACATATTTGCAGCCTAGAAAATATTTACTAAACCACAAAGCAGGGAAAAAAGCACCATTCTACTCATACTTCTTATTAAAATATATTATAAATACCTAAATAAACAATTTTAAGACAAAACATAGTCTGACAATTGAGTAAAATGTTATAAAAGAAGACAGTTTTCCTTTACTTAATTTTAATACTAAGACATGGAAATTACTGTTTCTGGATAATATTAGAGAAAGAATGAGCATAGCTTGCGGATTCCCAACGTCTCACTATCTTACAGCTGTCTCAGAAGTAAAAGAAAAGCTGATATTGTGCAAAACCTAACATTAAAAAAATGAGGGCCTGGAAGAGACAGAAAGATTGGATAAAATATCTAAACTTTTTTAATGTCTTGAGAATATTGGCTTGTTAAAAAATGATCTTTCCCTTTACAGAATACACATGTAAATTGCTTTCCCAAATTAAAAATATTTATTAGAGATAAATCTATACAGTCAATAGAAGAAAAGCAAATACATATCTCTTTGGTCTCAGGTAAGATGAGTATATTTGTATTTTTTGTTAACAAAGCCCCCCACTCCCAAACCAAAAAGCAAAAAAATTATAATGGGAAAATGTTCTATATTTTGCTTTAGCCAAAATATAAATAATATTAAAATATTAGATATTTTAACTTGTGTTCAGGATCAGATATTGAAAATGACAAACTACATTTTCAATATC
Organism: Homo sapiens; assembly: GCF_000001405.40. NCBI lineage: Eukaryota > Metazoa > Chordata > Mammalia > Primates > Hominidae > Homo > Homo sapiens. The sequence goes on from NC_000004.12 coordinate 29,650,861, forward strand.
TGAACCTGAACAGAATTCATGTAACTAAAACAGACTAGATTCACTTTCAGTCCAAATAAATCATCTGGGAATTTTAGTAGATCTATAGTCAAAGTATATAAATAGGCAATTATTAAGAAAAGACACAATTCCAACAACAAATTTAAAAATTATGCAACCTTTTTATAAATAACAACACAAAGTAAAACAACTTGACCTATAGACATATCATTTTAATGCATGAATTTGTGTTTACACATTCATGTTATCATAAAATATTACTTTGAATTAATTCTGAACTTATTTTAATGGTAAATAATTTATTATTTTTAAACACCCCCTTTTAAGAAATATTGATCTATACTTTCAGTTGGAGCAAGATATGCAATTTGGTAAGATGTTTGTATTTATGTCAAGGTAAATTGAGCGTACATCAGAATGGCATGTTTGCATATAATTGGATATTTATGTTTTGCTTTCAGTCTTTGCATCTCAATTCAAGTTGCCTGTGTTTAAAAAAGAAAAAAAAGTTAACAACTGATGCTGAGCATAAATTCGAAATAAATTTTTTAAAATATTTAGAGAATTTGGCTGTTAAGAATGATGAAAAAATGGGTGTCAATACTGCATGTATGAAATGTGAACATAAAGCAGAAAGTTTTTACAACCCTGACTAAAGAGATTTTGCATGCTATGGAAAAGGAATAAATAAATGTGGAAATAATAGTACATCTGACCTGTGAACAATACAGGTTTGAACAATGCAGATTTTCTTCTGTCTCTGCCACTCCTGAGACAGCAAGACCAGCCTCTGCTCTTTCTCCTCCTCCTCAGCCTACTATACACGATGACAATGAGAATGAAGACCTTTATGATGATTCACTTCCACTTACTGAATAGTAAATACACTTTCTCTTCTTTCTTATTTTCTTAATATAAGAAAGTAAAATATTAATTTTACTCTGGCTAAAATAATTCCTTCCTGACATGTTTTAAAATAATAAGAGCTATCAATGACAAGCCCACAGCCAACATCATAACAAATAGGCAAAAGCTGGAAACATTCCCCTTGGAAATGAAACAAGACAAGGATGCCCACTCTCACTGCTCTTATTCAATGCAGTACAGGAAGTCCTCGCCAGATTAATCAGGCAAGATAACAAAAGCTGATAAATGACTTCAGTAAAGTTTCAGGATAAAAAAAAAATGTACAAAAATCAGTAGATTTCTATACAAAATAATGTTCAATCTGAGAGTCAAATCAAGAATGAAATCCCATTTACAATTGCCACAAAAGGAATAACATATCTAAGAATACATCTAATCAAGGATTTGAAAGGTCTCAACAAGGAGAACTATAAAATGCTGCTGAAAGAAATCATACAAACACAAACAAATAAAAAAACATTCCATGCTCACAGCTTGGAAGAATCAATGTCATTAAAATGGCCATACTTCCCAAAGTGATAGACAGATTCAACCCCATTCATATCTAACTATCAATGTCATTTTTAACAGAATTAGAAAAAAAAGTATTCTAAAATTTAATATGGAACCAAAAAAGCCCAAGTAGCTAAAGGAACTCTAAGCAAAAAGAATGAAGCTGGAGACATCACATTACCTGACTTTAAACTATAAAGCTATACCAAAACATCATGGTATGGGTGAAAAAACAGACACATAAACCAATAGAACAGAATAGATTACCAGATAAAAAGTTGCACACCGGAAGTCATCTGACCTTCAACAAAGTTGACAAAAATAACCCTGGGAAAAAGACTCCTTATTCAATAAATGGTGCTGTGATAGCTAGCTAGCTATATGCAGAGGAATGACATTGGCCCTCTATCTTTCATCATACACAAACATTAACTCAATATGGATTAAATATTTAAATGTAAGACCTCAAACTATAAGAATCCTAGAAGATAACCTGGGAAACATTATTCTGGACACGAGCTTTGGGAAATAATTTGTGACTAAGTCCTCAAAAGCAATTGCAATGAAAATAAAACTTGACAAGTGGGAACTAATTAAACTAAAGAGCTTCCGCACAGCAAAAGAAACTATCAACAGAACAAACAGACAACCTCCAGAATGTCAGAAAATGGATGCAAACTATGCATATGAAGAAGATCTAATATCCAGAATCTATAAGGAATGTAAACAACAAGAAAAAAATAAATAACCCCATTAAAAAGAGGGCAAAAGACGTGAACAGACGCTTCTCAAAATAAGACATACAAGTGGCCAGCAAAAATATGAAAAATACTCAATATCACTAATCATCATAGAAATGCAAATCAAAACCACAATGAGCTACTATCTGTATTAGTTTGTTCTCACACTGCTGTGAAAAAATACCCTAGAGATTTAATTGACTCACAGTTCCACATTGCTTGGGAGGCCTCGGGAAACTTACAATCATGGACAGAAGGCAAAGGAGAAGCAGGGACCTTCCTCACGACATGACAGAGTAAGTGCAAGCAGGGAAAACGTCAGACGCTTATAAAACCATCAGATCTCCTGAGACTCACTTATTATCATGCGAACAGCATGGGGGAAACTACACCCATAGTCCAATTATCTCCACCTGTTCCTGCCCTTGACACATGGGGATTATGGGCATTACAATTCAAGGAGAGACTTGGGTGGGGACACAGAGCCAAACCATATCACCATCTCATACCAGTCAGAATGACTGCATGAGGCTGAAGAGAAAAGGGAACGCTTATACACTGCTGTTGCAAATGTAAATAAGTTCAATCACTGTGGAAAGCAATTCAGAGATTTCTCAAATAACCTAATACAGGACTACCATTTGACCTATCAATGACATTATTGGATTTATATCCAAAAGAAAATATATTTATCTACCAAAGAGACACCCACACTTGTATGTTCATTGCAACACTATTCATAACAGTAAAGACACGGTATCACCCTAGGTGCTATCAATGGTAAACTGGATGAAGAAAAAGTGATAGATACACGCTATGGAATACTATGGAGCCACACATAAAAAAAAAAGAATAAAATTATATCGTTTGCGCAACATGGAGCTGAAGACCATTATCCTAAGCAAATTAATGCAGGAACAGAAAACCAAATGCTACATGTTCTCACTTGTAAGTGAGGGAGCTAAATATTGAGTACTCATGGACATAAAAATAGTAACAATAGACACTGTGGGCTAGCAGAAGGGAGAGGGAGGGAGGAAGATAAGGGTTAAAAAATGAACTATTGGGTACTTAGTACACTTACTACCTGGGTGATGGGATCAATCATATCCTAAACCTCAACATCACATAGTATAGCCATGTAACAAAACTGCACACATAACCCCTGAGTCTAAAATAAAAGTTGACCGTACAATTAAAAAATCCCTTCCTCCAAAGAAGCTCATGGGAATTACCATTAAAGAGCATTATACACAATTTTACAAAAAGCATGTGAAATTGTAATATAATTTCATAAAATATAGGTTATTTTTCTGATTGTTTTATGGAAAATGTGTAAGAAGGATTTCCCAATATCCTCTCGTACCTCCAGTTTATGCAATCTCTGACTGATTTTAAACTAAGCAATATTTCTGAAACAAGCTTAATGAGTCCCAGGCTAGAGAATAAAGCTAGAGAAATATGTTTCCGATTATGAGCTAAATATTAAGAACAATTTCTACTCTAGTCAGTAACTAGCTTAGCCCATTCTTCTTAGTCTGGACATTTTGTAGATTTTTTAATGAAAAAAAAAGTAGTTGAAGGTTTACGGGTTTGTGGACCAAAATTCGTCTGATCTTGGCTGTTTGCAAGTCAACAATCATCTTTGATAAATTACTCTGAAGTCTGAGATACCAATAAGCATCAGCTGTGAAAAGAAGCATTTCTCTCTAGGATATGCCATTCTCAAGTCCAATGAGCTTGCTTTCTCTATTCTGTTGGTCATTTTCTAGCTCAGATATCAATTCCATGCCTTCATTGTCCACTCTGCTTTTTCTCTTCTTGCTCATTATTTTATTCTCTTCATTGAGGTTGCATCTCCTACTACACTCTTCAGCCTCCATTTCCTTGAATCTTATTTTCTCTCTTCTCTCCCACTTGTATCAAGTTTTTCCATAATTGCTGTCTTCTCCCGTTTTAAATTGCATTGTATATCTTCCTCTGTTTGTTAGCAGTACAGCATTAAAATTATTTGTCTTCTTATTTTCCTTTTTTAAATTTTTGAATCAAGAAGCATTACAGTTTTTGTTTATAATCCATTTTGGAAAAGTATGAATTACCCAAATTGCTTTTTCATATGAATGGTGATCAGTGTGTTCTGCTCAGGCTATTTTTTTTTTTTTTCTGATTGAAATCCTCTTACGGAATAGATAGGACTTGGAATAGAATGGTTTATATCAGATCAGTTCAGTCCACATCTTTCAAGATCTCAGTTAGTGCTTTGAATTATTGGGGGGAGTATCTATTTCCCCAAGAGACACATCTCAAGAGAAAGGCAAAAAGAACTTTAGGACCTCAGTAAAACTGACTCAAATGTAGCACATGGTTGTGATTCCTGGTGGAAATGCTAAACTTGCTATAGGAAAAGAAGGTTCTACTCATGCTAAGAGAGCCCTATGAGAAGCCACTGCTTTCATACATTTGATTTGGCTGAAGCTCAACATAATAGGCACCAATCTAATGGTCTCATATATTGCAGAGCCTAAATTTTAACCTATAGGCTGCTATTGAGATATTTCATTAATTGGGCAAGATTAAACTTCCTTTTTCATATTATCTGTACTAATTATTGCAATGATACTTGACAAAAAAGATAAATGATAAACTCTCAGTGGCTTGATACAACATATCTTGCTCATATAAAGTGGAAACCAGAAGAGGCAGAGTCCCTGGGTGGATGGCTCCCTGCTAGCAGCGAATGAAAGCACCAGGGAACTTCTTTTTGATGGTTCCTCCATTTTTGTCATGTAACTTCCATATTCATCAAGCTAGTTTGCATTAATATCCTGAAGGGAAAGAGCAGGTATTAAGTTTTGAATGTGGATCTACAATAATTTGTAAGTACTCAGGCACAAATTGCTAAATGTGACTGCAAGAGAAATGGGGACAATTTAGTCCAGCCACACCCCAGAAGAAGTCAAAGTAGGCCTGCTGAGCAGCTTCTTATTCTGTGCCACAGTATCTTTAACTGAATACGAATGTCGAAAATGGAGGTGGAAGATTTGTTGAACCCACAGTCTTGAAAGGCTATGCTCTCCATAAAATATTTAGAAATAATTACTTATATAAATTATATGGATTAATGACATTGGACAGATTTCATAAGATAAAGTGAATGCGGCCATTAAATTGAGTAGTGAAAATTTTAGGCAAGCAGCCAGGTAGCTAATCAGTTAATTCAACTTTTTAACATAGCATGTTTGGAAAGAAGTGTTCAATGTTCATGTGTAGTCTCCAAGAAAATTCTTCTTTAAAGACATAAACACTTGACATAAAAGCCAGTGTGTCTATACATGAGTAAGAAAGAAAGGGGCTGTGAGAGTTTGGGGCAAGGATAAAGAAATAAGGGAATGCATTTAATTAAAATACTGGTCTAAATATTTTTATACCGTTTACACAATGCTTTTGAATAAGCAACTGTATAATTTATTTCATTTCAAGTTTATCTTATTGCTGTAATTGTCCAATCACTTTCTAGTGATAGAAGTTGTGAACTTGGGATATGAAAGTAAAAACCTGTTCCTTATAATACTGGATGATAAAACTTAGAGAGTAAAAGTTGTATAAATTCGTAAAAATAATATTGTGGTAGGCAAACGCTCTCTCTGCCCTGCCACTCCCTGAGATGTTCCTCGAACCAATGAATGTGTTGTATTGCAAGACAGAAGGAGCTTCACAGATATATTTAAAGTTACAGACCTTAAAATAGAGAAATTATCCTGGATTTTCCAGTTGGGTGCATTCTATTTTCAAGAGCTCTTAAAAGCCAATAATTTTCTCCACTTAAAGTTCAGAAAAAAAATAAAAAAAATTGTGGCAGCAGAAAATGTCAGAGAGATTCAAAGGCTGAGAAAGACTTCACCCACATTTGCCACATGGAAAAGGGTGGAAGGAATTGGGGCAGTCTTTAACAGCAAAAATTGACCAGTTGCTGACAGACAGCAAGGTATTAGGGACCTGGGTCCCTTAACTAAATCAAACTGAATTCCCCAGGAGGCGGAGCTTGCAGTGAGCCCAGATCGCCCCACTGCACTCCAGCCTGGGCAAAAGAGCGAGACTGTCTCAAAAAAAAAAAAAAAAAAAACTTAATTCAACTAAAACCAAAAAAATGAGTTTGGAAGCAGATTTTTCCCTAGAGCTTCCGGAAAGAAACACAGCTGGGCCAACACCTTCATTTTGGCCTCCTGAGACTGTATGGAGACTGAGCTGAGCAATGCTCTACCTGGACTTCTGACCTGAAGAACTGTGTGAAAATAAATTTGTGTTGTTTTTATCCACAAAGTTTGTGGCTATATGTTATGTGATCAGTAGAAAACTCGGGCAATTATTTAATAAGAAAGACATGATGAGGAGGATGGGTCCTGAGCTGTCTAAAAGGATTACAAATGTCCACAGATAGCCTGCAGAGGCCACAAATACAGCTTATATGGTTCAGTAGAAACTTAGCCAGACATTTCAAAAATGCAGTAATATAGTTTCAAACAAATTTACTTAGAGATTAGAAATGCTGTTTTAAGTTTCATCAGGCCTCATTTTTTTTGAAAAAGAGAGAAATCAAGCAAAATGTCATGTTCTATTCCCTTGTATACTTTTTCAGCATTGGAAATCCAATCATCATTTTAAACAAGTTAAAATGTCAAAATTTTGTGGACACTAATTCTGGTTTCTTCACTCAAAATTGTTTATTTCTTTTTGTTCCAAGAATAATTTAATTTATAATGCTTTCTTCAACCTCAAAATCATATTTTTATTAATTTCTTTTGTATATGTGTGCATCCCTTCCACAAAACTGTTTACCTAGTATCAAATAAATGTAACTTTTCTTTGATTCAATTTTTATTTAATTTTTTGTCATTGCAAAAATTTATGTCTTCTTAAATTTTTATTATTAATGTTAAAATAAATTATTGTCAGGAAATATGATACTTGTGATAAAAAGTTTTTGTGTAAAACTTTAACACAGATATTTTTTCAAAAAAATAAATTAATTCAACTCTACTCTTTAAAATATATAAATTATCCATTGCCATTTGAGAATTAATTGTATGTGGTAGACCACCATTTGTCTGAAAAACATACAATAACAAAAAAAGAGGAAAATGATTAGTTTATTTTGATAAAATTAGAAGTGACTTAAAATTCTAAATACCATATTTAGGAGAAATGAAATTTTAGAAAATTAAAATAAAAAAAGATTGGAAATCTAAAAGAACTGTTATGTGAGACAGTGTCTAGAAGATGGCAGAGTTTGTCCTCAGATATATCTAGAAACAAACTTCTTCATGGTCAGTAGTACAGCCTGAGATTCAAAACCTAAATTGCTTTATTTGGAGCAGTGAGGATAGGAACACACATAAATCGCAGAAGCACCCTTATTCTCCTTGTTTTTGAGCACCAGAGAGGGCAGATCTAAGTAAAGGTTTAAAAAAGCAGGCTGTACTTCTAGGAAGCTGCCTGCCTCTGCAGCAATGGAGCCAAAATCTGGCTTCAAATTAAAACAGCTCTCTAGTGACTATTGTTCTTAGATGGAGAAAAGTGATATCTAATTGAACATACACACAATTCCATCTGTGACAAAATAATGTCTCAGTGATGAATAATGAAAGTGGAAACAGGCTGTAACTTATACAAGGATATCACGAGAATTAAGAACATATGAAATATTTTACAAATTTGTAAGTAAATACTCCAGGAAAAATTGATATATATCTGTGTATATGTGTGTATATACACATACATGCACACACATATATATGTAGCTACATTTCTATCTATCCTATCGATAGCATAGATAAAATTCATATCAAAAGTATGAGCTAAAATTAAAAAATTGAATGAATCGATCAATTGTACAGTATATCTATAATTTAGACAGATACAACATGTAACAGAGTGGAAGCAAGTTGATATTGCTGTAAATTATTTATTTTTCAATAAGTGGAGTCGACTTTAATGTTATCTATTATTCTGACTTTATTGTTTAAAGATGCTATTTAATTCTTACACATGATTTGAGTGAAGAGCTCTATTTTTATTTTATTTCTGTTTTGAGTTAAATAAGCTATATAAAATCCTCTAATAAAAGCAAAGACATATTTAAATGCTTGATATCAACTGTACAGGAATTTGATTCATGTTGCTTATCTCCCTTCATTATTGATTTTCTTTATATCATGACAAAAAATTCAGAAATGCAACTGATAAAACTATAACTCTGTGATATATAAAATACTCTAACATTGCTATAAAGTTTTTTACACAAGCCCTGTTTCCTCCCACCCTCCCCAAAAGCACAACAGTGTATTAAATCTAAAATAAGTATAGCTAATACCCATTAGTTTCAACCTAGTTTCACATAGTATTTAGAAACTGTCCCAGTTAAATCCATCAAAACACAAACTCTGCTAGGACAGGGGAGTTTTGTCCCTAAGGGCCCTTTCTTTTTTTTTTTTTTTTTTTTTTTTTTTTTGAGACGGAGTCTCGCTCTGTCGCCCAGGCCGGACTGTGGACTGCAGTGGCGCAATCTCGGCTCACTGCAAGCTCCGCCTCCCGGGTTCACGCCATTCTCCTGCCTCAGCCTCCCGAGTAGCTGGGACTACAGGCGCCCGCCACCGCGCCCGGCTAATTTTTTGTATTTTTAGTAGAGACGGGGTTTCACCTTGTTAGCCAGAATGGTCTCGATCTCCTGACCTCATGATCCACCCGCCTCGGCCTCCCAAAGTGCTGGGATTACAGGCGTGAGCCACCGCGCCCGGCCAGGGCCCTTTCTTATAATTGCAGACCCATCAGATTTTTTAAGTCATATGGAAAGTCAATATGGAATCTCCAGGGAAGCTAGCTCTTTTCCAACTTTTCTATTTCTCTATTACTATGTTCACCTCATTTCAACTCTCATTCAAATTTTAACAACTGCAAGAGTAGGCTTATTACGGAGCCTCTTGACATACATTTTTACCTGGTAGAAGATTCCAGTACCCTTAGGGACCATATCAAAAATGCCCCACTTAAAAAGAATTTGCTGAAGTGCATTTATGAACTCAGCTTCTGTGTATTCAGGAGTACAAGTCTATAATCTTCCTCAAATGAAGCATGGCCTTTGAGCATAGTTATACTTTGTATGAAAGTCAGATGCAATTATAAAAATGCATGAAAAAAAAAGAAAAACGCAGCGCCCTTTAGGCAGCTGTTCTGATCATAGAGGTCAAAGAAATGCCAGCAGATTTTCTTCCATGTTGCACCTTCAGTCAGAGCTGCATGACAACCACCCAGAAAGATTATTTTCTCTTTAAAAACATCTCCAAATAGTCTCTATAGAAAAATATCAAAATACTTAATACCCTAATATAATTTTCTCATGATGTTAAGGAAAAGAAGATATCTGAGTAAGAAAATGTATGGTAGCTGATTATACAGTTGAATCAGGAAACACTGTTAAAATGGATGGCAAGAGACCATAATTACTAAAGAAGGGGCGAATTAGTTTAACTATCCTTTTGCAAAATCAAGTAACAAATATATGGCAAATTATAATCCATGAATATTTAATTCCCCATAGGTATTTCACTCCTGTAACATGGAGAGGGTATATCAAAAAGTGACTCTTCAAAAAATGCAAATTCCTCCCTTGAATGCTGAACTTCTTTGTTAATCTGATAAGCAGTTCTTTTTTCAGCCTTCAGATTTTACACAAAAAATGGTAAGGAAAACCTGCTGAATTTCAATCATAATAGTGTTCAGAAATCAATTCTTCTATAGATATTCGCTATTTTCATAATGAAATAGAATAATAGTTAAGTTGAAAAATTCCATTAATAATTTCAAATTGCCTATAGAAATATAAATCATGAGATTTTATAAAATTTAATGTTTCTATGGTAAATTTATAAAAGTTACATATTTTCTGTCTTTTTATGCTTAAATTAGGTATGGTAAACATAATTATAATTTATTTTTTAATTTTATTAATTTTTGTGATAAAATCTTATTATGTATAGATGTAGTGCCATAAATAGAGTAATATATAAAGATTTACGAGGAAATTGCTTTATGCATATCTGAGAAATTAATATATGTCATAAAGATGCTATTTTTCTCTTTTTAAAAGTCTCCTGTATGTAAGATAAAAAGGAAAACAACAGAAAACACTCCCTTGAAATAAATATTAAGAGCAGGAAAATAACCAAAAAAAAAAAAAAAAAAATATATATATATATATATATATATATATATATGTGTATATATATATATATATAACAGCAATAACCACATTTCTCCCCAGGGAATGCAAAACAGAGTACTACATTTTCAATTCACTGCCCTTTCATATCTAACCCACTATCAGTGCCTTCAAATTAACTTAACAAGTATTCACAATAAGTAATAAATTTTGATAGGCTTCATGATGATCTTCAAATTTTGAGAATAAAAACTGCAGTCCAAGTGCCTATTATAATGTTTGAAACACAATATATGTGCAGTAAAAATTTTAAAAATTAAATGAATGTGCCCATTGATATTCTTCTGTCTTCTCTAAAATAAATGTCAATTTACCATGTCTTTGTTTTTACTTTAAAAATGAGACAAATTGTCATTTCACCATTCCTACATTTTTATAAATCATTTTCAATTTTGTGTTTGTTTTTTGTATAGATTTCTTTGAAACGTGTATACTTCTCTTAGGCAATACATTCATTCTTCCATCATTTTTACAAGCCTGTTAAAAATCTGAAATTCTCAAAGAATTTCTTCTGGGTACAAACCAACTCCTCAAAATGCCTTTTTATTTTACATAGAATGGTATATGTATATGTAAAACTGAAGATATGTTTCAAAAATATTCTTAAATTTGAATATTCAAATCTCTCATTAGTTTTTATGCCATTGTAGAATGATTTCAACATTATGTATGGACAGCTGATAATGTTTATGATTTATTTAATTCTTAATATAAAGACAGTGTGGACCTTCTGCAAATATTTTATGCATTTTTTATTATCTTTCTTAATTTCATTCTCAATACTTTTATTGATGCAAGTCAAGACAAATGTGAAATGTGGCATAGTGATATAATAGAGTTACGTTTTTTCAAATGCTTTTTTTCAAAAAAGTGAGGTTTTTATTAAAAGATTATAATTTTAAGAAGTCAAAATAAACTGTATGCTGGGAGCTTTCAGAGATGACTGAGGGGAATGGTTGCTGTTTAAGCAGAATTTCACAAAAGCATCTTTTAAAGAAGTTAAAAATGAAAAAACAAACAAACAACAACAACAACAACTACAAAAAAAACCATGAACCTAAAGATATATCTTCAGTATAATTGAAAAACAATGCAAAAACATAAACCTTGCACTGTGTCAAGAGAGTGAAAAAAACAGAGCGAATTACAAATTCTACAATAAAAAGAGAGGGGCCAATGTAAAATATTAGAACATATTCACTATGACCTCCTCTACCATCCATATCTCCCTTTGCCCCTAGTCATTTAGTAAAAACACCTGATCTGCTAAACTGACAGAAGAGTATGTTTCACTTCCAAATTACGCTTACAAAAGAATTTATATATATGAAATCATTTAAAAAACAAATATTTCAAAATAACTAGAAACAAAAATTGACCAAAAAAAGGAAGTAAAATTAGAATTAATTTAACTCATGAAAGAAATAGAAGAGCAAAAGAAAATCATGTTAAAAACAAAGAGTTGGGTACCTGGTGCCCAAGAAATTATTGATTAAAATAAAAACTTCACAAGAAATATGGTAGAAATGCAAGGAAACAACCAAAACATTAAAATTGAGAAAATAAAATGCTTAAAAATTGCTAAAAACCTGTTGAACAAAGGAAAAAAGACAACAAAAATTACCAACTTTCCAAAATAATGATAAGCTACACCAAATATTTTAGTATATAACTGAATTACCTAGAACAGTGATAGGTCTAAATTTACTTGTAAACATTTTTATAAAAATAAAAGAGTAAAAATATTTGAAATAAATTCTCAGCTCAATAAGCTAAGAAAAGAACAAAAACAATAACAAATCAAGAAAGTGGAAAAATATATATAAAGATAAGAAAGAATTCAATTATGTAAGGAACACAGACATTATAAGACCTACTTAATGGATTAATATTCTGCATTTTAAAAATAGTGATTAAATTAAGTAGATACGTGCCTTGTGTATTTAATGAAAAGGAGAACAGAAAAGTACAATTAACAAAATAAGGTATGAGAAGAGGAAATAACTATTGAAATAATATTCTTAAGTAAAATAAAAAATTATTCTTCAGATATCATAAACCCTGCATAACATAGATAATATGCTAGGAATATTAAAATTATTTTATTAGAAATACAAAGTTCAAACAGAATAATATCTGTAGTGGAAACAATATTTTTAAGAAACTACTTCATTAAGAACAACAACAATAACAAGAACAGATGATTTCAAAATGGGATTCAAAGAATCTTCAAGCTTTTACAAAATGGTGATGGTTAACTTTATAGGTCAAATTGACTGAGCCAATTATTATCCATATATTTGTTCAAATATTATTCTGGGTGTTTCTGTGAGACTGTTTGTAGTTAAAATTATTATTTAAATCAGTACACTTAGTAAACCAGATTTCTGTCCCTGGTGTGGATAGGGCTCATCCAATCAACTGAGGCCTGGATGGAATGCAAGGACTGAACCTCCCTAGAATAAAATAAATTTTCCTGCCTGCCTGCCTTCAAGCTGGGACATTGACCTTTTTCCTGCTGAAACATGTGGCTTTTCTTGGGCCTTGAGCCTGCTGGCCTTTGGACTGGATCTATAATATTGTCTCTCCTGGGTATTTATCTTGCAAACTTACCCCATGTATCATGGGATGTTTTAGCCGCCATAATTATTATGTGAGCCAATTTCTCACAATACATTTAACATGCATGCACATACACACACACACACACACACACACACACAGAGTTCTGTTTCTCTAGATAACTCTAACAAATACAAAAACAGAAAATTGAGGGAAAAACTGCCAAAAGTATTTTTATAAAGCAAGTACAAACTTATCATCTAAACTTGATAAAAATAATACCAAAAAAGGTAATTACCTTGACACAATAATATCACTTCTCAGGTGAAGGTAAAAACACTAAATAAAATTTTAGCAAACCAAACTCAACAATGTCAAAACAGACTAACAGGGACCAGAGTATGAAAACAATCACAGTATTAGATTACAACTCATAAAATCTGACAATAATCCACAAGTCCATATTGACATAAACAAATAAATAACTTTACAAATCAAAGAATCAATCATCCTTAGAGTAAAATGCTAAGAAATGTAAAATAAATTATAAATAGAGAAAAATCACTATTTGTTAACCATCAAAATGGTAATTCAGGCAAAATTCATTAAACATGAAAACCATTAAGTAAAAGTTTTAGGAGTAATGTGATATTTACCTAGTATCAAAAGTATCATCCTCTAAAGTGCTTATTAATTATAAAAGATAAAATAGTAACTTTAAAGTGAAATCAATAGACAGATAAAATTTTAACCAAACAATAGACATTAATAATTCCCGGAAAGGGATTAAGGGATGGCATATTACTCCTGTTATGACACATTGAAAAAATTAGCATTACTTCTGTAGAATTGCTGCAAGAAATGTATACTATATTTCTCATTAGAAGCAATTATTAGATTTTTCCAACTGAAGGGCATTCCAAAAAATAAGTGGTTTGTGCCCTTCAACAAAATCAAGGTGGCTGAGCGCAATGGCTCATGCCTGTAATCCCAGCACTTTGGGAGGCCAAGGCAGGTGGGAAACAAGTTCAGAAGTTCGAAACCAGTCTGGCCTATATGGTGAAACCCCATCTCTACTAAAAAAAATAAAAAAGTTAGCTGGACATGGTGGCTTGTGCCTGTAATCCCAGCTACTCGGGAGGCTGAGACAGGAGAAGTACCTGAACCCAGGAGGTGGAGGTTGCAGTAAGCTGAGATCACACCACTGTACTCCAGTCTGGGCGACGGCGACGGAGCAAGACTCTGTCTGAAAAACAAACAAACAAACAAACAAAAACACTAATATCAGGGTAACTGAAGACAAACAAATACCGAGGAAATATTACAAATCATAGGTGACTAAAGCAATGTGTCAAGTAAATGCAACATGTGATCCTGGATTGGATGTTAAACCAGAAAATAAAATTATTTAAAAGACAAATATTATTAGAACAATTGGAAAAAAAAAGTTAATAAGACCAACAGATTAGAAAACAGTGCCTATTTTTTTGCTAATTTCCTAATAGTTACAACTGGATTGTGGCTATGTAAGAAATTGCCCTTGTTTTTAAGGACTATAGATTGAAGTATTTAGATGTAAATTAGCATCAAATATGTAACTTACTCTCAAATAGTTAAAAATAGTATCTATAAGAAATGATAAAGCAAACATAGTAAAATACTAGCATATGGGGAATCTGTGTGAAGAAAATATAGGGAATGTCTGTATTGCGTTTTAAATTTTTCTAAAAATATGAAATTCTTTTAAAATAAAGTAGAGCTCTACTTTAAGAGTTGATTTAAAACATGATTTACATCTTTCTGGTGTCATATTTCATATTAGAGTATCTTACATTTCAGGTAGTATGGAGTGAATAACAGTGATACATGGGATTTATATGGAATAAGCAGAAGTAAAATTTTAAAAATGAAATTTTATGACATCCATGATAGTTAAAAATAATGGCAACAAAACCACTGTAATTAATGTTTTTGTGAAGAAAAATAAGTTATGTAAATCTCAATTATCACAATTCAGGAGTTAACTTGAAGTACAATATGAAAATAAAGATATAAGGTCAGGAGATCGAGACCATCCTGGCTAACACAGTGAAACCCCGTCTCTACTGAAAACACACAAAAAAATTAACCGGGCGTGGTGGTGGGCGCCTGTAGTCCCAGCTACTCCGGAGGCTGAGGCAGGAGAATGGCGTGAACCCGGGAGGCGGAGCTTGCAGTGAGCCGAGATGGCGCCACCGTGCTTCAGCCTGGGCGACAGAGCGACACTCCGTCTCAAAAATAAATAAACAAATAAATAAATATATATATATAAAAGATACAAACTCCTTCCAGGGTTTCTTCACCACTGGACATTTGTTTCTTCTCTGTGAAAGGCATAAAGTGAAAAATGCTAAAAGACTGAACACAAAGCAGCAATCTAGACTTTCCTCTCACCGGCATAGTGTGTAGAAAAAAACAAAGTGTTTTTCCCCTGCTCTTATACTTCAACAATCAACACAGGAGACTTCTGTGACCAAACGTGTGGGGACTTTTCACCATCAAGCAAGCAATTAATTTTGCAGGGGACACCAGCTGGGTATTTTCCAACCCAATTCAATTCTGGATAGGGTGTCAGATACCACAGGTTGGGGGCTCAGTCCCACAAGGTTGCCCCCACTTCAGACACGAGTCCCAAGTACAGGCCTCCACAACTACGGACTGGCCGGCTTCAAGCTGACATTCCTCTGTTTAGGCGGAATTAATTTGCTACAGTGGCTCTCAGAACTCCGGGAAACATTTACTTACAGTTACCAGTTTATTATATTTTAGAAGATACAAATAAACAGCCAGATGATGAGACACACAGGGTGAGGTCTGAAGGGTCCTGAGCACAGAAGCTTCTTCTAGTTTTGAGTTGGAGTGTACCTGGTATGTGGATGAGTTCTTGTCCACCTTCCTGCAAGCCTCTAGAAGTTCAGCTGTCTAAAAGCTCCCTGTAACCCATTTTCTTGGGCCTTTTATGGAGAATTCAGCAGATACGGCATGACTGAAGCACGGACAATCGTGTAAAAATGTGACTGGAAGGCAGGGCGCGGTGGCTCATGCCTGTAATCTCAGCACTTTGGGAGGCCAAGATGGGCGGATCACGAGGTGAGGAGATCTAGACCATCCTGGCTAACACGGTGAAACCCCGTCTGTACTAAAAATACAAAAAATTAGCTGGCCGGCCTGGTGGCGGGTGCCTGTAGTCCCAGCTACTCGGAAGGCTGAGGCAGGAAAATGGCGTGAACCCAGGAGGCGGAGCTTGCCGTGAGCCGAGATTGCGCCACTGCACTCCAGCCTGGGCAACACAGCGAGACTCCGTCTCAAAAAAAAAAAAAAGAAAGAAAGAAAAAAAGAAAGAAAGAAATGTGACTAGAAAAAAACAGGATATCATCTAATGCTAATCGACTGAGTGGGGAAAGCCAGCAAGGCCAGACCAGATTCTTCTTGGCCTCTCTGTACAGCATTCTTTCCTCCCAGGCATTGATACAGGAGCTAAAGAAATTATTTAGGCAGGTAGTGAGGGCAACAGAGTTCTTAGCAGAACTTCTCTTCTAACAAAAAGCAGTTCCCCAAATCATTTCTTTTCTAAGAAAGATAAGCCTAAAAAATTGAGTTGTAAACATAGATAAGCAACCTGGAAGCTTGCACTGGGAATGCCGGAAACTGGGCCAATAGAAAAGGGCTACGTCGGGGCCAGGCATATCCAATATGGAGGCTCCATCTTCCTTTTTTTTTTTTTTTTTGAGACGGAGTCTCGTTCTGTCACCCAGGCTGGAGTGCAGTGGTGCCATCTCGGCTCATTGCAACCTCTGCCCACTGCTTCCCTTTATTTTGTTGTTATTACCATGTGTACAGCAAAGGAATGGGCAACATGGCACAGCTCTGGTAGAGGACACTCCTACATAATAAAAGATTAAGATGGGTGCTGCAAGAAATTTGCACCCCATACAAATGACATAGCCAGTCCTAACCAGTTTTCCACACCCTATGCAAATGGAACACCTGGTCCAACCAATCTTTTGTGCCCTGTGTAAATCAGACACGGCTTCCTCACGGAATCCTTGCATTTCACCAGGGCTCCAGCAATCCGTTTTTCTGGGACACTTCTCTGCAGCAAAGAGCTCTTCTCATTCTTTTGCCTATTAAACTTCTGCTCTCAACCTCACTCTTTGTGTGTTCATGTCCTAGTTTTCTGCTGCTATGAGACAACGAACTCGGGTGTTAGTCCAGACAATGAGGCCATTTCACTATGGGGCGAGACCCCTTCTGAAGTGAGGGTCTTATGACTCACAATCAAAGAAGGTAAATCAAATAATTTCTTTATGGCCAGCTCCAAGACAGAAAGGCAAGGAAAGATTAGAATGCTGCCTTGGGAAGAAAAAGGAGCAAGTAAAAGGAGAGCAGGAGAAGTTGAGAGAGAGAGAGAGAGAATCTGTTTTCTGAGGCCTGCTTCTGGGTCTAAAGCACCCCAACATTATAACCAAAGACCGTCATTCACCTTTATGGCTCTGAATCTGTTCTGAAGATGCTTCAGGAACTGAAGGCAAGGGTCAAATACATTAACAAAAGCAAAAGATATGCTTATTTAGTCACGAAATAGAGAGGGCCACAGTAGTTATGAGACAGAAAGTGAGAATGAGACAGAGCGGTGTTTCCAGAGTGCCAGACATGTTTCATATTTTAATCTGAGTGGTTGTTTTGTGGGAATATTTACTTTGTAAAAATTAATTGAGCTGCACACTTAAGATTTGCTACTTCTTATGTATTTCAAGAGAAATATTAAAACAGATGAAACAAACTACTATGTCCCATATAGACTACTGTAAAAAGCATTATTTTTGCTAATGCTTAATGAAATTAATGAAGCCTCCATGATTAATATACACAGTTTACAGTATAATCTGTGAAATTGATATTTGATTATTAATGAAGATATAATATCTAAAAGTAGCCTTTCCATCAACATAATAGAGAACAGGAGACAAGATAAATGATTGAAAAAGGTATAGTTCAGAGAATCCAGTTATTTAGACAGAGCTGTCAAATTATATTTTATTTTAAATGAGAAGGACAAGAGTAAATACCAAAATTAAAAGATAGCTTGTGGATATGACATGCTTCCACAAACCAAATATATAATGCCTTATCTTGGA
Source organism: Homo sapiens (assembly GCF_000001405.40). NCBI lineage: Eukaryota > Metazoa > Chordata > Mammalia > Primates > Hominidae > Homo > Homo sapiens. The sequence continues at coordinate 29,669,034 of NC_000004.12, forward strand.
TTTTGGCATGTATACAGTTTTTCAAACCTTCATTGACTTTTATATTAACCTCCTTATTGAGCACATATGGACATCCTACATCCCTTTAATATGGTTTGGTGAAGAAGTAATTTCAAATATCGAACAACAGCAGCCAGGCCCGAACCAATCAGAATATGCACCAGCCATAATAAACTGACACATCCCCGCAGAAGTATCCTGGTTAAACAAGAGCCTGGCCAAGTGTCATGCTAATAAGCATGCAAAAATAAATATTGAACATGTAATCTAAATCTAAAGATCACTAATATTACAATAAGAACCTGAGGAATTATGAATTCCTATTTTAAAAAATTAAAAATCATAGTGCTTCCATATATAAGTGTGTAATATTTGAGCAACAGTAAAAGATTTTAACCTAAGCAAGTATTATCTCAAATTAACATTGCCATAAAAGATGACTAAAACAAGCCTTTCCATTTAGATTTAATGTAAGATGAGTTCCCATGTGTATGTTTTTATTTTAAATGTTTAAAATCCCAAAAAGGTGTCAGTATTCTTCAAAAGAATATATTAGAGTGTTGAAAAGTTTCAGAAAAGTAAAATATCTAGGCATATATTACCTGAGCCTCTTAATTCAAATCATAACCTGTATATCCAGGTAAATGGACTCACCTAATAGAACATACAACAAATAAATAGTTACGACCACTTCAGTAATCCACTTAATAGTTTTCCAGTGCAATTTGTTCCTTTCCAGTCTGACTAGCCGAAAATTTTGAAGTTTTATTTTGTCACATGAATTTGATAAAGATTTAACTAAAATTGCTCACACAAATTTTTATTTTTCTGTGCCTGTTTTTAAGGAATTCTTTCTTATTTTGTTGGTTAGTGTGCAGAGGAGGGCCAACACACTCTCTTTGAAGAGGCATTAATTTTTTTTCTTTTTTCTTTTTTTTGAGACGGAGTCTCGCTCTGTCCCCCAGGCTGGAGTGCAGCGAAGCAATCTCAGCTAACTGCAAGCTCCGCCTCCCGGGTTCACGCCATTCTCCTGCCTCAGCCTCCCGAGGAGCTGGGACTAAAGGCGCCCGCCCCTACGCCTGGCTAATATTTTTGTATTTTTAGTAGAGACGTGGTTTCACTGTGTTAGCCAGGATGGTTTCCATCTCCTGACCTTGTGATCCACCCGCCTCGGCCTCCCAAAGAGGCACTAATTTTGAGTTTGTGCAGTACACACCCACTCTTTTATTCCCTTTTCTGCGTCTGTCTATTGGCACATGCCTAAGTGATTTCCACAAATATTTGAATGCTCTGATTTGAGAATTTCCATATGGGTGAATTTGTTTTTATTACGTTGAAAGTTTATAATAATATAGTGTTAAAACAAAGTAAGGCTATACACATCCAAAATTTTGTAAAATAAATTATTCTTAAAAATGTAACACTGTTGTGTGGGATGGTTTTATAAAGCAGTATAATGCCCTATAAAGTAAAAAAAAAAAGCATATAAATCTAATTACACATTTTGACAATTCTGATAGCAATCCAATTTCTAGATGCTGTAAATATTTAGCAATTAACTGACAATAATATAGTTTTCACAACCTTAGAATATCAGAAGACCTTGTGGACTTCCGTGGATGGCCGGAGTCTCACTGAAAAGTCACTACCAGGAAGTTTGTGTTTGAGTAGATATGTCACTATTTCCTTTGATAAATTTTAATAAACAAGCAATTATAATAAGAATCATTCTATAAACTATATTCCACAGTAATGTTGATAGAGCTATAGAGTCAATCAGATATCCTGATACAGAAAGTTGTCAGATTAGTCATTATTTTTCTTTTTTCATGTATTTATTTAGCAGCAAGAAGATTTAAAGAAATGAATATGGTTTTAGGGTTTATAAGTTTATAACTTTAAAAAGGATAAACTTCCTTCTTTTAACTGCCATGCAAAATAATTGAAGATAGAAGTTTTCAACTTAAGATAAAATAAACTACAAAACAAATAGTTGTAAAAGGTATTTTTGAGATTTTGGTGACTACATATGCCCTGGATTAATTAATTTGTACAAATCATATTTATTGAAAACTTATCAGGTACTGTTCAACAAAGACAGAGATGAATACTTTTTAACTTTAAGGAGATTATTGAAAAGCCAAAAAACAACAACAATGACAACAAAAAAAACCTGGCCATTATTGTTTTGGAAAGCAAGTTATACTGTACTGCTAAAAGCAATATATTAAAATAAGACAGTATCTTATGTGGGTTTATACTGTGGCTTTGTATTACTAAGCAAGAATGCCAACAGTGAATTAAGATATTGTGATGCTTAATTTTAGGTGTCAATTTGACTGGATTAAAGAATACCTAAATGAAGGTGTTTACAGGAGTAGTACATAAGTCTGAATGGACTAGGCAGGGAAGATCCACCTTTAATGTTGGTGGGAACAACCCAATCAACTTTGAGCCCTGATAGAGCAGAAACAGAGAAAAGGGGAATTGTTCTTTCTCTCTGGAGGCTGGTGTATACCCTTCTTTTCCTGACTTTATCAGAACTCCAGGCTCTCTGGCCTTTGGATTTCAAGATTTGCACCAGTGGCCTCCCAGGTTCTTGGGCTTTTAGCCTCAAAGTGAGAGTTACATCATTAGCCTCCTTGGTTCTAAGGCCTTCAGACTTGGACTGACTCATGCTGCCAGCATCCTAAGGGCTCTAGATTGCAGACAGCCTGTCTTGGGGCTTTGCTTCCATAAATGTGTGAGCCAATTTCTCCTAAAAATATTCCTTCTCATCTATCTATCTATCTATCTATCTATCTATCTATCTATCTATCCTATTGGTTCTATCTCATTGGAGAATCCTAACTAATACAGAAGTAAAAATAAATGTTAAAATAGCTTGATATTCTATTGATTGATTCTAGCATTTAACTAGTATGTATTTATTACCTCCTGTTAGCCAAGTGTGGTTTGGGATATATCAGATTGGCCAATTAAAGAAACAGGGAAGAGTTATTTTTATTTCCGGAATTTGCAATGTAGATTCAAAGTTAGACATTTAATTGTGTTGCAGTGGGCAATAACCTCAGGGCTAGAAATTTCTACCAATTATCTAATAGAATAATCTTTCTTTGCATTCTAGTAGGATTGATGTGTAATGGGATGCTAGATGTCTCCCAGGAAGGCCCAACTCGTGTTCTTTCACACTTATGTTTCTCTGGCTATTCTTCATTATGTGGCTGGCTCACATGCACTATGTTCTGGGAGGACACTACTATTCATCATCTTTACCTCTCTTTTGTCCTGAAAAGGCCTCTGAGCATGAAATGTCTCTGTTTACTGAAATGTGACAAAAGCTCATTCTCTTTCACAGGTTGAATAGTTATGGGTTGGCATTGTTATATTAGGTTGGTTCAAAAATCATTGCGTTTTTTGACATTAAAAGCAACTGCAAAAATCACAATGAGTTTTGCACCAAGCTAATAAAAAGCACTGAGGTCCAAGATTCCTATGTTTATTTCATGCAAAGGATACAAAATTAGAAATTTCACCTTGCTTTGTTGCTAGGTCTTAAGACATCTTTAGACCATGATAAAAGTGTGCTGAGTGCTTCAGCCTAGATAAAAATGGATTACAGTAAGATTTGGGGCTTATTTTATCTACTGTAGTATGATTTACATCTATCTACAGTATGAATGTCCTGCTGTTTAATATTTTCTGCCAGTTACCCTAATGAGTTTGTGCCAATTTGAAGTATACTGCAACATACTATATTCCACCTGTCTAAAGATTTAGCAAAGATGTAAATAAGATGGGTAAATAAATAGACCGATACATTTTAATTAGAACATAAGCTTTTTTTTAACAAGAATTAAGGATCTTCCATAATGGTAAAGTAAGAGAAAGAAAGTTGCATTTATTTTTTTGTTTCAATTCCTGACTTTTTGAAGAGTAAAAATCTTTTTTTTTTTTTTTTTTCGGAATGTGGTTCAATGGCAGAACTGTGATTAGAAAATGACAGCAGTAGAGTAAGAAAATTAAGTCTCTGAGGAATAGAACGGCAAAGATCTTTGATAATTAAAACCAAAGCCTTTTATAGTGGCCAATTCAAATCCAGCAGATTTTAGTAGAGGCCAAAAGTGCTTGGTTTGATGGATGTTCAATATAATTTGTGAAACAAAGACAAAGGAGTGGGTCTTGTGTCTTCAGCCATCATTTCTTCAAATCTAAAGTAGCAATTGGCATACTCATTACCTTGCTCTAATGAAGTTGGCAAGGATTGAAATAGCAAAAGAGGGTTACCTATTAGATATAGAACAAAGGGAAACTGTTAGAAAAATATTAGCTATTCCATTCTTTTCTTTCTTTTCCTCCAGGATAAATTTGGCCTATTAATTTTGAAACTAAACTATATTTTGGGGACCACAATGTAACAGAAAAAATGCTACCTCTTGCATCTCCCCAGGTATTAGGTCACTATTAATATAAACACTTTATTCCCAACCTCATAGCTGGTTATTAATACTATGGGGTAGAAATACCATTAATAGGCTGTAGCCAGACTGCCTCTCTAGATTCCTCCTCTCTGGGCAGAGCATCTCTGAAAGAAAGGCAGCAGCCCCAGTCAGGGGCTTATAGATAAAACTCCCATCTCCCTGGGACAGAGCACCTGGGGGAAGGGGCAGCTATGGGTGCAGCTTCAGTAGGCTTAAGTGTTCCTGCCTGCCAGCTCTGAAGAGTGCAGTGAATATCCCAGCACAAAGCTCGAACTCTGCTAAGGGACAGAGTGCCACCTCAAGTAGGTCCCTGACCCCCATGCCTCCTGACTGGGAGACACCTCCCAGCAGGGATCAACAGACACCTCATACAGGAGAGCTCCAGCTGGCATCTGGTGGGTGTCCATCTGGGATGAAGCTTCCAGAGGAAGGATGAGGCAGCAAACTTTGCTGTTCTTCAGCCTCCGTTGGTGATACTCAGGCAAACAGGGTCTGGAGTGAACCTCCAGCAGACTCCAGCAGACCTGCAGCAGAGGGGCCTGACTGTTAAAAGGAAAACTAACAAACAGAAAGGAATGGCATCAACATCAACAAAATGAATGTCCACACAGAAACCCCATCTGAAGGTCACCAACATCAAAGACCAAAGGTAGATAAATCCACAAAGATGAGGAAAAACCAGCTCAACAAGTCTGAAAATTCCAAAAACCAGAATGCCTCTTCTCTTCTAAAGGATCACAACTCCTCACCAGCAAGGAAACAAAACTGGACAGAGAATGAATTCAACGAATTGACAGAAGTTGGCTTCAGAATGTGGGTAATAACAAACTCCTCCAAGCTAAAGAAGCATGTTCTAACCCAATGCAAGAAAGCTAAGAACCTTGAAAAAAGGTTACAGAAATTACTAACTGGAATAACCAGTTTAGAGAAGAACATAAATGACCTGATGGAGCTGAAAAACACAACATGAGAACTTCATGAAGCATACACAAGTATCAATAGTTGAACTGATCAAGCAGAAGAAAGGATATCAGAGATTGAAGATCAACCTAATGAAATAAAGTTTGAAGACAAGATTAGAGAAAATAATAAATGAAAAGGAACAAACAAAGCCTCCAAGAAATATGGGACAATGTGAAAAGACAAAACCTACATTTGACTGGTGTACCTGAAAGTGATGGGGAGAATGGAATGAAGTTGGAAAACATTCTTTATGATATTATCCAGGAGAACTTCTCCAATCTAGCGAGGCAGGCCAACATTCAAATTCAGGAAATACAGAGAACACCACAAAGATACTCCTTGAGAAGAGCAACCTCAAGACACATAATCTTCAGATTCACCAAGGTTGAAATGAAGGAAAAAATGTTAAGGGCAGCCAGAGAGAAAGGTCAGGTTACCCGCAAAAGGAAGCCCATCAGACTAACAGTGGATCTCTCTGCAGAAACCTTACAAGCCAGAAGAGAATGGGGGCCAATATTCAACATTTTTAAAGAAAAGAATTATCAACCCAGAATTCCATATCTAGCCAAACTAAGCTTCAAAAGCAAAGCTGAAATGAAATCCTTTACAGGCAAGCAAATGCTGAGAGATTTTGTCACCACCAGGCCTCCCTTACAAGAGCTCCTGAAGGAAGCCCTAAATACGGAAAGGAACAACTGGTACCAGCCACTGCAAAAACATACCAAATTGTAAAGACCATTGACACTATGAAGAAGCTGCACCAACTAACGGGCAAAATAACCAGCTAGCATCATAATGACAAAATCAAATTCACACATTAGAAGGTTAACCTTAAATGTAAATGGTCTAAATGCCCAAATTAAAAGACACAGACTAGCAAACTGGATAAACAGTCAAGACTCATCAGTGTGTTGTATTCAGGAGACCCATCTCACATGTTAAGACACATGTAGGATCAAAATAAAGGGATGGAGGAATATTTACCAAGCAAATGGAAAGCACAAAAAAGCAAGGGTTGCAATCCTAGTCCCTGATAAAACAGACTTTAAACCAACAAAGATCAAAAGAGACAAAGGCCACTACATAATGGTAAAGGGATTAATGCAACAAGAAAAGCTAACTATCCTAAATATATATGCTCCTAATACAGGAGCACCCAGATGGAAAAAAAATAAAGCAAGTTCTTAGAAACCTCCAAAGAGACTTAGACTCCCACGCAGTAAGAGTGAGAAACTGTAACACCCCACTGTCAATTTTAGAAAGATCAGCAAGGCAGAAAATTAACAAGAATGTTCAGGACTTGAACTCAGCTCTAGACCTAATAGACATCTACAGAACTCTTCACCCCAAATCAACAGAATATACATTTTCTCAGAACCACATCACACTTACTCTAAAATTGATGACATAATTGGAAGTAAAACACACCTCAGATAATGCAAAAGAACGGAAATCATAACAAACTGTCTCTCAGACCACAGTGCAATCAAATCAGCACTCAGGATTAAGAAACTCACTCAAAACTGCACAACTACATGGAAACTGAACAACCTGCTCCTGAATGACTACTGGGTAAATAACAAAATTAAAACAGAAATAAATAAGTTTTTTTAACCCAATGAGAACAAAGACACAATGTACCAGAATCTCTGGGACACAGCTAAAGCAGTGTTTAGGGGGAAATTTTTAGCACTAAATGCCCACAGGAGAAAGTGGGAAAGATCTAAAATCAATACCCTAATATCACAATTAAAAGAAATAGGGAAGCAAGAACAAACAAATTCAAAAGCTAGCAGAAGACAAGAAATAACTAAGATCAGAGCAGAACTGAAGAAGAGAGAGACACGAAAAACCCTTCAAAAAATCAATGAATCCAGGAGCTGGTTTTTTGAAAAGATTGACAAAATAGACCGCTAGCCAGAATAATAAAGAATAAAACAGAGAAGGACGAAATAGACACAATAAATAATGATAAAGGGATATCACCACTCATCCCACAGAAATACAAACCACAATCAGAGAATACTATAAAAACCTCTACACAAATAAACTAGAAAACCTAAAAGAAATGGATAAATTCCTGGACACATACACCCTCCCAAGAGTAAACAAGGAAGAAGTTGAATCCCTGAATTGACCAATAACAAGTTCTGAAATTGAGACAGTAATTAAAAGCCTACCAACCAAAAAAAGCTCAGGACTAGACGGATTCACAGCCGAATTCTAACAGAGGTGCAAAGAGGAGCTGGTAGCATTCCTTCTGAAACTATTGCAAATAATAGGAAAAGAGGGACTCCTCCCTAACTCATTTTATGAGGCCACCATCATCCTGATACCAAAACCTGGCAGAGACACAGCAGCAACAAAAAAATTAAACACCACTTCATGCTAAAAACTCTCAATAAACTAGGTATTGATGGAACATATCTCAAAATAATAAGAGCTATTTATGACAAATCCACAGCCAATATCATACTGAGTGGGCAAAAGCTGGAAGCATTCCCTTTGAAAACTGGCACAAGACAAGGATGCCCTCTCTCACCACTCGTATTCAACATAGTGTTGGAAGTTCTGGCCAGGGCAATCAGGCAAGAGAAATAAATAAGAGGCATTCAAATAGGGAGAGAGGAAGTCAAATTGTCTCTGTTTGCAGATATGATTGTAGATTTAGAAAAGCCCATAGTCTCAGCCCAAAATCTCCTTAAGCTGATAAGCAACTTCAGCAAAGTCTCAGGATACAAAATCAATGTTTAAAAATCACAAGCATTTCTGTACACCAATAATGGACAAATAGAGAGCCAAATCATGAGTGAACTCCCATTCACAATTGCTATGAAGAGAATAAAATACCTGGGAATACAACTTACAAGTGATGTGAAGGACCTCTTCTAGGAGAATGACAAACCACTGCTCAAGGAAATAAGAGAGGACACGAGCAAATAGAAAAAACATTCCATGCTCATGGATAGGAAGAATCAATATTGTGAAAATGGCCATACTGCCAAAAGTAATTTATAGATTCAATGCTATCCCCATCAAGCTACCATTGACTTTCTTCACAGAATTAGAAAAAACTACTTTAAATTTAATATGGAACCAAAAAAGAGCCCACAGAGCCAAGACAATGCTAAGCAAAAAGAACAAAGCTGGAGGCATTACACTACCTGACTTCAAATTATACTACAAGGCTACAGTAACCAAAAAAACATAATGCTGATACAAAAACAGATACATAGACCAATGGAACAGAATAGAGTCCTCAGAAATAACACCACCCATCTACAACATCTGATCTTCGACAAACCTGACAAAAACAAGCAGTGGGGAAAGGATTCTCTGTTTAATAAATGGTGTTGGGAAAACTGGCTAGCCACACACAGAAAACTATAACTGGGCCCCTTCCTTACACCTTATACAAAAATTAACTCAAGATAGAATAGGTAAATGTAAGAATTAGAACCATAAAAACCCTAGAAGAAAACCTAGGCAATACCATTCAAGCCATAGACATGGCCAAAGATTTCATGACTAAAACACCAAAAACAATGGCAACAAAAACAGAAATTGACAAATGGGATCTAATTAAACAAAAGAGCTTCTGCACAGCAAAAGAAACCAGCATCAGTGTGAACAGGCAACCTACAGAATGAGAGAAAATTTTTGCAATCTATCCATCTTACAAAGTGCTAATATCCAGAGTCTAAAAGGACATTAAACAAATTTACAAGAACAAAACAAAAAACCCCATCAAAACGTGGGTGAAACAGACACTTCTCAAAAGAAGACATTATATGGCCAACAAACATATTTAAGAAAAGGTAATCATCAGTGGTCACTAAAGAAACTCAAATCAAAACCACAATGAGATACCATCTCAGGCCAGATAGAATGGCGATCATTAAAAAGTCAGGACAGCAGATGCTGGAGAGAATGTGGAGAAATAGTAACGCTTTTACACTGTTGGTGGGAATGTAAATTAGTTCAAACATTGTGGAAGACAGTGTGGCAATTCCTCAAGGATCTAGAACTAGAAATGCCATTTGACCAAGCAATCCCATTACTAGGTACATACCCAAAGGATTATAAATAATTCTACTGTAAAGACACATGTACACATATGTTTACTGCAGCACTGTTCACAATAGCAAAGACTTGGAACCAACCCAAATGTCCATCAATGATAGACTGGATAAAGAAAATGTGGCACATATACACCATGCCATACTATGCAGCCATAAAAAAGGATGAGTTCATGTCCTTTGCAGGGACATGGGTGAAGCTGGAAACCATCATTCTCAGAAAACTAACACAGATACAGAAAACGAAACACTGCGTGTTCTCACTCATAAGTGGGAGTTGAACACTGAGAACACATGGACACAGGAAAGGGAACATCACACACCGGGGCCTGTTGGGGGGCGCGGGACTACGGGAGGGATAACATTAGGAGAAATACCTAATATAGATGACGGGATGATGGATGCAGCAAACCACCATGGCACGTGGATACATATGTAACAAACCTGCACGTTCTGCACATGTATCCCGGAACTTAAAGTATAATAATAAAAAAAGAAAAAAATGCCATTAATATAATTTCAGTCAAGATGGTCTTGAAGTTGATGTTTTGAAGCCTTCCCTTGGCTCTGCACACATAGCAATGTGAGAAAAAATAAAATAATGAGAGACACATTACAATAAAATATAATTAAAAGGAATAGCTTTTCTCTTGAACAAGAACAAAAGAAGGGAAAAATGAACAAAACACAAATGGGTATCAGGAATGGTGAAATATGTTTTATTGATTCTGGTTTCAAAAGCAGCTAAGGAAACTGGGAGTTTGGCTCATATGAGTAATAGAATAAAAGATGTAGCAGGTCTTCTATTTATTATGGTTTTAATTTGGGATCCTCTTTGTTTTTGTAAGTAAATTAATTTAAAAATTTGTTACAGAACATTGCTGCTAAGCCTTATATATGAAAGAAAGCCAGAGAACACAGTTACAAATCAGTGGCCTGGATTTCAACCAAGATTGGATTACTTCTCTGATTTCCCTGCTATAGTCACTTACAAGATGCTCTGAGATGCCCTTATAAGACCCGGCAATACTAGACAGAGACGAAAAATGCCAGATAAGAGAAAACTGCCAACATTTCAGGAAGTGTGAAATCTCAGACACCATTAATGAGAAACTAAAATGGGGAAAGGAAGAGGAAGACAAAGAGACAAATACAGAGAGAGAGAAATCACAGATCAAATGAAGAAAATTTCACTAAGAAGGCTAATACATTTAAAACTTAGGAATTAAATTCTGCACTCTCAAAATTAAGATACTAAGATAATCAAATGGGATTTGAATATAAATGTAAAATGATAACAGCAAAAAGTCAAATAATGGAATACTTTCATAAAATAGAGAGGTTTAAATAAAAACAGAATAAAATAAATAAAATATATTCTTACATAAGCAGGAGTATTGCTAATCCAAAGTCCAATTGTTAAAAAAAATATGCATAAAAAATTAGAAATACAAAAATGGCCGGCTGGGAACCAACACTGTTCTTAAGTGGATTGAATAGTTAGCTTGTAGTGACCTGGACTGGGGGGATGGGTGGATTCCGTGGGAAGGGAGCATTGATATTCCAATCTTTCCAAAAAGGATACTAGATAGATTATCATTAGGTGTTCATCTTTCTTTAACACTTAGTAAATCTGTTAACATAATAATCATTCGCTATTGAAAAGGTTTTAAGAAAGCAAAGGCAGGATAAAGCAAATATAACAGAGCTGTTTTAGATAGAAAAGATATAAGTACATGGCATAATAGTAACATCAATGCATTCTCAAATTATTCTAGCAAACAAAATTTTAAGGAAAATTCACTGTTAGGCTATATGGTCTCTTTGATCAGATGAAGATTTAATAAAGAGTTCAAAAAACATCAGAAGTGTTTGTCTTATATGAAAGATGTATTTCCATTATGCATTCCAATTGAAAAGCAAATGAAAAAAAAAGGCATTTGGAAATCAATGGGGTGGATATATTTATAAATGACATACAATGAAGTTTCAAAATGAGCAAACAATGAAGTATGTGAGGAGAAAGATAGAAAGGAAATAAAAATTGCAGGGAATAATAAAAACATTCTGTCTTGAAACATTGTTTAGTGTAGTAACAATTAGCTTAGCAATAAAATATTTTGTAAATGTGCTAGTTTACACTTAGAAATAGGAAAACATGTCATTAAAAATTGATTTTTTTTCTTGTCATTTAACAGAAAGAAAATAGTGCCCCTTTTAACAAGGAGCTCATTCATTTCAGTGATGGCTTTAATGATAGTTAATCATGATAATGGCAGTGGCTGATGTAAGCACTCCTGATTAGTTCAGTCTTGTTTTTATGTATATTTAAAGCAAAAGACAGGTTTTCCCAGAGACTTCAATTCTTTCTGCTCTGGTTCATCCCCTAAATTAAAATGCAACATTTCAAACACACGTTTAAGCTTTTTCATTCTATATTACATATCTACTTATCAAAGGATATAGCCTTTCAGGGTGTGAAATACATCGTTTTGAGCCAGAAAGACATATGATTATTAGTGAATTATAAGATTTCTCAAAAAGTCTACTTTCACCAACACATTCCCACACGCTTCTAACCTCTCACCACACACAGAAAATTGATGAGGGAAGAGGTGAGAGAAGGGATAAAAAATTGGTGACAAGAAAATATTGTCTCTGATTAGTTGTGTCTATATGGTTATTGCCTTTCCTAATGTTTTCCATCAACTCAAAACAAAAACAAGACTGAATAATTAGCCATTTTGAAGAGAAAACTACACAAATCTAGAATATCCAAATAATTAAAACATACAAAACCCCAGTAATAAAAAGGAGTACTAGAAAGTACTAAAAAAGGATAGTGTCTGCTTTTTAAATTTTTAATTTTATTTTTATTTATTTTATTTTATTATTTTATTTTTTGAAACAGAGTCTCAAAGAGTCTCACAGTGGCTCGATCTCGGCTCACTGCACCCTCCGCCTCCCAGGTTCAAGTGACTCTCGTGCCTCAGCATCTTGAATAGCTGAAACTACAGACCCATGCCACCACACCTGGCTAATTTTTTATATCTAATAGAGATAGGTTTTCACCATGTTGGCCAGGCTGGTCTCAAACTCCTGGACTCAAGTAATTCGCCAGCCTCAGCCTCCTAAAATGCTGGGGTTACAGGCATAAGCCACTGCGCCCAGACGGGTCTACCTTTTATTTTTATTTTTTAAATTGACTTTATTTATGATTCCACTGCAGGGATTTTAAAGCTGTATTTGAATAGTTACTTCCCCAAATTACATCTTCATAAAGGGCATCAGAAACCTGATACCCTATAATTAATACATTTGATTTTGTTTTATATAGTCATCCATGGTTTAGAATACAGGAGAAAACACTAAGATCATTTATCATTTAGGCAGATAATATCTGTAAATATTTTACTTCTATGGTATAAATTCTCATTATGTGAAAAAATAATGTTACTTCTGCATTCAATTTTCATCTTACAATTTTCTTTCTTGCCCCTATGCCCGATGAGAGACTTAAATGGACAGTTTTGCTTCCTGAAGTCCTCTTCCCACTAATGTGAGTGACTGAATCTAGAGTAACAAAAAGAGTCTCATTTTACCTCTACACTGAGTATCAGGAAACTACCACATGAAAATATAAATGGAGGAGTTATGTACAGCCAGAAATAAATGTTTAATTAATAAAGGCTGTCCTTGGTATTTGGCATATTTTAAAAAAGCATTCTCTTCAAAGTGACTTCTCTGTTTTCACACCAATTCTGTCTTTAAAATCTCTATTTGTGCCAGAACTGTAGCATAACTAGAATGTTCTCATCTATTTCACATATGGTTAGAGTTAAGAGAATTTTTAAAATCTTTGAGAGAAAAATATGGCTAAATGCTAGGATGCCACTTTTAGTTCTCAGGAACATGTGTAAACAAATTCCTGAAAATGTTTTTTTTTTCTTAATTTCCATTCTTTCTTCTGCCAATTTTTCAGCAAATATTTTAATTTGGTTTTCAACTAAGAATTCGCTATCTAAGTAACTTATACCTGGAAAACAAAGTACTTTCTATTAAATAAAATACTAGACAGTGTTTTTATTTTGAGTTCCAATGAATAAATGTGATCTATTGCCATTACATAAATTTCCTAATGATTTTGACAGTAGTAACAATGCTCAACATGTTCTTAACCACAGTCAATCAAAAGATAATTTCTTTATCTTAAAAACTTATTAAAATATTTTGTTCTTATTTCTTATTCTCCCATATATTTAAAATTTCCCTATCAGCTCACGAAATACAATATAAAATTATGGCACCCCTATTCTTTATTTCTTATTCTGTATAATATTATGCATTTGATATCTGCAACTTTGTGCTCTGATGGCAAATGTTATTTCATATATACAATATATTTTCGATAACAGATATCAAAATACCTACCATTAGGAAGCTTCAAATAAAAGGAGAAGAAAAGCATGAATAACATGGAATAAACCTTCACGTTGACAACCAATTCAAGAGTGAATAAAAATACAGAAAACAAAAGCTTGGTATTAAATTTACAATATGTGAAAATAATGTGAATATTATGTAAAATATGCCTAAAACAACGTCATTTATCAAGTGATATAAGAAAAAGAAGGAATCTAATTTCATATTGGGCAGCAAAGTAGTTTCATAAACATGAAGAGTTGAGATAAAACTCAGACATAAAGAGGAAAGATGTAGACCAAATGAAAAGGTCTAGAACACAAACAGGCAAGATATAGGTTGTCTGTGAGTGAGGGTGGAGGGGCTACACAAAGAATGGAGCCAGAAGGTGAACAGCTTTGATGGCCACAGTTAGATGCTAGTATTTGATCCTAGCACCGTTGAGAAAGCACTAAAAGCCTGAGTGAAGAAATACTTGTTTAAAGCCACTAGAATTGAAAGGGGTTTAGAGGTTGGAGAGAGAATATTTTAGATTGGTCATTTTGAACTGATCAGAAGCAGGAGCTAGGGTTTAGAAGTGGAAGTAAAATGAGTAAATTAGAACAAAAATCAAAATATAAATATTTTATATATACATATGAATATATATACAATATAGTCATATATTTGAATGTATATATATGTGTGTGCATATCAGGCATCCGTCATTTTATAGCACTTTGCTTTTTGAGCTTTACAGATATTGCATTTTTTTTTTACAAATTCAAGGTTTGTGGAAACGTTGCATCAAACAAGTCTACCAGTGTTATTGTTCCAACAGCATGTGCACACTTCATGTCTTCTTGTTACATTTTGGTAATTCTCACGATATTTCAATCTTTTTAATTATCATACCTGTTGTGTGGATTTGCAATCAGTGATCTTTGATGTTACTATCAACATTGTTTTGGGGTGCCAAAAACCATGCCCATATAATACTGCAAACTTAATCAATAAATGTGTGTGTTCTGACTGCTCCACTGACCAGCCATTTCCCCCACATGTCTCTTTCTCCTTGGGCCTCCCTACTTTTTGAGAAACAACAATATTAAATTAGCCCAATTAATAATTTTACAATGGCCTATAAGTGTTCAAGTGCAAGGAAGAGCCACTTGTCTTTCACTTTAAAACAGAAACTAGGAATGATTACACTTAGTGAGGAAGGCATTTTAAAAGTCGAGATAGGCTGAAAGCTAGGTGTCTTGCACCAGTTTGTCAAGATGTAAATATGAAGGAAAAGTTCTTGAAGGAAATTAAAAGTGCTACTCCAGTAAACACACAAATGATAAGAAAATAAAGCAGACTTATTGCTGGTATGGAGAAAGTGGTCTGGATGAAAGATCAAACTAGCTACAACATTCTTTTAAACCAAAGCCCAATGAGGACAAAGTCCTAACTCCCTTCAATTCTGCGAAGGCTGAGAGAGGTGAGGAAGCTTCAGAAGAAAAGTTTGACGCTAACAGAGGTTGGCTTGTGAGGTTTAAAGAAAGAAGGTATCTAAAGAACATAGAAGTGCAAGTGGAAGCAGCAAGTGCTGCTGTAGAAGCTGGAACAACTCAACCAGAAGATCAGCTAATATAATTAATGAAGGTAGCTAAGCTAAACCACATATTTTCAATGTAGACAAAACAGGCTTATAATGGAGTAAGATGATATCTAGGACTGTGATAGCTAAAGAGGAGAAGCGGATGCTTGGCTTCATAACTGCAAAGGACAGGCTGACTCTCACTAGGAGCTGATATAGCTGATGACTATGTTGAAGCCAATACTCATTTGACCATTTCTGAAATCCTAAGACCCTTAAGTATTATGATTAATTTACTCTGCCTATGGTCTATAAATGGAACAACAAAGCCTGGGTAACACCACATCTATTTACAGCATAGTTTACTGAATAGTTGAAACCCTTCATTGAGAGTAACTGCTCAGAAAATAGATTCCTTTCAAAGCATTACTTCTCATTGACAAACCAGCTTGACACGTAAGAGCTCTGATGGAGATGTATACGGAGATTAACCCCTGCTAACACAACATCAACTCTGCATCCAAGAATCAATTGGTCATTTTAACGTTTAAGTTTTATTATTTAAGGAATACATACTGTAATGCTGTGTGTGTCATAGATAGTAATTCCTCTAACAGATCCAATAAGATGAAGGCAAAACTTTCTGAAAAAGATTCACCATTCTAGATGCCATAAGAACATATGGAATTCATGGTAGTAGATCAAAATATCAACATTAACCTTCTTAGAGAAGAAGTTGATTCTAACTCTCATGGATGACTTTGAGAGGTTCCATACTTCAATGGAGAAAGTAACTGAAGATGTGATGGAAATAACAAGAGAACTAGAATTAGAAGTGAAACCTAAATGTGTGGCTGAATTTCTTCTGTCCATAATCAAACTTAAACAGATGAGCAGCTGATTATTATGGATGAACAAAACAAGTGGCTTCCTGAGATGTCATCTACTCCTGGTGAAGATGCTGTGAAGATCATTGAAATTACAACAAAATATTTGGAATATTACATAAGCAGTTGATAAAGCAATGGCAGGATTTGAGAAGATTGACTTCAATTTTGAAAGGAGTTCTACTATTGGTGAAATCCTCTCAAATAGCATTGTATGATACAGAGAAATGTTTCATGAAGGAATAATCAATCAATGTGGCAAACTTCATTGTTGTCCTACTTTACCAAATTACCACATAACTCTAACCTTCAGCAACCACCACCTTGATCCATCAGCAGTCACCAATATTGAAATAAGACTCTCCACTATAAGAGATTAGAACTCATTGAAGGCTCAGATGACTGTTAACACTCTTTAACAATAAAGTACTCTTTATTTAAGGTAGGTACATTTTTAGACATAATGCTCTTGCACACTTTAAAAACTACAGCATTGTGTAAACATAACTTTTATATACACTGGGAAGTCAAACAATTTTGCGACTTGATTTATTGAAATATTAGCTTCATTCTGGTAGTCAGAACTCAACCCACAATATCTTCAAGGTATGCCTGTAGTTAAAAGAAATCCTGGACAACATTTTATGGGGTAAAAACAGAAGAAAGAACATCAAATTTTAAGTTACATACATTCTTACGTATGCATTTACATTACTACTTATAATAGCTGTACAATGCTGAATGCTGTAGAAAAGAAACGAATGGGATTTTCTCTGCCGTTCTTAATTGTGAGCTCCAATTCTTTCCTTTAATCTTTCTCTTATTATAGACAAATTAATTGATATCTCTCAATCTGAATGATCTGATCTGTTAAATGTGAGTGAAAGCATTGTTACTACATATATTAATGTTATTGTAATATAGTGAGAATTGAATTTAATATCATTTTCTAAATAAAAAATAATATTATAAATATTAACAATTGTTTAAAAGACTTTTAAAATCAGGTTAATATCAGTAATTGAGATGGTGTGGGGAATTAGCAAATTTAAAAAATGCTGTAAAGGAAAAAAGCCCCAAATTTTGTACCTTTAATAAGAGTTCTCCCGATTATGTTCATTTTAATATTTTGTCTTTTTTCTTTTATATTTTAAGGAGACAGAAAATAATAATCTCCCTTAATATATTAAGATATCTATTTTAGAAGGCTCTGACTTTTTGTACTAAGTCACAGTTTGGTATAAGCAAATGAACTGTACTCTGCTTTATATGCCTGTGGGTTATTGGCTTAATGGGCTTATTTCCATTCCATTATAATCATCAACTTATAATGAACCAGTCTATAATGAACCAGAATGAGATAGCAAACACATAGTTTGCATGGGTGCATTTATCTTAATCATTAAATTGTTATAACTAGATCATTTAACATGGATGTATTTTCTGCCTCAGCCTTAATTGAGGGAAAATGGTTCTGGAGGATTTAATTATGTGGTAGGTATGTACGTAATGGAAAGATTTGACTAGGAAGTTTTTTCTACTACAAAGTCTTCTCTAAACGTCATGACACCAAGAGTCAATTAGGGACCCCATAGTTCTCATAGCCTTTCTTTTGTCCTTAATTTGGCACTATCAGAAACTCAATTTCAGGATGCAAATGTGTGTTTGTATTGTATGAAAATGATTAGATGGTGATCCTGAAATCATTCAACCAAATGGAAGGATCTTTTTTATGGCAAAACATACAGAACAGACTTCATACAGAAAAAAATTAATAAGGCAATTGACTTGAGGTATGAAATTAAGGATATAGAAGACGTGCTACTGTCATTAAATCTGAAATGAACAGTTATCTATAGATATAACAGAATGCTAAAATAACATTTATAATTAGAAGTTAAATGCTTAAGTTTCAGCTAATTATAAAATGTTACTTTTTGGCACAGACAAAATAAGGATTTTAAATTTATTCTTCTTAGGATGGGAATATTTTACATTGTGCCTTCCCAAAACAAAGTTTATAACCTGTTATAAAATAAGAGCTTATAAAATGTGCAATAATTTAAATTAAATTGATTTTGTATGTTTTCTAAATTTATCCAAGATATGAAGACATGTTATAGAAAAAAAAAATTCTCCATACACAGGTTCTTATTATATTAGGAATAACTCAACCTTCCAAGTAAGGGCCCCCAAATTCAGATTTTAATGAATTTAGTTTTAATATTACTTTGCTACCAAAGCAAGGAATGACCATAGTTAGTTATAAGAATATACTTTTTTAATACAATAAATTTTGAGATCCTCCAAACAAGTTATTTTCTCTCATTCTAAATTATAAACTTGTTCTCAAGTTATTGAGTTAATAATGCAGTCCATATATTGTGTATTTCTAACATTTGTATGAGAGAGTTCCAGTGAGAAGGCCATCAAAGTAATTTAAATTCATAGAAATCAAAAATTAATACAATATTTAAAAATATTTTTTAAAAATTGTAAGAGGGAATTTTTCCACCTGAAAACTCACTGATGTTATTAACTTACAGTGAAAATAATGAGAGTAAAATTAGACAGACTAAACTATGTCACGAACAAAATGTTAAAATGAATGTTTCAAATTAAAAAAATAAAAATCACCTATAGTTCTAAATATTATTATGTATGCTTCATGTATTATGTTCTATGTATATGGCCAACACAAATTATGTACAAAATCGGATGCTTGATCTGGGTTCTTAGCTAACGCAAAAATTTGTATTGTTAAAATAGACATAAAAATCTGAGATATTTCCTTGTATTAAAATTTACTAATATTTTCATGGACTAATTTAGTTACAAGGAAAAACAAAGTAGTTAGAAATCTAAATTTGATTTGACATAAAATTCCAAATTTAAATTGTTTTTTAATACTTGAAAAATATCACTCTGCTTTCTGGCACCCAGTGTTCTGTTGTGAATTTTGAAGTAAACTTGGAAAAAAGATAAATGACCTAAGTATAAAATTTAATCAGTTAAAAACAAACAAACAGAGTAAGCCAAATAGTTTAGAAAAAAAGAAAACAACGATGAAGATTAAAATCGATTAAATAGGTAACAGGACAGGCTCATTGGCTCACACCTGTAATCCCAGCACTTTGGAAAGCTGAGGTAGGATGACCACTTGAGCCCAGGAGTTTTGAAACCAGCTTGGGCAATATAGTGAGACCCTATCTATCTCTAAAAAAAAAAAAATCCTTTAAATTAGACAGATGTGATGGCACGTGTCTGTGGTCCCAACAACTCAGGAGGCTAAGGCAGCAGGATTGTTTTTCACCCTGGAGTTTGAGGATACAGTGAGCCATAATCACACCACCACAATTCATCCTGGGCAACAAACTGAAACCTTGTCTCAAATAAATAAATAAATAAATAAAATAGATAACTAAATAATAGGAGAGAAGTTGCAAAAAAAAAGTATTTACTCAAAATAAACAACACATTAGAATATTAGCAAGGTATTAAAAGATAAACGATTGTACACAAAACATATTCAAACAGAAGAAAGGCATAATAGGCCTGCCGTAGTGGCTCACACCTGTAATCCCAACACTTTGGGAGGCCAAGGCAGGCAGATCACTTGCAGTCAGGAGTTCAAGATCAGCCTGGCCAACGTGGTGAAATCCTGTCTACTAAAAATGCAAAAATTATCAGGGCATGGTTTTGCACTCCTGTACTCCCTAATCTTTTGGAGGCTGAGGCAGGAGAATTGTTTGAACCTGGGAGACAGAGGTTGCAGTGAGCCAAGATCGTACCACTGCGCTCCAGCGTGGGAGACAGAGTGAGACTCTGTCTCAGGAAACAAACAAACAAACAAACAAAGGGAAGGCATAATAGTAAGAGGCTAATCTCAACTAGTTATACAAGCAGATTTCAATTTTTATATATACTTACATATAAAATCAAAATCCACTGAGGTCTTTCTACACTGACATTAATTAAAATAGTAACTTAAAATTTCACAGAATTGGAAACACATTCATCTCAGATGGTTTTGCGTATGAATTCCACCAAATACGGAAGGAACAAATTATTTCATTATTAGGTAAACTTTTATGGAGGACATAATAACTAGGAATCCTTAGTTGGTAATGACAATTGCCCTGATACCAAAACCAGGAAAAGATAGAGTGAGAAAATATAGATCAATTTTGTATCTAAATATGCATCTGAATCTTATAGCTACTATTGTCCTCCCAGATCATCTTTATGAACTATAATCTGTAGATAAAAATTACATCAACACTTATTTTTATTGTTGCTGTAATTTAGATTAAATCATGTTTTGTCATTTTTACTTAATTTGTATTATTTTCCATGTTATCTATACTATAGTGGAAGGATTTTTAAAATTCATGGGTTATGAAAAGCAATGTAGGTCTAATTTGAAAACAGAGACAAAAGAATATAACTTCAACTTGTTAAAATTAAAGATTAGATAGCAAAATATTATGGAATAAAAAATAAACAATATGCAAAAATTATGTTTCCAACTTAGTGTAAAATAGTATCTAAGATCATGTCCTTTAGAATTTGCTATACTTGCATTTGAGTTATATGGTAGCTTCCGAGTTACACATACTTTGGTATGTTATATAATCAGACTGAAACGCCATTTCCATATTATTTCAATAATAACAATAATACTTATCTTACAGAACTGTCGTGAGTCTGAAAAGACAATGTTTGCCAAGTATATAATGTCACCTGGCATGTAGGAGATGATCAGTGAATGACAGTTATAAGTGTTTCAATGTTATAAAGAACTCTTTAAATTTTTGTGAATTCATACAGAGCAGGAACAAGCTAGCATTTAAATTAAACATAACAATTCCTAATACCATAACCATGGACCCTTAAAAAAGGTTCTTTGGGCCGGGCGTGGTGGCTCACGCCTGTAATCCCAGCACTTTGGGAGGCCGAGGGGGGCGGATCACGAGTTCAGGAGATAAAGACCATCCAGGCTAACACGGTGAAACCCTGTCTCTACTAAAAATACAAAAAAATTAGCCAGGCGTGGTGGCGGGCGCCTGTAGTCCCAGCTACTGGGGAGGCTGAGGCAGGAGAATGGCGTGAACCCGGGAGGTGGAGCTTGCAGTGAGCTGAGATCACGCCACTGCACTCCAGCCTGGGTGACAGAGTGAGACTCCAACTCAGAAAAAAAGGTTCTTTGACCATGACTACCATAAGAACTAGAAGTGATATTTCATGTGAAATTACTGTTCATTATACCACTCTATTTTATTAGTTCCAAGACTCATAGTTCTTTTTTTTTTTTTTTTTTTTTTTTAGATGGAGTCTCACTCTGTCACCCAGGCTGGAGTACAGTGGCACGATCTCGGCTCACTGCAACCTCTGCCTCCGAGGTTCAAGCTATTCTCCTGCCTCAGCCTCCCTAGTAGCTGGGACTACAGGCGTCAGCCACCACACCCTGCTAATTTTTGTATTTTTAGTAGAGACAGGGTTTCACCATATTGGCCAGGCTGGTCTCATCTCAAATTTAGTGAAATACAACAGTGGCTGGACTGGCATTGCAAATGTCATAGCAAAGATATAGGGCTGCATTAGAAAGGCGGGGACCCTGTGTGGTTACTATAATCCAGGTACATGGCCTGAAAAAATGAAATAGGATATGGATCATTTTGGTGGTTCCTATGTTCTAGACAATCACTTAGTGGATGAAGTGATCCCAACATAGTGTTAGATCTCTAGAATAGGTGAATATGTTCTGTCAAGCTTCAGAGGTCAGTCAGAAGACACACTGCCAACATCAAAGAAATTGCAGATGGGAGATCCTAGGTGGTTTCTAGCTGATGATGCTCTTGATTTTTATTTTTTTCTTAAATCAAAAAATTGTGTGTTCTATAGTTGGATAAATTTTATGGCAAACGACTGAACAGCACATGGTCTTCTTGAAATAATCAAATCAAATCAAGACACAGAGTACACGGTTTGGCATGCAAAGTATCAGTTGGCTTTGGATCTCCTCTCTCTCCTTGGCAGATTCTTGTGTTCAGTTCTGAGATCCACAGAGATGGAGGATCATTGAAGAATCAACAAAAGTATCTTGATATCTACTACTCCAATAAGGCATCAGTGCCAGATTTTAGCAACAACAATAACAAACGTAAGAGGTTTTTTTTTTTTTTTTCTTTCTTTCTTGCACTTGCTCCTCTCCCTCAGTTCCCTCTTGGAGAAATTGAAAAGAGCTACTGCTGATGGAAAATGAACTGGGATTTAAAACGACAAATAAATCATCACACACCCTCTCCACATTCGCCATGGCAGGACTCAGAGTCTAAGGTATATCCAAGTTTGGAATTGAGTAAGAGTTCACATACTAGTTTGGGTTTCACTTTTAACTAAAATAAATTAAAGCAAATAAAAAATGTTAGTCTGTGTGATTTTTCCCAAGATTTTATCCAGGAATAAGAAAGGATTCACAGTTTTCTTGTGGGCTATGAGGTGATAAAATATAAATGCCTTATTTGTCATCACACAAAGTCCAACAAGTAACAAATTAAGTGGTTAATACATATTCAAGATAAGATAATTCTCAATGTAGGTAACAGAAAGTGTAAAGCTTTGGAGGTAGAAATCAGCTTGATATTTCCAGAAATGGCAAGAGCATTTTAAACAATATACCATGTAGTCAAGTGTAAAACTATCAAATATATACATAAGTGGATTATAAAGAAGTATATGAATAGAATATGCATTAAAGGAGACTTCTCTGAGACTGTGTCCTTTGAGCTTGATCATGTAGAAAGAGTACACTGAGTGCATAAAAGACATTCCAACAGAAAGAGGAAATATATAAAGGTGAAGCAATATAAAATGTTTGACAA
Source organism: Homo sapiens (assembly GCF_000001405.40). Taxonomy (NCBI): domain Eukaryota; kingdom Metazoa; phylum Chordata; class Mammalia; order Primates; family Hominidae; genus Homo; species Homo sapiens. The sequence goes on from NC_000004.12 coordinate 29,692,314, forward strand.
ATGTGAGCAGGAGTATGAATTAGGAAAGGAAAGGTAGAATATTAAAAGATATAGCTGGAAAATAGACTGGGACCATAATAAAGATTTTTGTATTTCATAATAAAAATATTAGATTTCAGCTACACATGAAACATTCTAGAATAATAAGGATGAGATTTCAGAACTAGAAAATTAGCTCTCACAACCCCCCAACAAAAAAAACAAAAATACAAAAGGACCCCACAAAAGTCTGTGGTTTAAATGTTTATTGCTGCTGTAACAAATTAGCAGAAACCTAATGACTTAAAATAACACACAGTTGTATTGTCTTATAGCTCTGAATGTCAAAAATACGAAACAGGTCTCAATGGGTGAAAAAAATAAAGCTGTCAACAAGATTTCTAGAGGCTCAGGGTGAGAATCTGTTTTCTTGTCTTTTTCAGGCTCTAGAGGCTGTCCACATATGTTGGCCCGTGGACTCCTTCATCCAACTTGAAAGACAACAGCTGGTCAAATCTTATGCATGATGCCATCTTTCTGATGTTGATTTTGTGCTTCTCTATTCCCTATCTAAAGAATTGTGTTCTTGGCTGGGTGCAGTGGCTCGTGCCTGTAATCCCAGCACTTTGGGAGGCTGAGGCAGGTGCATCACAAGGTCAGGAGTTCGAGACCAGCCTGACCAACATGCTGAAACTCCATCTCTACTAAAAATACAAAAATTAGCCAGGCATGGTGGTGTGCACCTATAATCCCACCTACTCAGGAGGCTAAGGCAGGAAAAGCGCTTGAACCCGGAGGCAGAGGTTGCAATGAGCCGAGATCTTGCCCCTGCACTCCAGCCTGGGCAACAGAGCAAGACTCCGTCTCAAAAAAAAAAAAAAAATTGTGTTTTTGTTGTTGTTGTTGTTGTTTGTTTTGTTTTGTTTTGTTCTGTTTTGCAACAACCTGGATATTCCAAAATAATCTGCTTATTTTAAGGTTTAGCTGAATGGCAATCTTATTTCCACCTGCTACCACAACTTGAATTGCAACATACCATACCATAGCATAATCACAGCATCTAGTAATCAGGATTTATACATATTTGCAGGCCCAATATTCTGCTTACCACAACTGTTATTAAGAAAATAGTAAAGAAATTACTGCACTTAGAAACCATGGAATAAATAACAATAGTAGTCAATAATACCAATAATAATGATAAAGACTCTTTTCCCCTGTTGGTCAATGAGTTGGTCATTTTATTAATCTTGAGCATCATTAACTAGAAGATCTTAGTCCATTAGTCATGTGATTGGGCAATGAAGGAGTTACATGATCTATGACAGAGAAAGAGGTTCTCCCTTGGTAATGTCCAACTTATAAATCAGAAGAGAAGCTTTTTTCGACTTCTGGTCATGGGACTATTAAGAACTAAGCCTAAAATAGGTGCCAACCACTTTCAGTGGCATATTTCTAACTGTCACTAAAAAGTAAAACCAAATGCAAAATAATGGGAGACTTAGATTAAAAATCCTGAATAAATAGAAACACCGTTGACCTTACTGTGGTTAATTAATATGAGATCTCCTTTTAATAATTACACTAGTTAAGGTTTTACTTCCAATGGTGCAAGCTTGGAAAATAAATACATAAATTATTAATATTTTTGAAAGAGTTTTTTTGTCACTACATTTTGAGACAATGAAAATAGCTCTCCTGATAGATGGATTTTTTTACTCGGCTCACGGTATGAAATGCAGTCTGTGGTTATGGCTGTTCATTAGATGCCAACTTGGTTTCAAACTACCAGAGAGCAAATCAAAATGAGACTCAGAATATCTGTTTTATTTCTTATCATTCTTATTATCTTGCTCCCCACACAAATGTTAAAAATAATCCTTTTTTTTAGAATATCACAAAACTGGCATAAGTAATGATTCGGTTTCACAATGCAAGCATTACATTATGCATTTATGTCTTACTGCAGGTTTTCAAAAATGAAAGAATCAAGCAAAAGACAGCAGGGGGTTATACATGATGAACAACAAATATAAGTTTCTTTCTCTTAGGACATTCATTCATAATGCACAAAATTATACTACAAAGGTAAGAAACGGTTAAATTTGAAATGCCCAGATATTTCTTTAATTATAACTATTCATGATTTATTTATAAACTATGAATTAAATATGCTTCCAATGTAAATAAATAAATGAATAAATGGACCCCAACAAATGCAAAAGCAAATGATTTTCTCCATTTGGAAGAGCCAATAAATGGTATTTTTTAGGAGTGTAAAAAGTGATCTTTTATGCTGCTAAATGCCATCATCATGAACATCCTGTAAATCATATCAAACAACCACTTGCACTTAAGAGCAATATGAACTTGATTTATAATTCAGAGAAAAATGATTGGAATAATTTTACTTCAAAAGTTTAGATCCAGTATTCAGGATGATAAATTTATGAGTCTATGAGTAATCAACAAGACTAGCCTCCCGCCTTCTCTTTCTATTTCTCTGCCATTAATTAGACTGTGTTTAAATAGACTTGGAAGAATCTCTCACAACATGACTTTGGCAGATTTCTTTTTTCCTCAGAAAAATAGATATTATTTTGGAAAACAACTACTAAAGCTGTCTCTGTAAAATAGAGTTCCCAGAATTTCAGCTTCAATTGCTTAGGAGAAGATGTGAATACAGAGCTTTGGCTACACAGGAATCCTGAGCCTTCATTGTTCTATGTTTCTACATTTGACTCAGTCTTGGAGGTAACATTTTAAAACCCAGTAAGGGTTACACATGAGCTGGTACTACTCTTTTCTTCTCCGTGATCAACCTATGATACTTTTGACTTATTTTTTCTTCTCTTCCATTTCTAAAAGTTTCATTAGATAAAAATCTCTGACTTCAGTTTCCTCAACATGCAATATCCTTATAACCTCAGGGAATTTGGAGAATTTAATCAGCATAAATTAGCCATCATTGTAAAGATAGTCCTAAAGTGATTACTAAATAAAAAAACTCAGTAAAATAATATTTTGCATTTATATACAACACGTGTCAAATGCTTTCACAATTGTTAGTTTACCCTATTTTAGGAAATAGGTACTATTGGTAAATAAAAACATGGACATTGGAAAGATGGAATAAATGAATATCACAGAAAAATCTAGTGTCCAGTAGCACAACAGGATGACCATACCTGGCAGTAATTTATTTCATAATTAAAAATAACCAAAAGAGTGGAATCGGAATGCTCTTAACATACACAAAAAAAGGAATAAATAATTGAGGTGATGGACATCTCAATTACCCTGATTTGATCATTATATGCTTGTATAAAAATATCACATGTACCTTATAAAATCCATAACTATTATGTATACATAATAATTAAAAATAAAATCAGTTTTAAAAGAGAGTAAATTGTCCAAATTATCAATAATACAGTAACCAAGCCAAGATGAGAACTCAATTCTCCAGATGTAAATCCCAATCAAGCACAGTTTATTCCATTCAACTGTCCCCAACAACAAGGAGAAACACTAAAGTTCAGGCTCTTCCATGTTATATCTTTCTCTTTTTCCTAAAACTCAGCACTGCCCCTCTGTCAGATAGCTCTTTCTACTTGCTCTAGCTCCTTCCAGTTTTTTTCCCTCACTGATATTTCCCTACTAAATCTCTAATTCATCAAATTAGATATTTTTTTCAGAAAAATTCAGCTAACCTAAGCTCTTTCCTCTAACACCTTTGGAAGACTATCAGTTGCACTGTTCCTTCCAGATGAATAAATATATGAAATTATATGAATAAATCATATCAATAGCCAACAAAATGCATACAAGCACAGTTTCAATTATATTATAAACTTTCTTTAAGTATTAAGCCCCCATATCCTATTAACAGAAATGCAATTTGTATCAATATCCTATTGTGCACAGGAAATATATCAAACTATTTATTCCAAATCCATAACACTGTAATTCCACTTTCCTGAAATAATGTTAATAAAATGGCAAAAATAGAATTACAAAGATGACTGTAGTCATTATTTTTAATGAGAAAACATTGGCATCACACACAATTTTTGTAGAATATTTAAAATTATAAGAAAATGCTAGTCAGATATTGGTAAATAAAAAAGCAATGTAATTACCATATTTCTATATTAAAAATATATGTGTATATGCATAAAGTTAAGGGAATAATGCTAAAACAATATCTAATTCACATTTTTGTTTTTCTTGTTGGTAAAAATATGCATGGATCTAGTACTGTTCTTCTCCATATTTGTGTTTTTTATAGTAAATATGCATTAATACTTGAAGAACCTGCATATGGCATGGAAAACAACTATAAAGGCACAATACAGTTTCTCACCATATAAAGGAAATTGAAAAAAGAAACATCAAGGTATTCTTTATCACTCACACCTTCACTTTGGAAAGTTGAAATACACACTCAAAATATTTTTTCCAAAAAATGTTGTAAATTACTTGTGAATATATATTTTCTGCCATTTAGGAAAACTGAACAATTGATATTCACATCTGTGAAGTAATTGATTTCACGGTTCTGATATGTCAGCAATGACATAATGGTTGTGTGATCACATAATGGTTATGCATCATTAAATCCACAGAGCTCAACATCCACGCTAGTATGGCTACTCAGTGCATGCCTCCATGAAGGCTTCAAATAAATTGTGTCATCTTTCACAAAACTGAAAGTTATCATGCATTTTTAATGTTTAAAAATCTCTTTCTTTGTCCTTCTTACAAGTTCTATTAAATAAAAGTATTCTTTGGATATGTGATTCATTTTTTTCTACATAAGGTTCTGAATGTCTGAATCATTATTTTATTCATTTATTTACTTAACAAATGTGTGTTACCTAATTTATTTTGTTGATCACTGTGCCCGTTAGAGTATATGAATAAAGATTAATCATTATCATGCTTTCCACAGGGATTACAGAGGCATTCAACATTTTTTTATGAATATTTTTATTTTGTGCTAGAATCTGTGCTAGATGCTTGGAGTTAAGTAGCAAATTAGAGAGAAACCAGAAAACTGTTCCTATGGAGCTCAGAGATAAAGTGTATAAATTATACATGTGAATGACTGATAGAACCATGAGGAATTTAAACTAATATCACAGGAGTGAAGAAAGCAGAGAGGTTGTCTCATGGCATAAATAACATTTAAGTTGACCTTAGATACCATTTTCTGTACCCTCTAGTGCATTATACGCATTCTTCTGTCAGAGGACTCAACATCCTGTGATGTAATTATCCATCATTTTCATAAATGGAGGCTTCTCTAATTATAAATAACTCCTGTCATCTCTACACTTGTATTGATTAGCTTCTCATTTCTTCACTCCTCAACAGATTTTGAAGAGTGGAATATTGCCTTCTGTAATATTCTAAGTGTTGATAGTAAATTCCTAAGTATCATTTTTTTCTCTGAATATTATTTTATTTCATGTTAACCTAAACCTTGATGCCCCCTCTTTTGGCATCAGATTTAAAGTAGAGACAGAACTTTCTCTCTTCAGCGATGAGAGTCAATACTAAAAATTGACATTAGTAAACTAGTTTTTCTTTGATTGCTCCAAAATCTGTAATTTCTGTTTCTTTGAGCGAAACCTTCAACATCAAGCAGTGCCACATTCTACTAACTCGTTTGGGATAGTCAGGTGTAGATTTTGGTCCTCATAGAGGGCTCTAAGCCAATGACTGCATCATTGTTTATCACACTTTTTTTTTTTTTTTTTTTGAGATGGAGTTTTGCTCTTGTTGCTGGAGTGCAATGGCACAATCTTAGCTCACTGCAACCTCTGCCTCCTGGTTTCAAGAGATTCTCCTGCCTCAACCTCCATAGTAGCTGGGATTACAGGCGCCCACCACCAGGCCCCGCTAATTTTTGTTATTTTTAGTAGAGACGGGTTTTTGCCATGTTGGCCAGGCTGGTCTTGAACGCCTGACCTCAGGTGATACACCCAAAGTGTATCACCTCCCAAAGTGCTGGAATTACAGGTGTGAGCCACCGCGCCTCGCCCTTTATCACACTTTTCTTGACTACATTGTCTATTTGCCCAGCCTTGAAACTTTGAATTATAATTAGTTCTTTGTTCAAGCCCTCAACTCCTTTTGTTACTTTGTCCTTCTTCCTTTCTTCCTGGGGAAACAAACAAACAAACAAACAAACACAAAAACCAACCTTAACCTGAAAGATTGGTCTTGTCCGAGTCTTTTTAAGCATGTGGGGATTGTTAAAGAAATCACAACATTAAGACTGGGATTCATGCTATTCACTTTTATACAGGCTTTCACCAATGCCTGTGAATTTTAACATTTTTTTCTGAGACTTTTTTGTTCTCGGTGTTCTTTCCTCTCTTTTCTCAAATCTCGCTCTCGTGTCCTTTCAAATTTCAAAGAAAATAACAGAAAACCTTATTTTAGTAGGGAGGGAAGAGAACTGAAAAGTATCTTCTTATCTGCTTCCCTCAAGTACTGATAGAGTAAGTGACTTTTTAAGTAATTCTCATTAAGTTTTAAATTAAGTTTATGCGAGTCTCATGACATAGGTTCCCAGTCATTCAACATATTTTTCTTATTATCCCTTTTATTTGATTAGTATTTCTCTTATTTTTCTAGTTTTTTGGAGTAGCAACTCAGATTATTAATTTTCTGCTTTTTCTTTCAAATCATTTTCTTCCTTTATTCTTTCAAGTTGATTCACCTCTTTTATGTTTCTTCATCTTTTGTTTTTATTTTTGGGGGCTAGAAATTATATGATTTTCTGTTTTATCCTCTGTTGTCTCTTTACTTCTATATTCTTGTATTGGTTTCCCTAGATAATAATTTATTTCATTGAATGACAATTTGATACAAGACTTAGTTGTTCAAAATATTATTCTTTTTCCATCATTTTCACATCTCTTACATGTGAAAATTGTTTTATATCTTTCTCTCTGATTTTTGTTTGCACACTTTCTATTAACTGGCTTTCTTTGTCCGTTCATCATGTTTCTGATTTTATGTACCATCCTGTCAAAAACTATGAAATTGACAAAACATGGCCTTATATACTAGACAGAGTTTGAAGACAGAACTGACAGATATTGCTGATGAATTTGATGTGGATGTTCCATAGAGATCTCTGCATGGTAAAATATATCAAAGCTTATTAAATACCGTTAGTTGGAAATGAAAAAAAAAATATGTGGAATACGAAATGTTAAAAAAATACTCAGTGACACTTGTTAAAGCACAGTAAGGAAGACCTGATTCAGGAGCATTGGAATAGGCATAGGGGCAACGGCAGTAGGGTCTGGAAGTAGGGGAGAGAGACTGGACTTAACTCAGAACACAGCTTGAGCAAGTGGGAATTTATAGCCAAGAAGCAGGGTGGCAGGGGTCGCGAAGGTCAATGGATAAAAAATTACTAAGATGAGACATTATGGGTAAGGGATATTCAGGCTAAACTGACCTAATAAGATTTTTGCTGAAGATAGGCTAGGGTGTTCAGACATTATCTGGGGGATGGTGGTGGATGAGAATCCTGATCAGATATGGAAGATGATCAGGTATTGAAGATGGGGGTGTCTTGCTACACAAGATTTAGCAGGATTCTTTGCTAAAGCTTGATTTTACAAGGAAATGCACAAATGAGCCTAGCAGAACATTCAGAAGTCTAACGTTTGGCTGCCTATTGGGGGGACCCTGAATAAAGTCTTTCTTGCTATGTTTTAACAAGTATCACTGAATAATTTCTCTTCAATACAAAGAGAATAGTTAACAACATACATACATTAAAGTATGTCATTATTATGCAGTAATAAAGTTAATATTCAATATCATGTGAGAATACTAGCATATAATCACTATAAGAAGAATAAACACAAATCTTCATTAAAACATTGATGTCCTTTTGATTCTGTGAGGCATTCTTCTGATTAGACTTGATATATAAATAATTTGGAGCCTTAAATAGTGCCTTTTGTTAAAACTGCTAAATGAGATCAACTCATAATTAAAAGTCTATTCATTGATCAATATTAATTCATATTATTGTTAAAATTACAGTTTTTATCCCCACATAAAACTCAGCCTCACAGAAATGTTTTAGTTCTACATAATGAGCAATAGTACTTACAAAAATTTTTTTTACTCTGGTATAATACTGTATTTGTCAGTTTCTAATAATTTATACAACCGTGGCAAGTCTGCATGAAACTTATGAGTAGTTGTTAATTTCTTAAATCAAGATGACCTAAAAAGTTTATTTATTTAAAATAAGAATGGGGGAACCATGTTTTTAAAATGTGCTGTTTGCCAGGTGCTATGACTCATGCCTGCAATCCCAGCACTTTGGGAGGCCGAGGCTGGAGGATCACCTAAGTCCCAGAGTTTGAGACCAGCCTGCTTAACATGGTGAAACCCTTCTCTACTAAACATACAAAAAAATTAGCTGGGCACCGTGGCAGGTGCCTGTAATCCCAGCTGCTCAAGAGGCTGAGGCAGGAAAATGGCTTGAACCTGGAAGGTGGAGGTTGCAGTGAGCCGACATCACGCCACTGCACTCCAGCCTGAGGGAAACTCAAATCGAAAGAAAGAAAAACACACACACACACACACACACACACAATGTGCTCTTACATTGTGATACGATTCTGTGACTACAACAAATCTCATGTTTAATTGTAATCCCCAATGTTGGAGGTGGGGCCTAGTGGGAAGTGACTGGATCGTAGAGGTGGTCGTTCATGAATGGCTTAGCACCATCCCCTCAGTGCTGTTCTCCTGATAGTGAGTGAGTGAGTTATTGTGAGATCTGGTTGTTTAAAAGTTTGTAGCCCCTCCCCCCTTTGCTCTCTTCCTGCTGCTGGGCCATGCAAGACATGCCAGCTTCCCCTGTCACCTTCTGCCATGATATGTAAGTTTCCTTAGACCTCCCCAGAAGCAGAAGCTTCTATGCTTCCTGTACAGCCTGAAGAATTAGAAGCCAATTAAACCTCTTTTGTTTATAAATTACCCAGTCTCTGGTATTCCTTTACAGCAATGTGAAAATGAAAAAATACACATTGAAAGTCTTTTTATGTTATTTCCTAAATTCGGAGCAAACACGTCTTTCCCTTCCCAGAGTATGAAAAGACAGAGATGATTTTTTCAAAGGAATACATAGTATCACATTAGATATTTAACATAATTTATATTTTTAAATGTAAAAAAAATATGTTTTGGTTAGCTACTGCAGTGTGATAAAACACCACACACCCACAGAGTTTAATATCTTAAAACAACAGCGATTCATATGGTTCTGTGGGTCAGAAATTTGGGCTGGACCTAACTGACAGTTCTGTTTGGTCTGAAGAGGCTTAGCTGAACTGGACTGGAGTTCAACCATCCATTTGCAGTAAACTGCTGGGACTATTGGAACTTTCCATCTTCTGGATGCCTGCATTCTCTTCCACATGGTCATTCATCTTCCAACACGCTAGCTCAGACTGGTAGACATAGTCAGGGGAACCTAAGTTCAGCAAAAGATGGCATATCCAAGTGAAAATAATGTTCCACTACTCTGTTTTGTCATATTTTTAAATGTCTCATTGGCCAAAGAAAGTCACATGACAAATCCATATTCAAGGGGTGGAAAAATATTGCCATTATTTTTATTGAACAAAATTTAACCCATGAATTTTTATTTATTTTAAAAATTCACCATTTTAAGATATGAAAAATAATATTCTATTATTTACACTGAGACAAGATAAATTAGAGTAAGAATATAAGAATCTACTACTAGCCTTGTTGTGTAAACACAGATTATTTGTAAAATTTAAAAAGTATTAATTCTAATATGATGGTGGCTTTTAATGCACTAGTAGTTTTTTTAACCTTTTAGAACACATTAGAGATATAAGCAGTCTCAATAAAAAGCTGATTTTATAGTATATGTTACATGTAAAATATGTTTCATCCATTTCAAAGTATTTGTCTGAAATTTATTTAAATGAATACAAAATTTTATCATTAAATTACAATTATTTACTATATTTCTATTCTCACTTTATAAATGGTATCTGGAAAATATATTTTTTCTTCATGATTTTCAAAATTTTATTATATCAAATGAAAAGAGAGAGTGATCCTTAACATAATTAACATGAATATTTTTATTTATTAGTCTCATGGTGATTTGAAGATGTTAAACAGTTAAATTTCAAATTTAGCATTTATTTTTTAAACAATGTAAACTATATTGGTAGAGGTTCTATCTTAATCTCTACCTTTCCCTTAAAAACTTTTGCCAAAATTATAAAACTAAGATGTTCAACTCCTAAAGAAATTGAACATGCTGATGTTGAAGAAGACTTTTGGTTTTGTTTGCCATCTGGTTACTGTGGAAACTATACTCTTGGAAATTAACTGCATTGCTGAGTTTGAGCATGCACCATGGAAACCAGGGAAGAGAAATTCACCTGTATGACAGAAGATTGCTGAAAATGTAGGGAGTAGAGGTAGGAGAAAGCAGGGACATTACATATGTTCATTTATAACTTCTATTTTTTATTGGAAAGCTTTGAGCTAATTAACACACTATAATATGATACTTAGAATTGAAGGAGAGCTGGTAGCTTTCATAATATCTGACCTAGTTCCCACATCAGAAGAGTAATAGTATAATTATTATGATGATTAAAATATTCAAAACACCTAAAGAGGTCCTGGTCTTCATTGAACTGTAATCAAGAGTTCACACTGCTTTTGCATTATCTCAAAATATAATCACTTTAGGAAATATCAAACATGTGCAAACAAAATGTGACATTCAGAAAGAAATTCACTTGCTTGTTTTATCTTTTTGAATTTATTATTTAGATATGTAATATAATGTTCTCTTCAAGTCAACTCACAATCACAGTAATATAGTTTGGATGTTTATCCCATCCAAGTCTCATATGAAATATGATGCTCAAAGTTGGATGTGGGGCCTAATGGAAGGTGTTTGGGTCATGGGGCAGATTCTTCTTGAATGGCTTGGCGCCTTCCCTGTGGTAATGAGTGAGTTCTTGCTGTTAGTTCAGATGAGAACTGGTTGTTTAAAGGACCATGGAACCCGGCACCTCCACCTCTCTTTTTCTCTTGCTCCCTTTCTTGCCTTATTAAAAGCCAAATCCTCCTTTGCCTTCTGCATGGCTGTAAGCTTTCTGAGGCCTCACCGGAGGTAGCTGCTGGCACTGTGTTTCTTGTGTAGCCTGCAGATCTGTGAGCCAATTTAACCTCTTTTCATTATAAATTACCCAGTCTCAAGTATTCCTTGATAGCCGTGCAAATGGATTCATAGATACAGGTTTTGATAAAACTAAGACTCTGATGTGTTTATCAGAATCTTGAAGATGTCCTCTTCCTTAGGTTCTTCAATAAAAGACCAATGTAGGTAGACTTGCAAAGTGATTTGCAGATAAAAATTAAGATTATTAAACAGCTGAGCTTAATATAGGGATAATACCCTGAATTATATGCATGGGCTTATTTAAGGCACATGAGCCATTCAAAGCAGCAGAAGAGGGCTAAGGGGTGAGTCTGAGAAATGTGGCAGAAGACGGGAACAGCAAGGGAGGGCAGAAAGGGAGGTCAGAGAGAATCAAAGCATGAGAAGGACTTGACCATGGCTTTGAAGATGAAAGAAATTAACAATAAGCCAAGGAATTAAGTAGGCCCCATGAGGTTCCCAATGACTACCAACTGACAGCCAAGAAGAAAATAATAAACTCAATCCTGTATGAAATCCAATTATGCCAAAAACCTGGATGAGCAAGTAAACAGATTCTCCCCTAGAGCCTCCAGAAGAAACATGTTGATGTTGGTTTTCTACTATACACAACAGATAACCCAACAGAGCCTACTCAGCCACTGACATTCGAATTGTGAGATAATAAATTTGTTTTAAGTTTGTGATAATTTGTTATGTCAGCAATAAAAAATCAAGATAATTACTTTGGAATTTTATTGAACACATTTAATCTGTTATGCTTTTAATTTGTTAATTTATGAATCTCTATTGTGTTATTCTGTTTATCGATTTTTGATAGATATGGGGGGAGAGAGAGAGAGATGTTTTTACAGTTGTAATTAAATACATATCTGTCTGCTATTTTCCTTTTTTTTTATACCGGTTACCCTTGCGAGAAAGAATGCTTCACAATAGGATGGATAATATCTTCATTGTTCAACACTGTATACTACACAACAAGCAAAGATCTTGAAAATGAAAAAATGTTTGGTTAATAAATTAATGAATGAATGGTGGAAACGTATGTTACAAAAGATATATTTGACACTATGCACTCAAATATAAGAAGAAGGAATGTGAACTATAAGTTTATAACAATATAGAAAGCAGTAAAAACCATGGGATTTCGGAGAAGTTAGTTTCTGTATTTCTTTAACTGAATTAGTAAACTTTTTTGAGTAATGGTAAAGATGCTTCTACTAAAAATATTAGCATATTTACAATAAGAGATGCTATGGGCAGTGTCCAAGGCAGAGGAAAATTCATGAATAAAAACAATATGTGTATGTTTTTAAGGGTTATTTATAATTTCCATTGGGAACCTGAGAGAGTTTACACTGTAGTGGCCCTTAACATAAACTCTGTTTATGCTACACAAGATTCAGTTTACAAGGAAAAACCGCTGAGGTTTTTTACTATTTACTGTGCAAATTTTGAAAACATCTCTAAACTTTTCAGCCTACATTTAAATGTAATTATTCAAAATTATTAGTTTTTTTTCTTAATATGTACAATGTTTTACATAAAAACATACTTCACTGGCTGAATGACCATCATCAAAGTATTTGTTTGTTTGTTTTTGTTTTAGAGGTATTTAAAATATTTAAAACAAGAAGTTGGGATTGGGATTTATATCACATTTACTCTAGGACTGAAATGCAGTATTTTACATTCGCACTAGAGAAGAACAACTACTATCTTTTTTATTTCTAAAAGAGAGTGGTAGTGATTGATATGTGGGGTGCTGTAATATATACATTTATTCCAAAAATCTACTCACATTTGCTTATAATTTAAAAACTCTGAATTTATTGAAAACATATACAAATGTATCCATAAAATAAAATATTGTTGATATAACCAAAATAGTGTCTATATAACCACATTATTTTAAGAGTTTTAGCATTTATATAGAAAGTTTGAGTGGTTACATAAACTTATGCACTCACTATGTTTCTTTAGTTTTTCCATAGTTGATCAAGTGGCATAAACTATGAAACCAAAGCCCAGTCAAAGAGAACTGCTGTATTTGTCCACCCTCACACTGTTATGAATAAATACCCAAGAATTAGTAATTTATAAAGAAAAGAGGTTTATTTGACTCACAGTTCTGCATGGAAGAGGAGGCCTCAGGAAACTTATAATCATGGCAGAAGTTTCCTTTTGATAGGGTGGCAGGAGAGAGAATGAATGTAAGCAGGGGAATGGCCAGACACTTAAATAAACATTGATCTCATGAGACACACTCATTATTATGAGAATAGCATGGGGTACGCCACCCTCATGGTTCAGTTATTTCCACCTGTTCTGTCCTTAACAGGTGGGAATTATGGGGATTAAAATTCAAGGTGAGATTTAGGTGGTGACACAGAGCCAAACTATATCATTTAGACCCTGAACCCTCACAAACCTCATGTCCTCACATTTTAAAACACAATCATGTCCTTCCAACAGTTACCCAAAGTCTTAACTCATGCCAGCATTAACCCAAAAGTCCAAGTCCAAAGTCTCACCTGAAACAAGGCAAGTCTCTTCCACTTACAAGCCTGTAAAATCAAAAGCAAGTTGGTTACTTCCTAGATACAATGGGGGTACAGGCACTGGGTAAATATACCTGTTCCAAATCAGAGAAATTGGTCAAAACAAAGAAGCTAGAGGCCCCACGCAAATCTGAAATCCAATAGGGTAGTAATTAAACATTAAATTTCCAAAATGGTCTCCTTTGACTGGATGCCTCACATCCAGGTCATGCTGATACAAGAAGTGGGCTCCCATGGCCTTGGACAACTTTGCCTTGTGGCTTTGCAGAGTACAAACCCCCTCCTGGCTGCTTTCAAGGGCTGGCATTGAGTGCCTGCAGCTTTTCCAGGCACAAGGTGCAAGCTGTCATTGGGTCTACCATTCCGCGGAGTCTGGAGGACACTGACCCTCTTCTCACAGCTCCACTAGGCTGTGCCCCATCGGGGACTTGGATTGGGGGTCCAACCCCACATTTCCCTTCCACACTGATCTAGCAGTGGTTCTCCATGAGGGCTTTGCCCCTGCAGCAAGATTCTACCTGGACTTCCAGATATTCCCACACATCCTTTGAAGTCTAAGTGGAGGTTCCCAAACCTCAATTCTTTACTTTTGTGCACCTGCAGGCTCTATGCCACGTGTAAGTCATCAAGGCTTAGAGCTTTCACTCTCTGAAGCCATGGCCTGAGCTGTAATTTGGCTCCTTTTAGCCATGGTTGGAGCAGCTGAGACACAGGGCACCAAGTCCCTAGGCTGCACACAGCAGGAGGGGCCTCGTCCTTGGCCAGGAAACCATTTTTTCCTCCTAGGCCTCTAGGCCCATGATGGGAGGCACTGCCAACCCACTGAACATGCCCTGGAGACATTTTCTCCATTGTCTTGGTGATTAACATTTGGCTCCTCATTACTTATGCTAATTTCTGCCTTTGGCTTTGATTTCTTCTCAGAAAATGGGTTTTTCTTTTCTATTGCATTGTCAGACTGCAAATTTTCCAAATTTTTATGCTTTGCTTCCTCTTGAATGCTTTGCAGCTTAGAAATTTATTCTGCCAGATACCCTAAATCATCTCTCTCAAGTTCAAAGTTCCACAGACCTCTAGGGTAGTGGCAAAATGCCACCAGTCTCTTTGCTAAAGCATAACAAGAGTCACCTTTGCTCCAGTTCCCAACAAGTTCCTCATCTCCATCTAAGACCACCTCAGCCTGGACTGATATTACTATCAGCATTTTGGTCAAAGCCATTCAATAAGTCTCTAGGAGGTTCCAAACTTTCCCACATCTTTGTGTCTTCTGAGCACCACAAGTCTCTAGGAAGTTCCACACTTTCTTACATTTTCCTGTCTTCTTCTAAGCCCTCCAAACTGTTCCAACCTCTTCCTGTTATCCAGTTCCAAAGTTGCTTCCACATTTTTGGCTATCCTTATAGCAGTACCTCATGCTACTGGCACCAATTTACTGTATTAGTTCATTCTCACACTGCTAATCAATACATACCCGATACTGGGTAATTTATAAAGGAAAAGAGTCCTCAGGTAACTGACCTTATTAAAGGGGAAAAGCTCCTTTAAAAACCATCAGATCTCTTGTGACACACTCATTATCACAAGAACAGCATGGGGAAAACCATTCCTATGATACAATTACCTCCATCTGGTCCTGCCCTTGACTTGTAGGGATTATGGGGATTACAATCCAATGGGAGATTTGGGTGGGGACACAGCCAAACCATATGAACTGTGTCCTAAACTACTCTGCAAAATCTTTACTTCTTGGTATAATCCACAGAAATCGTGGAGACAAGTTTAAGCTGCAAGTCGTATTTCTTGATATTGAAGCTTCTGTTTGCTCATTGGCAATGTTTTCTTTCAGGCCTATAGGAAGATTTCTTCACTTTTTAAAAAAAATAACGGCCCAATTTTTTATATTAGATTTTAATGCAGGTGTATTTTCTCTAAAATATTTTATTTCCTTAAATAAGGCACATTGTGGAGCCAATAATGACATGTAGTAGGTGGCCAAATGATCATTATTTGCATTTTCTGCTTTTCTTGCTAATGCAGATACTTTTTAAGGCAGTCTCTTTTTTATACTGAGCTTGTTAACTATCTCCTTAATTCAGCCTTTTTTCCGGGAGAGAATTAGTATCTATAAAACAGCCTCCATTATTTCCAAAGATGTCTATAATTTGTATATAACTATTTTTGTAAAATAACTAAAATTTGATGTTACAGTTGCTATAGATTCTCAATATATGACCACAAATTTGGAAAATGCAGTGATAATTTGTTGGCTTATTGATTCATCTAATTATATTTGACATCTCCCAAAACACATTACAAACTCCCTCCTGGAAACTGAAGAATATGTTTTATTTTGCTATGTATGCAGCACACAAGTAGGCATAAGTTAACTGTTACCTTTCAGATACAGATGTCTCCTCTTGTTGCCAAATGCCTATGTATGCCTTGATCTCTTCCTATTTACCCTATTTGTGAGGAGAGGATTCATGCCCTAGGGTTATGGGGAACACAGGAAACCTGACGCTAGACAGCTGAGATGACAGCAGTTTATTAGTCACATATACTCAAAAGCCCCGGGGATGAAGCAACTGCATACCACAAAGAGCCACACATGAGTTATACTCAGGAACAAAGTGAACAGCCATAGCATTCGGGAGGCAGGCTTTGTTCCATCAGGAGGAAGAGAAAGCCCTGGTTCCCAACAGAGGCAGTGATTAACTTGCTTGAATAATTCCATGGGCTGGCAGGGACCTCAAGCCCTCTACCCAGAGATAAGAATGAGCCTGTGCCTGGTCTCCATGATAAGGAGGATCATTTGGCTAAAGGACCTCCTATGTAGGGGCAGAGCTGGAAGGGGAACTTGCGATGAGGCTATTCTAGGCTTTCCTAATTTCTCTCATGGCACACATAATACTGGGCCATGATTTTAGGCCTAATAGAACTGAATGTCAGCAAATGATCTTACAGGCTGTGGAATTCTTCATTACTTTGTGCTGTTGATTTCTATTCTATAAATCTTCCCAATACAAGTTTCTCATTGGCGTACTCAGACCACTGAGAAAGCACCAAAGGAAGGACTGGCCATGCTTCCCTCACCTACCATTTTGAGAAGGACACAGATTATCTCTCCAGGTAAACCCCTGGAGATTGTTCTTCCAGAAGGGTATCAAAATTAGATCTTTGAGAAGAGAGCTTCAGCATTAAGTGTTGTTATATTGCTCACTAAACCTGATATTTAAAGAACTTAAAAGTTAGGCTGCAACCTAACTTATTTCCCACTTTCATGAAGCCCATATAACCTATTCAAATTATTTCTCTTATGATCTCTTAAGCAAGTTTTAATCTTCCCTAATGTTAGGTCAAATATGATTATGCTTCCATGCTTGTAAAATCTCTGCTGCATGAATAATCTCTTTCGTCCTCATTTCCTTGTGTATGTAAAATAGAGAAATAATGTTAGAGTATTTTTTTGTTGGTGAAGATTAAATGAAATTAGTGGATTTAAATTGCTTATTACAGTGTTATACAGATTATAAATTATATGGAATATTATTTCCACTAATACTGTCCCAATGTCTAGACAAAGGTTAGGAAAAAATCAATGATGCATTGCCGTTGCTTATTTAGATTAACATTAAATCGCAAAAACATAACTTTCTCATATATCTACCTACTGAAAAACTAAACAGCCATTAGAAAGCACATGAAGGCCGGGCCTGGTGGCTCATGCCTGTAATCCCAGCATTTTGGGAGGCCAAGGCAGGAGGATTGCTTGAGGTCAGGAGTTCAAGAACAGCCTGACCAACATGGTGAAACCCCATCTGTACTAAAAATACATAAATTAGCCGGTTGTGGTGGTGGGTGCCTGTAATCTCAGCTACTCAGTAGGCTGAGGCAGGAGAATTCCTGGAACCCGGGAAGCAGAGGTTGTAGCCTGGGCAACAGAGTGAGACTCCATCAAAAAAAAAAAAGGAAAGAAAGGAAGGGAGGGAGTGAGGGAGGGAGGAAGGAAGGAAGGAAGGAAGGAAAAGAAAGAAAGAGAGAAAAAAAGAAAGGGAAAGAAAGAAAGAAAGAAAAGAGAAATGTAAATGAATAATGTGTCTCTTTTTAAAATAATATTAGCACTGATAAAATATTTAGTTATATCATAACATGAAAGTAAATATAAATGTAACAAACAGAATGTGATTGAAACCCTAGGGTTGAAGATTGCTTACATAGGAAAAAAAACTGAAAGAATAAACGATAAGATGTTTCTTTACATGATAACTACCTTATGCTAGTTTTGCTCCTTTATTGCTTCATAGTCTCTAATTTACAAATTTTCTAATTTTTCAAAGTATACCATCATATTATTCTAATTTGTTCTTAAACCCTTACCAAGTCATTTTACTTTCTGGAGGTGGCACATTTCTTTGAATTGTTAAAGGTTTTTGTTCTATGTTTCAGTCACTTATTGATTACTCACATATTTTCTTTTTATTTTGCCTATTTGTGGTAGAGATGTTTTGATCATCAATGACATCCTAAAAACTTGGTGGATTTAAAAGTAATTATTGCATTACATGATTTTGTGGATACAGAATCCAGATGGTATTTTATTGTGTAATCCTGATTGTCACCTGGAGTCAGGAGCTAGACTTCTGTTGGCTGCTGAGCTGGGCTGGAGGATCCAAGGCAGTTTGCTCATACGTATGGCTGGCACTGGTGTTGGAGATGGCTTGAAGACTGGAGTCAGCTTGCCTCATTCCCATGTAGTCTCATGGCCCCACCACATCATCTCCTAGGATATCCATATGTCTTACGGGCTGCCTGCAGGATGGTCCCTAAGACAAAGTTGTATGCTGCCAGAACTCTTAAGAGTGTGACCTGGAACTGCCATGACATTACCTCCACTATCCTCTATTGATTGAAACACTTGCAGGTCTTCTTACATTACAGGATGAGGGAGACATAGCTCACTTCTTAGAGAACAGAAAATAGAATATTAAGAGGCATCTCTAATTCTATGCAGGATGATATTCTATACTGTAAGAATGAACATTTACTATGATTCTGATAACTTTTGTTAACTTCTGTTGCTTTATATTATACATGTGTTTTCAATATACTTTATTTATCTTACTAAATACTTAAGTATTACAAGAAGGTTGAAAAGTACTACTATGTATGGATCACCACTTTGGGATGTTTGAGTTGTTGTGATAATAAATAGCACCCTCTTGCCTTTCCAAATTCTATACGGATTGAGTATAGGGTGTCAGCAGATGAAGAGTGATAAACAACTCTACTACCCGGAAATCTGATATGGAAGGTTAGGGCTGAGATTTGTGCAGTTAGATTTCATAAAATTCAACCCCAGAATTAGTCAGACTTACTCATAATGGCAGGGGCAAGTACCATTCCCTGCAGGGCCAAAAAGCAGATCACAGTATATGTTCTGTGCTTTCAATCCAGCTCTCAAGAGAAATGAGAGAATTGGGAATAGGTCTCACATGCTGAGTTTCTCACTTCTCTTTCCAAAAAAAAAGATTGTTTATATTGATGAAGAGATGCCAGAGGGGGTGGACAAAAAGGAGTGCACATGAAGGAATCCCTACAATATTTGCCAATGAGATTATCACAATCAAAAAGGTTTAAAGATTTTCACAAGACATCATCAAAGGTAGCAAGTTGCAGACTGAGACCTTGAATCTAGATCTGAGTCTAATACCTTAAACTATTTGCAACATGATACAATCACACTTTAGAAGAAACTTTGATATGGAAGACCTTTTTGTTGATACATAATATTTACATATTTATGAGCTATATTTGATACATTCTTACATATGGAGAGTGTGTAATGATCAAGTCAGGAATTTGGTGTATCCATCACCTTAAGTATTTATCATTTCTATGTGTTAGGAACATTTCAAGTTTTCTCTTCCAGCTACTTTGAAATATACAATATATCATTGGTAATTATAGTCACCCTACTCTGCTACCTAACATTAGAACTTATGCCTTGTATCTAAATGTATATTTGTACTCATTGACCAACCTCTCTTTATCCCCTCCTCCCACCCACACAACCTTTCCAGCTTCTGGTATGCATCATTCTACTGTCTCCCTTCATGAGATCAACTTTTTTAGCTCCCACATATGAATGAGGATATGTTATATGTGTCCTTCTGTGTCTGCCTTATTTGACTTAATATAATGACCTATAGGTTAATCTACGTTGTCACAAATCATGTGATTTCATTTTTTTGGCCAAATAATATAAATATACCACATTTCCTTTATCCATTTGTCCACTGAAACCTTGGTTGATTCTGTATCTTAGATATTATGAATAGTGTTGTGTTAAATATGCCGGTGCAAGTATCCTTTTGATAGACCATTTTTTTCCCCTTTGGATAAATACCCAGGAGTGGGATTGCTGGATTGTGTAGGAGTTCTATTTTTAGATTTTTAAAGAAATCTTCATGCTGTTTTTCATAAAACGATTGTGCTAATTTACATTACCAACAGTGTATAAGAAGTCCTTTTTTTCTTCATCCTTGCCACCATCTGTTATTTTTTTGTCTTTTTAATAACAGCTACTCTAACTAGAATAAGATATTATCTCATCATGGTTTGCTATGCATTTCCCTAATGACTAGAGATGTTGAGCATTTTTTTATATACTTGTTGGTCACTTGCATTTCTTCTTTTGAAAAATTGCTATTTATGTCCTTTGCTCAGTTCTTAATATCATTTTAAAGTTTTGTTTTAGTGTTGAGTTGTTTAAGTTCCTTATATGTTTTGGATATTGGTCCTTTGTCCAATGAATAGTTTGCAAATATTTTCTTTCATTCAACAGAATGGATATGATAGATCTTTCTGTAGACCAAAGCACCTACTAGGAGGTCTTCTACAATGCAATCATTTAATTAATCTTGATGGCATTTGCTATTGGCAAAATTATTGCAAATCTTTAAAAACTGTTTATCTTTATATATTGAAATGTGTTGTGTGGTAATATTCGCTCAGAAGAATGCTAATAAGAAATGTCATTTGAAAAATTCTAAATTATTTAAAAAATTCCCCACCATTTTAATAGATGTCTCAGTGAGTGAACTTTGTTTAGTAGAAAATCTACAATGGCACTTCCCTGAAGATTGAAATTCAACTCAGAATATGCTTTTGAAATTTAAAGTACTTTCATCTTAATGTTTTAAATTTCATGGACATTGACAACCCTATTTATATGTTTAGCTGAATAAGGGTTCCTGGTAACAATGGGAAACAATTTGAAATGATTTTTATAGGTGTTGAGGTGTATCTGTCTGTGAACTTTGTCTACAGTTTATAAAAAAAGAAGTCAAGTTCAATTATCCATTTTTTTTAGATTTTGTCCTTGATGTGGGAATATATATATATGTATAAGTATATATATATATATGTATAAGTATGTGTATGTATATATGTGTATGTGTGTGTATATATATACATTGTATATATATATACACACATTGTATATATATATACATTGTGTATATATATATATACATTGTGTATATATATATACACATTGTGTGTGTGTGTGTATATATATATATATATATATATATATATATATATATATACACACACACACAATGAACAAGGGAAAACAGGAGAAAAAGTTGTTTCAAAGCCATTATTTGAAATGTTTAAGTTTGGATCAGAGGCAAATGAAACTACGAAACAATGTTTAAGTCAATGATCTAAAGATAGCCAGCATTCTGACAGCCATCGTGTTGGAATCATGTGTCCTATAAATAAAATACTTTTCATGAATATTGGATTACAGTATTTTATAAAACTTTCCATCATTCTCTAAAAGAAGTTACATGAGTAGGTGATACACAACCATCACTAGATATCAAGTAGAAAAGAAGGGCTCCAAGGAAAATCAGAAATTTGTCAATAGTCTATTTATGTATTCATTATAGATCTAGTTTTTACAGATCTGTGACTTTAACTGAGAGCTTGACTGCTATTTTCTAAATATATTACACTTGCTTTTCATATAATTTTTTTTTTTTTTGAGACGGAGTCTCGCTCTGTCCCCAGGATGGAGTGCAGTGGCAGGATCTCGGCTCACTACAAGCTCCACCTCCTGGGTTCACACCATTCTCCTGCCTCAGCCTCCTGAGTAGCTGGGACTACAGGCACCTGCCACCACGCTCGGCTAAGTTTTGTATTTTTAGTAGAGACGGGGTTACACCATGTTAGCCAGGATGGTCTTGATCTCCTGACCTCCTGATCCACCCACCTCGGCCTCCCAAAGTGCTGGGATTATAGGCGTGAGCCACCACGCCCAGCTGCTTTTCATATAATTTTTTAAAGGAAAAAGAAATATTGCATCTAGAGAGGAGAGATAGAAAAGGAGAAGCCTCCATGAGATTATGTCTTTATGTGTCTTGGTATCTCTTAAATACTAATGGAGATTTTAGTGCTGTGAAGGCATGGTATAATCATGAGAAGGATCATTGTCAGAAGTTTTTATTTATTGCTTCAATTTGTCCATTTAGGGTACCAACAACGGAAGCTGGATAACATCCAGAAATAACCAGAGGCTGGAAAAACGTTAAAGGGTGAGTATCCTTATTAAGAATTAAAACTAGGGAACACAATATCTATCCTCAAGTCCAGCTCAGGTAAAGTCAAAATCCAGGTATACATTGGAATGCAATAAGGAGTCACAGAAAGGGCTGGAGTAAATTATAGTAGTTTAAGACACAATTTCAATTTCCCAGGCTCATGTCTGTTGATCAGCAAATGAATGGTGCCCGAGTGGTAGGACCTCATAAGCACAAGGTCATAGGTATTCAGTGTTATCAAAATCGAAAGTACAGCTCTTTGAAGAGAATGCATAAAGTATGCCTTCCACAGTTAACAGCTTATATTTCTGCTCTCTGTCTACCAAGATGCACACAAAACTCTCTTACTCAGGATCAACGTTGTTTTGTTCCCCAGCACGTGAGTAAGTAGATCTGATTTACCATTTCACAATTTTACATGAAAGAACAAATACTGCCTAGTATTTTATAATCTTTCTGGTATTTTACTTTGCATTTCAATAAAAAAATCTTACAACAAGTAATACTTTGTTGAGAAAAGAGTTTGAATAAAAAAAATAATTTGGAGGCAGAAAAACAGGGAGTTTTTTTAGAGTAGAAAGAGGACGAGCCATGGAAACAGAGTTGAATTTTTCTGGTTACTGTGTGAAATTGAGAAAGCCACATCAGGCTTAGGATTCACAGATTATATCTATTAGGATTAATAATACTTTTTGACTTTCCTTTTTTTTAAGTTCATTCAAGCAAGAGGTACATAGAATACAATCAGTAAATGTCAATTTATCTTACTCTCCAAAGTATTTTTGCTTTCTGAGCCCAAAATTAGCCTCCAGTAAGTCCAGGCTTTCAGGATAGCACACAAAGGCTGGAACTCTCTGCACTGTTTTTTTGTTTTATTTTTTAAGAGACAGGGCCCCACTCTGTGATGCAGGCTGGAGTGCAGTGGTGAGATCGCAGCTCACTGTAGCCTCAAGCTTCTGGGCTCATGTGATCCTAACATTTCAGCCTCCCGAGTAGCTAGAATTACAGGCTGGTGCCACCATGCCCAAATAATTTAAAAATATATATATTTTTAGACACAAGATCTTGCTATATTGTCCAGGCTGGTCTCAAACTCCTGGCCTCAAGTGATCTCCCCATCTTGGCCTCCCAAAGTGCTGGGATTATAAGCATGAGGCATCATGTCCCGCTGAATTTTGGGTAAGTAAATAAAAATAAGAATCAAAGTTCACTACCTGCTGTGTTCCGGCAATAATGTAGAATTAGGAATGTAAGAGGTCCCATATAACCCACAAAATTGCATTGTGAAAAAAGAGACCCAAATTTAACCTTAAAATTACTTTTGTTTATGTCATTTATCATTTATTGTGTTTCACTGGTTGATTTTAATTTTGAAATAAAATGAAATTAAATTAGTGCAATTTAAATGTGATATTTTAACTTACCACTATAAAACCATTAAATGCAAGTATTGTCCTCTGCCTATTTACTCAAAGAGGTGGAGAAAAAGACAGATGGGTATGTGAGGAAAAAACATTTTTAAGCAGTTATATGAAACGTCATTGTAAGACTAACTTTTTATACTGGACCATGGAAAATTTGGTCATTTAGATAGAATTTAAGTTAAAAAGTGCACAGCACTCTACATAGTATCAAAGTATATGCTTATCTTTGCATTAATGATGATACCTATAATTTATCAAATGTTTATTTTATGCAGATACAGTACAAAGCATTTTATATTTTCACATAATCCTCTTCATACTTACATGTGCAGGGTATTTTAATATTTCTGGTAATCAAATGAGAAAATAAAGCTCAGAGCAGTTATATAACTAGTCAAATATCATCTATCCATTAATACTGGCCTCTGAGTGACCTGGAGGCCATTACTTTAAAAAGATTTTATTTTTTTCTAGATTACTTTATAACATAAGATGGCATACATGATGATATAAGCCAGGGATCTCTGCACATATGACGGCTCTTTATTGTCATATTTTTATGATTTTTGGCCAAAGCCCTATGTCCATTATCCTCTTCACCACAAATTCCAGGCAAAAACGAATATTTACTATGTCCCCTGTCCAGGCCACAATTTTGGAAAGGCCTCCTTTCTTTCAAATATCACATGTTAAATTCTTATAAATAGTTTTCTAATCATCTCTTAGGATAAAACAGTCATAAAATTTTACCTGACATTTGGAGGTGGCTGGCACTCATCCAGGCGCACAGAGCTTTTTAAAACACTGACCCATCATAGGCCGGGAGCAGTGGCTCACTTCTGTAATCCCAGCACTTTGTGAGGCCGAGGCGGGCAGATCACGAGGTCAAGAGGTTGAGACCATCCTGGCTAACACGGTGAAACCCCGTCTCTACTAAAATTACAAAAAATTAGCTGGGCGTGGTGGTGGGCGCCTGTAGTCCCAGCTACTCGAGAGGCTGAGGCAGGAGAATGGCGTGAACCCAGGAGGCGGAGCTTGCAGTGAGCCGAGATCGCGCCACCGCACTCCAGCCTGGGCAACAGAGCGAGACTGTGTCAAAAAAAAAAAAAAAAAAAAAAAAAGATGCATCATAATTGTCCATATTTATGAGCTTCAGTGTGATGTTTCAGTACATGTATACATTGTGTAACGATCGCAGCAGGATAATTAGCCTATCACCTCAAAAGTGTATCTTTTTTGTGGTGGGTACATTCACAATCTTTTCTCTTCACTATGATGAGGCACACAGTATCTTTCTGCTGGGTCACTCTGCTGTGCAACAGGACGCCAGAACTTATTTTTTCTTTCTAATCGTAACTCTCTATGCTTCCATCCTGGGTTTCCACGCTCCACAGGGATGTTGCCACTCTCTTGTTGTAGTTCAGTGTACTTCTTCAGTCATTCTATGAGAAATATAGTTGGTTATTCATTGTTTTGATCCTGTTTTGTCGGAGGAGACGGGCACCAGGCACCTCTAGTCAGCCATCTTGTTGACCTCACCCAGAGCTATAAAATATATTGCTATGTTATCACATCTTAGCTCCCATCATGACTTGACACACTTCTCGCCACTCTTATGTTTCTCAAGTTAATTTGCTAGAAGAGCTTGTGCTGCATTAGTCACTTAAAAAATTTACTGCTCTGAGCACTTTGCACACAGTAGATTATGCAGTGATGACAGGTGGTGGTGTGTTAGTCATTAGTATTGTTTACCAATGGGTTCCCGTCCTCAGTTTTCAGGCATATGACAAGATAGCCAACGCATTCTTTGAAGTAAGGAGTAAGCCTCCAAATTGTTCTAAACAATAAATGTGGGGGACACAAGTCACTATTAGATGAAAGCTAGCCCAAAATCTGCCTTGTACACTTTCATCTGTCAATGCACCAGGCTTATGGTGATTGTTTTAGAGAAGAAGAAAGTCAATAAAAAGATAACCACCGTAGCAAACCACAATGCTGCCTTTTCAAACATTAATGTGACTGGAATCAGATGTGACTCTGTCCTTTTTGTAGTTTGACAAGACACCCCTTGTTGTCTTCTCTGAATGTGCTATGGAAAGTAGAAACACTTTAGGGCATGGGAGCTTGTCATTTTCAAGTTGGAAGCCAACTTATAAGACACTCTGCAGCCAAACATCTGGGGCATATTTTTACTGCCTTCTTATACATAATTTGATTTATTTATTGCCTTCAAATTCAATTTTTTCTTGGCTGATTTGCAATTTTTAAAATACTGTGTGCAGATAGGATTTGTTATGACAAAAAGAGGTGTTAAATATGCAATTGTTTTTAGTAGCTCACTTATTTCTTCATAGCTCAGTTTGATCTTGTCAGACACAATGAAGATAATTATAACAGCAACAATACAAATTAATTACATGTGCTCTTGATTCTTGATGTTGTGCTACCCTACTATGCAGTGAGGTTTTGATTTTGTGCTTAAAAATCCGTAATAAATAATGTTCAATTCTCTTTACAGAAAGCTAAAGAAATAAAAGTAGGTTTTATTGTTCTTTAAGTGTTTAATTCTAAAGGAAATGTAAAGTAAGTATTAAACGAGTTGCAATAAAAATTTCACAGACTTGGAGCATAAATGTAATCTGTTGTTAGCATATATGGTATTACAGCTTAGGACTTGTGAGACAGATTGGTACCTCCCATTAATCTTACTTCTCTAGCATTTTGAAATATGCCATCATATAAAAAGATTTTAATTCAAATTTTTAAAATGACTATAGCATATTTTTAAGTAAATTAATTACTAGGTTGTTCACAAATATGCAGTCCCTGAAAAATCTAGTTTAAGAAAATGTACTCAATATAATAGGAATGGAATCTATATTCATAGTAGTTTAGAGGAGGGGTTAGCAAACTGTGACCCTCAGGCCAGACTGGATGCTTGTTTTTATTTTTATATAAATAAAGTTTAATTGGAACAGCACCAAGTACATTAATCTAAATATTGTCTATATCTGCTTTCATGGTATAACGGTGGGGCTGCATAGTTATGGCAGAGAACATATAGTTCACAATGCCTAAAATATTTGTTCCTAGTCATTCACATAGAAAGTGTGTTGCCCTCACATTTAGAACATGGGCAGAGAGTAAAAAAAAAATGGTTCTGGCATTTTATAGATTTATAACCTTCGCCAAATTGTGTACCCTTTCTCTAGCTGCATTTTTAAACTTTGTATTATGAAGCACATAATAATCATGAAGAATATATAATCATCTTATATCATAGGCTCAGCTGATGTTTAAATGCAATGAGATATGTAAATTGCTTAGATTAGTGTCTAGAACAGAAAAAATGCTTAATAAATATAACATTATTAATGTTGTGATTGTTTCTCTTCTTTTGTTTATGAACTATCCTCCTAAGACTTCCTGACATGTTGTGTTCTTACCACAATAAAATATTTTAGACATGCACAACCACACACACGCACGCGCGCACACACACACACACGCAAGACTAAGACTGCCTGAGGAGCATCCACATAGATGTAAATGATTAGACTGTTTATGTTACATAGTTTACATGATGAGATTATTAATGCAATTCTCACCTAAACAAAAGTTAAAATGTTATTTTATGTACTTCATGTCCTTTGTAGGGACATGGATGAAATTGGAAATCATCATTCTCAGTAAACTATCTCAAGAACAAAAAACCAAACACTGCATGTTCTCACTCATAGGTGGGAATTGAACAATGAGATCACATGGACACAGGAAGGGAAATATCACACTCTGGGGACTGTGGTGGGGTGGGGGGAGGGGGGAGGGATAGCATTGGGAGATATACCTAATGCTAGATGACAAGTTAGTGGGTGCAGCACACCAGCATGGCACATGTATACGTATGTAACTAACCTGCACAATGTGCACATGTACCTTAAAACTTAAAGTAGAAATAAAAAAAGTGAATTTTTAAAGAATACATATTTGTATTTTCAAATTTTGACATATTCAAAAAAAAATTTTATGGGCATATTTGGAGTTGACATGCTTAGTACATGTAAAATGTATTTGGTATTTAGAGTGTGACTTTGAAGACATAAAGATAAATTGGATAATACCATTATTTTAGGATGGGGCAGACATTTTATAGGCTTAAAATCTAGTGTTTTGTCTTATTTTTACAAAAGTGTGTACTCATTAAATACTTGGTGTAATAATTAAATAAATGAGTGAATTTTGTAATGAATGTCAGATCTCCCCTTCCTTCCTACAAAAATAAGTTAACCGTAAACTGAATCTATATAATAAATAACACAATAATAAGTCTCTAATGCTATTTTAAGCAGTTTTAATTCTGAAAACAGGGAGTTTTAGGTATTTTTTTGTCTCTTCTAAAGACAAGAATCAACTTTACCCTGTGCATCATTTCCTGCACTGATGTCCTTCATCCCATCAGTAGGTTTGCTGCACTTCAGTGCTCTGGGTTTCCTGATTTCTTTTTATAGTGTCAGTGAGCAGCATAACACAGGTCACATTTGGGGTGGTGTTCTAAGGACTAAGTTCAGAAGGGAAACAAAGGCAGACCCAGGTAAACGCCACTGCAGGATGCTACATGGATAGTGCCTCATGCAATATTATGAGTATTTTCCACTTTTCTGATTTTTGAAACCCACAACTAAATCTAGACAGTTTCTAGATAATGCTTGTTGAAGTTTTTTCAAAACCTGGAATACCATCCTTTTGACCTTTCCATCTTGAGGTCCTTTGCATGCAAGTAATGTCTGTAGCACATAAAATTACCCAAATCATTTTATTCTTCTTGGAAATACTTCCATTACTCCAGGTAAAAAATGTCTGAGTTCGCCTCATATCTATTAATGTTGTTGCTAAACTGTTTGCTAGGCTTCTCTGAAAATGTGGTAACCTAGAGTCTTGTTTATTATGGAATTTGTCTTTTTGTTAAGACTAGTAGTTAAACAACCTAGAATTACATTACAACGTGTGAAAATATAGAATATGAATTGCGAGTTTGTAATATCTTACAACGTGATTTCTTTCTGTACACTAAGCATATTTTCTTAAGTCTGCCTAAGAACTCAAGAGAACTTACTATTCAGCTTACGTCTTCAACCATTATTAAACAGCATATGGGAAAGTGAAGAGTTCCCAGGGTCCCTTTCTTTAATTTAGTTAGTGCTCCATATTTATTTAAGTTTGTATAAATCAATAAGCACCTTACCTGATTATTAGCCCATCTGGATGCTGACTATTAGAGTTCTAAAGGAACTGTGTAAACAGCATTGCTTCATATTCATATTTGGCATTCATATTTAGCACCGGGCATTTTAAGCAATTTAAAAGCTGTCAGGGATCTGTGAACCACTGCTAAAAATTTATTGAATATTGAAGAACAGGAGAAGGTACAAGAACAAGAGCTAAATGGAGAAATGTGGTTTGTAGCCAAGGAAGAAACTTTTATATGATATTTGCCAAAGAAAATCAGGCAGAATGTAGATTATTGAATAGATTTCTATGCAACCATAGTAACAGAGAAACTAAGAAGATACAAATTCTCAGAGAGGCTGAGAGAGCATTATCACCTGTTTACTCTTTTCTTACCTTCAACCCCTCTCCCTAAGATGGAAACTACTCTTTAAAAGACTTGAAAAGACAAGAAAAAAGAGCAAGGAAACTAGAATATTCCTGCCGTAGTCAAGGCAGAGACGATAATGAAATGACTGACAATTAAACATGTACTTCACACATGCTTACACATACAAAAACTTATTTATATACGTTTGCATAGATACTTGACAATTCACATAAACCTATGTTAGACCATACGACTGGAAGGTCTTGATAATGAAAGAGAAGGCTATTAATGACTAAGTTAGAACACCGGGCATAAACTGGGATTGGCCCTAAGCACCTAAAATAAATAATCCCCTAAATAAATAATGAGTAAGCTACTAATAGCGCTAATATAATCAACTAAATCGTTCAGTTTTTATATACCCAAATTACCTGTCAGCCCTGCATATTTAGAGGTAAGTCATCAAATCATTTATTTTATAAATCAAATTTTATTTCAAATCAAGTGTAACTATTTAGAACCATATCTCAGCGTTAACTTGGAATCTACAGACAGTCCTCTCTCTGCCCTCTAAGTGTTCTTGTCCTTTCGTTTGCCTCTGCTCCCGTGTAGTTTAATCTGTGCTGTGGGAAAGACATGTTCTGATTTGCAATGACTTTAATAACCTATCTGTAGGCAAATTTAAAAAAGGAAATACCTGCAGACACCTGCCAGGAGGTGCATTTACGTTGAGACACCACGGCATTCATTTGACATTACTGTTTAACCGGTTATATTTCCAGTGGATGGCCTCAGATTTTTTTCTTCACATTTATTAGTCTATACTTTTCTAAACTAAATGACATTTCTTTGTTTTTGAAATGGAATGCCTGACCTCTTATGTCCACACTTATTTTTGTTTTCAATTTATTTTCTTTTTACACAAATATGCTGTGGATAATTTTATACTATCACTCTCTTCTGCTGTTCCTTCTACTTAAGTAAAATATTTTTTTCAGAAAACAATAGACAATAGCCACAACTAAATATTTTCTCTCATATATCATTTTATTTTTAGTTTTGATTCAAGTATCATGTCCTAAACTCTGATTAGCCTAAATCAAAAAATACTTTTAAATCAAAAATGAATTTAAATTGAATATGTAATTGTTTTAATTTAGACAGTGATTCTATAAAACATTACTACCTACTTCTGCTTTAAGTATATATGTGGTTAACTTACAAGTGGTAGCTAAATAGTGAGAACACACGGGCACACAGAGGGGAACACCACAGGGGAGCACACAGAGGGGAACTTAGCCTTTCAGAGAGTGAAGGGTGGGAGAAGAGAGAGGATCAGGAAAAATAACTAATGGGTACTAGGCATAATATCCAGGTGATAAAATAATCTGTTCAACAACCCCCCATGACACAAGTTTACCTATGTACCAAACCTGCACTTGTACCCCTGAACTTAAAGTTAAAAAAGCCGGACGCGGTGGCTCACGCCTGTAATCCCAGCACTTTGGGAGGCCGAGGCGGGCGGATCACGAGGTCAGGAAATCGAGACCATCCTGGCTAACACGGTGAGACCCCGTCTCTACTAAAAATACAAAAAATTAGCCGGGCGTGTTGACGGGCCCCTGTAGTCCCAGCTACTCGGGAGGCTGAGGCAGGAGAATGGCGTGAACCCGGGAGGCAGAGCTTGCAGTGAGCCGAGATCGCGCCACTGCACTCCAGCCTGGGCGACAGAGCGAGACTCCGTCTCAAAAATAAAAAAAAGAAAAAAGAAATAAAGTTAAAAAAATTAAATGATGAACAAACCAATTCTACTACGTAAGTATTGACTTTGTGCTCCACGAGGATGCTGTCCCCTCAATTATAAACATCGTCCATTTAGTTAAGCTTCTGATATCTAAAGTGTAAACAAAAGAGTATTATTTGGAAACAAACGAGATTAGACTGACATCACCTTAATATGTCATAGTATTTGATATTACCTTGTGATTCTCTTTTCCTGAAATGATACACACTACTTTCTCAACTTCATTAATGTCTCCTATCCTCACAACTCAACCTAGATGGCATTTATTATAAAAAGTTTCCTCAAACTTGTTTTGTACCTTTACTCTACTTGGAGAAAGTATCTTCTTTATTCATTTATTGCTTATTTTTAAACCCTGTATGACATATTTCTTTTGGGGTAAGAAAATTCAGACATTAGGGCAATGACCCTAAACTTTAACACCAGTATATAAAACGAAAATTTCTCTATGGTACTTATTCTTCTATCTCTTCATAGTATCCTTTGATCCCAGTAAAGTGATCTGCCTTAAGTTCTGTCTCTGTGATTTTGCTTTTAACCCTTTGATGCACATATTTATCCAGACAGTATAAACTTTTATATCAAAAACTATTGAATTTTTCTGAACTCAGAGATTAAATAAAATGGCAATACATATCTTCCAGTACATCTTCTATAATCCCTACCTATGTATATGTATTTTAGTATATTAAAATTCTATCATTATTATTTAGTACCATGTGCAATATAGTAGTTTATTATCTCATAATAGACAAACATTATTTTCTCTACAATTATTAATAATTTAACCTACCAGTGACAGAATTGTTACTCATATTTAGACATTTTTAAATATGCCTCTGTCTCCCTTTGTGTCCCATTTAATCCCTTTAGAACATGCTACATGACATTAGGATGACCCAAATTCCACTATAACAAACTTTAAGAACCAGTGAAAACCTTGTCTGGGAATTAAATAATCTGACCAATGAGTGAAATTTGGTAATGTTTACCTTACAGGATTGTCTCATGGCAATAATGGAATGGTATGTTAAAGTAATAATGGTATTATGAAAACTTGGGAGAGCCTAGGTTAGCAAAAGCAACCCACTTTGTAAAGCACTTAGGCAGGTAGGATAATTACTTAATCCAAGTACCAAAAAGGGCTTTGAAAGGAATAATTTATGGTGTGGCACCTGATGATCAGGCTGGATGTATTTAACTCAAATAGTCAAGTATTTTAATCCTAAACCATTTCTGCCCAGCCAAATAGAGGAATGTGACTGAGATTGGTTTAGCTAATTGAAGCCCATATTGGCCATATTACCTGCACATGAACATGTAGACTTTAGTCAGTTTATGTTTTAAAGAAATAAATATGCGAAGCATCAGTTTCAATACATCTAAACATCAAAGTACTAACCTAGACTCAGAGAATGCTACTCATTCTACACTTTACAAACTCTAAGGTGCTAGAAACTCTGTTATGTACAGCATCTCGTGCAAAAACAGTGCAAGTTTATGTCCCCCTGAGTACAAAATCATTTAAACTTTATGTTCATTAAACATTTTAATAGAGATATAATAAAAAACATAAAAGTAATTAGGGAGGATCTAAGGTTACATATTATTACATATCAGACACTATCCTAAGCCTTATATATGTATTAACTCATTTAATTCTTACAACAACCTTAATAGATGGGTATTATTGTTATTATTTCTATATAAAGATACAGAAAACTAAAGCATAGAGGGGTCAGGTAATTTGCCAAGGACATCACTGGCAGAAGCAGGATTTGCACCACAGGTAATACAATGGCAGAGAACGTGCCTTTAAGCGACAGTGTATAATGTCCCTGATTCCATTTCCGTGCTTTGATTTCCTCCAACTCCAGATTTACATATATCCTGAGAACTGCATCTGGAAGATAAAATGATTTGTTCTCGATAAGGCAGAGAAAAGATATACTACAGGAATGGCAGCAGTGTTTCACCAATTTCTATCCACAGAATGAAGATTAGTCCATATCATGTCCTCTCTCCGCTACCACTGATTTCTACATTTATACCTGGGTGTCATCATCAGACCTAAGAAATCTGGAGCTTCCTTAAAACTTGGTACATCTTCCTATGAAGTCAAAATTTCACAACCCTCATACTTTAAAGGAAATAAATAGCAACTTGCTATCTAAAAATCGCTTTCAAAATCAAAGAGAAATCCAAGAAATCTAGAATCCTAGTATGTTTGATATTGTTAGAGATGAAAGAAGCTTTTGAGTAACAGTGTATAAAGGTTAGTGTTTCATGATTTGTTGCTTTGCCTTAAGATTCCTGGACTGGAAGGAAAAGGTAATGTATGTAAGTGAAATATATGTATGTGTTTTCTACTATATAGTAGGTATGTTCAGGGTTAATGATACACGTAAATAAAAAAGGCACTAAAGATATTTAAATTATAAACAAATTAGAAATTGTCACTTTTTTTTTTTTTTTTTTGAGTCAGAGTCATTGTCTCACTCTGTCATCCAGGCTGTAGTGCAGTGGCGCGATCTCAGCTTACTGCAACCTCCGCCTCCCAGGTTCGAGCCTCCAGAGTAGCTGGGATTACAGGAACCCGACACCAAGCCCAGTTAATTTTTGTGTTTTTAGTAGAGACAGGGTTTCACCATGTTGGCCAGGCTGGTCTTCAACTTCTGACCTCAGGTGATCCACTCGCCTCGGCCTCCCACAGTGCTGGGATTACAGGCTTGAGCCATCACTGTCACTTTAAGGGAGTTGATCTAGTTTATCCTTAAATTGAGCTGATTCCAATATTCAAAATTAAATCAATGTTTTCTGACACTACTGCCTCAACTTTAATGGTACATGTTCCCATATATCAAAAAGAGGAAAAATGGTGCAAAATCACTGAATTTTGAATAAATATTCCTTCAAAGGTATTTAAAATCTGATTATTCATTAATTCACATATGTGTCAGAGAATAACAGTGAATCATACCTAGGGCTGGGGGAATAGAACAGTGAAATTTGAACACTCTTTCCAAGTTTCTATTGATCTGCAGTGCCACATTATTTCCTGAATCTATATTAAATCACACAGTTTATTTCTGTTCTCCATTATAATATTTTATAATATGAACTGTTTCCCATTGGACTAATTTGAGCAAGACAGTTTCTTGATCCTTACCTTTTTGTCCAGAGTGATGGTTAACCTTTCAAAGGATGTTGTTTGTTTTAAGAGGTAATGTATATGTCACCTTAGGTCTTATGGAGGAAAGACATTATATAAATCTTATATATGTGTCTTATTCCTAATTGGGATTTCCAATGAGCAGAAAGATTCAAGGTTGAATCCTCATTGAACTTCTTTCCTAACACTCCCTATGATTCACTATATCTGTACAGCAGGAAATAAAGCCTATCAGCCTCCCAATAAAACTTGATGAGTTTTAGAACATATTCTACGACTGCTCATTTAACATATGCATTACACTGAGGTTATTATGACACTCACTAAAAGCCGACTAAATCCATTTCAACAAAGCTCAACGCTTTTAACAGATTTGTCAGTGTTTTAGCAAATGCCACAGTTAGCACCATCTATTGGCTGATTTTACAAGTCTCAGTTGTTCTGGATGTTTAGGTAGAAATTTATTATGAATATTTCTGCAAAGTAGAAAACACCAAAGCAATGGCCAATCTAAATAATAGTAATTAAAATTATATGATGATTAAAGGAATAATGAGGTTTAAAAATTGGTCTTAAATTATTCTTATTCCATATTTTGTTTAGAAATTTAAAATGTTTAGACTTTAAAAGCTTTTCTTTCTATTCAGTTAGCTTTCATGGGACAATTAACAAGTTCTTTGATATCTATTTATTATGTTTCTTATTTATTAGATAGTTGTGAATATTTATATTGAAGTTTCTTCTTAATGTTAATTTTTCTTATATATAAATGTACCTGCTTAGTAAAAAGCTACTAGAAACTATCTGATATAATTGTTTTGTAGCAACATAACTCTAGAGGCAAATAATTTATTCAAAGTTACCAATTCTGGAACAGTAACAACATCTTCCATATAATAATCTTTGCTGGCAAAGTATTTCAAAATAATCACAGAATCTGCGTTTGTTTGTTCAGCAAATTTTTACCTCCTAGTTAATATCCTCATATTAACATATTCTCATATTAACATAGAACATATGTGGTCCTTACACACAAAGCACACACAAATACATGAGAGACAGTGAGAGAGAGAAGTAAGAATGAAGTAGGGAAGAGAGGGATGGGTTACAGATTAGGAGAATTGCTGTGACAAAAAAAAAAAAAAAAGAGAGAATGATAAGGAAGAACATCTAACATCCATAGTTGGTTGTAGAGACAGAGTCCTTTCAATTTTCAACATTTCATGACAAGTATCTTCTGATTGTATTCCAGCTGCTGGAAGTCAATGCTAATTGCAGAGGTGAGCTTCATAATGGCGATCAAATATTAAATCATCCTTTTCTGGTTTCCTTACACCTGTGAATGACGGCAACAAGGTTTAATTCTCTAGCCACTAGGCGGTCCTTGATTAAATTCATCACTGATTTGCTTCTAGAAAACTCCTTCAAAAGATTTGGACCAAAAATTCATTAATATACTGGTTTTTGAAAAATCCATATTAGAAACACATATGTTCTGTATATTTTATACACACACACACATATACACACACACTACATACTGGAGAAAAAGCAACTTTATAATAGAAAGTATTTTATGGATGCCTTATTCTAATAGTATTTTGAGTTATGTAGCCTATGTACAATAAAAAGAGGACATATATAAAAAGGACACTGTATAAACACATGTAAGTAAGCTACAGTAAATAGACTATAACCGCACCCAAAGAACGACTGGAAAGTAGATGACAGAAGTCCTGGGTGAAATTCTTCCTTTCATCTTACAAGTTGTGTAATAGCAAACATTAGAAAATAGTTTCCTAGGTGGACTAAAACAATACAAAACAAGGCAAAATTTAAATAAATATATCTATTTACAATCTCACAAATGTATATTTACATATGTTAAACTCTAAATATTGAATTAATATTAGAAATAATAAATATTTTATGACTCTGACAATTAACTTTAAAAGCATCCCAGGCCGAGCATGGTGGTTCATGCCTGTAATCCCAGCTACTCAGGAGGTTGAGGCAGGAGAATCACTTGAACCCGGGAGGTGGAGGTTGCAATGAGCCGAGATCACTCCATTGCACTCCAGCCTGGGAAACAAGAGCAAAACTCGGTCTCAAAAAAAAAAAGCAACAACAAAAAGCATCCCAATAAGATATATTGCAACAGAAATACCAAAAGATCTAAAATATCAAATCAAAATTATCTAGAAAATTATCTAGAAAATTAACTGCTATGAAAATTATACATTTGAGCTACTTTAGTTGCATAATGTAGACTATTTAACTGGCAGAATACCTGAGTATTTATTTTATTTATTACCCATAGTTCATTAATGCTATCGAGACATGACAGTATTAACAATAATTGAATTTAAATTTCAGATTAAAAAAATGTTAGTCATACCAAGGACCAATGATTAGAATTAACATAAATAATAATTTTATGGCATTTTTTGCAGAAATCATAAGTATGCAGAACCACGTTTAAAAGCACATGTATGCAACGAAATTAAATAACATTGCATAGGCTAAGATATACTTGGTGCTTCTCTGTAACTCTGACTCTAGCGTATCTTTTTTTTTCCTAATTGGACCTTCAAAGTTAATAAAACTGTAAGTATTCTAGTGGCAGCATCTGCATTTTTTTCAATTATGCTTATTGCTTTGTATAGCACAATTCATACTTATTTGTATTATTAATATTTATTTGTATATTTATCCCCAATAAATAAGGAATAACTAGCTGTTATTTCATTGTTAAAATTCTACTTTAAAGGAATAAGACTTATGGGGCTCTTACACATAAATGCAAGTAAATACGGAGATAGAGAGGGAGGGAGAGAGAGAAAGGGACAGGGAGAGAGAGGCAAAGAGAGAGACAAAGAAGAGAAAACTTGAAGTGCCTCTCTCACACACACTTAGGAACAGTGCAGTTGTTGGAATTGACATTCTTGAGATTCCTAATATGAGAATGTGAGAAATTAAAAAAATGGCATTTTTTTAGAATATCAAGAGAAGATACAATTTGAATGTATAAGACTTTGCATGCAAAAAGGTAAAAGTAAACATATACTTATGTGTTCAGACAAGTTTGAAACCAGTAGAGAGAGTCTCACTTTGGCATTAATGAGTATTATAAACTTTAAAAATGAATATAAATATATATGCTTTTATTCACACCAATGTTAATGTATGTGAATTGTATAGTCTTATTAATATCAAATTTAACAGAATCTGCATTTTACTGCCTAAATCCTGTACTTGACTTTTGAGATGAATAATACCATGGAGATGGCATATTAGGAATAAAATCATTTCTAATTATGTCAGGTGGGACTATCATTTGTTTTGTATAATTAATGGTCTTATTTTAAAATTTAAATTTAAAAGAAAAATCCCTTTCATTGTTGTTCCTTTGCATAAATAGCATTGAACAAAATATATCACAAGACTAAATTGAAATTACTTTTCCTATAAGCTCCTTTAAAAAACCCCAAACTCATAATAATATTAGGGTAATATGTCTATAAACAACATTTGCCAAAATATAGAGGTGTATAGAATTGTCATTCTTTACCTTACCTCACAAATAGACTGTCTTCATATTAAAAATTCAAGTATTTTTTAATCAGTTGAGTAATTTTTTTTCTAATATATTGTTATGTAACTATCTGGTTATATTATTTCTTTATATGCCCAAATGTGATACATTTATGCTCAAATAGTCACCAAAGCTCTATTTGTCTCTTTTGCTTTGTTGAATAAACAAATCTATATTTTATGAACTTATATACTCAAAAATATTTGACTTTCATAGAAAGTAAGTTATTTGATTTTTTAATTTATCTATTGTGCCTTTTCGTAGACTTTTGCATTAGCTCTTTGAAAATAAAATGATTTAAAAAGAGATAAAGCTGTGATTCTGTTTTGTATGTCTCTTTTTCCTTTCTATTGTAATTCTCAAACAATAGGTGTATATTAAACATTCCAAGCTGATCAATACCTTTTCTTTGTCTATTTAGTAATTTCATCCAAGACTTTTGTTAACACGTAAGATAACATTTACGATAATTAGTGAATGTAGGGGTAAGATGTATTTTGGATAAGTTGATATGTGAATGAAGAGACCTGGGTTTATAGAAAAGTATTTTTCCCTCTACTTATATGTATTTATAGAAGTCACTTAACTCTCTTGAATCCTTAATGTCTTCATAGACTATTCTGGTAGATACAAAACATAAACGGGACAAAACAGAGGTAACCATTGGAAACATACCTGGGTCCTGTCACCCCCCACCCAGTGAGCTTTATGGAACATTAGTTCTGGCTGAACCTAGAGATAAACATAACCATGATTATAATTAAAATATTTTGAGCATTTATTTTATGCCGGGCACTATGATCACAATCTACGTATGTTGTTCTTTCACATTGTCAACACAGACATATGATTCAGAAGCTACTGTCATTTAAAGATGAGGGAACTGGCTTATCAAAAGAAGTTCATATCATTTAAGTATCAGAGTTGGGTTCTGAACACAAGAGTTGTGTTCCATCATAAGTGATGGAACACATAAGATCACTTATGATGGAAAGACCCTAGCTTTATTATTTCACTGAAAATGACACACATTGAGGGAGGCCTCTTTTTCCTACGCTTGCTAGCAATGCCTTTTCATTCCAATTTTTTTTCTTTTTCTGGGGGGAATGGTGTAGGTGTGGCAGCCTGTAACCAAGGAAACAGCATGAACATTTACTGTCAGATAGAGAAGAGCAACAATTCTGGCTCCATAATTACTAGCTCTAAGACCTTAGAAATGTTCAACTTGGCCAGGGAGGTGGCTTACGCCTGTAATCCCAGCACTTTGGGAGGCTGAGGCGGGCGGAGCACAAGGTCAGGAGATCGAGACCATCCTGCCTAACATGATGAAATCCCGTCTCTACTAAAAGTACAAAAACTTAGCTGGGCGTGGTGGCGGGCGCCTGTAGTCCCAGCTACTCGGAAGGCTGAGGCAAGAGAATGGCGTGAACCCAGGAGGCGGAGCTTGCAGTGAGCTGAGATGGCGCCACTGCACTACAGCCTGGGCGAAAGTGCGAGACTCTGTCTCAAAAAAAAAAAAAAAAAAAAGCCAACTTTGTGTACCTTACGTGAGACTGAATAGTAACTATGTCATGGCCACTGTGTAAGGCGAACTGTAAATACAACATATTACTTTTAGGAAAATGCTTCGTGATGTCCACATGCTAAACAGTCTAGAACAAATTCCAAATCTACTGGAGTCACTGATCCATGTTTTAGCTGATAGTGGAAGAGTCAGAAGAGAAAAGAGAGAGTGCCTTCCCAGAGAAGAAATTTGAAGAAAAGGATGTACCAGCCAGAGACAGGCAAA
Source organism: Homo sapiens (assembly GCF_000001405.40). Lineage (NCBI taxonomy): Eukaryota > Metazoa > Chordata > Mammalia > Primates > Hominidae > Homo > Homo sapiens. The sequence goes on from NC_000004.12 coordinate 29,732,112, forward strand.
TCTATGCCCTAAAGAATGTGGGATTAAAACCTCTAATCTCTGGCAGAAAAATGTCACAAAAGGATACTGTGATTGGATTTCTTGAGGAAATAAATATGAAAGAGTCTTCATTTGCCTCTTGTTTCACTGTGCTGAGACAACATCAACCTATAAATGAAGAGGACAGCAGATATAACAGTTTTTCTTCAGCAGTTGAGTAATAGCTGACCAGTCCTTCAAACTTAATTATCGAAACTTTGGTGTTCACTTTTTAAAGTCTAACTATAACAAAGTAGTTTAATTCTCTAATTCATGGCTCAGAAAATTATGTGTACACATTTCATGACAGGGCACTTATTATGTATTTACGGATAGGGAAGAGGTGTACTATTGTCTGTGTCCCTCCAATTCAGGTGTTTGCCAATGGGTCAGTATTAAGTCAGGATACTGTAAGAGGTGATTAAGCCATACGGTTCCTTATTAAGGTCCTTATAAGAGATACTTCTTGCAACATTGGGCTCTCTTGCCCTTCTACATGTGAAGACACAGCTTTTCTTCCCTGCAGAGGATGAAGCAATATGGCACCATCTTGGAAGCAGAGAGTAGTCTCACCAGACAACTTAACCTGTTGGTGCCTTTATTTTGGACTTCCCAACTTCTGAAAGTGTGAGAAAATACATTTCTGTTCTTTAAAAATTACCCATTGTAAGGTATTCTATTATAGTGGAACAAATGGACTAAGATTGGGCTTTTTCTTTTTCTGTGCTTCTTTATAAGGGCAACCAATAGAGAGATCTCTTCTGATCTTGCAGATTGCATAAATACACTTTCTGAGGTCAGAATAGGTGAAACTGAATACTTGAAATAGCCATAATACATAATGTTTTAGCTAGTTGTAGAGTCTGTTGATTGGTTATATACTATTGTTTTTTGTTGTTGTTGTTGTTGTTGTTGTTGTTGTTGTTGTTTGAGACGCAGTCTCGCTCTGTCGCCCAAGCTGGAGTGCAGTGGTGCGATCTCTGCTCACTGCAAGCTCCGCCTCCCGGATTCACACCATTCTCCTGCCTCAGCCTCCCGAGTAGCTGGGACTACAGGCGCCCGCCAACACGCCTGGCTAATTTTTTGTATTTTTAGTGGAGACGGGGTTTCACCGTGTTAGCCAGGATGGGCTCGATCTCCTGACCTCTTGATCCGCCCGCCTCAGCCTCCCAAAGTGCTGGGATTACAGGCGTGAGCCGCCGCGCCCTGCCAATACTATATGTTTTTAAGTCACAGTTATAATGAGGCAATATCACAATCAATCATTTCTAGCTTGTGAGAACACCTCATCTGCAAGTATAAAAAAATTCTAGCCTGTTGGGCCACTGTGACCTTGGTCTTTTTTGCGTGGCAATTAATGCTTCAATAGCCTTCTCTGAAATTTTTTGCTGTTCAAAGGATGACAAAAATGTAATCAGCTTTGCGTTATTTGATACATCTTCATTTTTGAGGGTTTGGTTTGTTTTCATCGATGATCATAGTGTTAAGCATTATATGGCAATAATCCTAGAGGACTGGTGTTGTGATTCTGTTGTGATCTTTCTCTCCATTCTTCTATCTCTCTTTTTCAAATGATTACTTTTAAGAGGAATGATCTATATGTTTCTCTCATGTGCCTTTGTGAAAGGTATATTACTATTACATTTCTAGCCCTACAATCTAAGGCCATGACCTATGGGAAAGGGGCCCAAACTCTCTCAGGGATGTTGAACATAAACTAAATAAAGTTTTTACTTTTTTACTGAAATAAGACTTTACACATGATTAGCAACCACATAATTTATTATAGCGTCTATAAAATATTCCAATAAAATATTATACATGATTCTTTATGATTTTTCTAAGATCTAGCCACATGATAGTCTATTAAACTATAGTTACAGAAACTTACAAAATCTTTTATGTGTTAAAAATGAAAATAATGATTGCTCCCAATATATCTCACAAAGTTGATATAAGAATTAATAATTTAATAATCATGTGTCAAATAACTGAGTAGGAGATAATAGGGGATTTTCTTCCCTTTAGATCTTTAACTTGGAAATCAAGACTTGTCATTTGCATTGTTACTTGATGAAGGTAGTCAGCTAATGCATCTCAATGGAAAAAAAGAAAAGTAGAGATGCATTTGTCTTTCATAGCTTATGAATTCTCAAATACTAATTATTGCAACTCAAAAGAGATGTCCTGCCATCTTGCCAGTATTTTTTTCTCTATTCTGGCAAATTAAAAAAAGAAGTAATAGTTCAAAAAGTTAAAACAAAAATTTACAGGCTTTTATGGGTTCAAATGATTAATGAGCATGAGTCATCCTTTTTAAAGTTATATTTACAGTTTAGTGTATGCGTATGAACCCTGGTTTCATCTGCATGACAGATTAAAATTATTTACAGTGTTTTATAAATATAGTTTCTATATAGGAGTACAACTTTATGAGTGGATGGATGGCTGCCTGGACAATGTTAAGGAAAATTAAAACTGCTCATAACTGCTCATGTGTGAAATCCTAATACACAAAGTGTCTGAGGTGCAGACTGCAGTAAATTTTGCCAAAGAGGAGTCCAGTGAATGGCAAACGATACTGCAGAATGAAACACTTGAATGAATGTTTTCCGTAGAGTAATGGTAGATATACTTTATGCCGATTGGTGGCAATACAGCGTGCATAAAGAAAATAAACAATATTTTTATGTCAAGGCACAACTTGAAGTCACATTCCCTGACAAGTGTCCTGCTACATGTATTACTAAGCATGTGTGGACAACTTCTGAGGCCTAGCATACTTAATATGGGTAGGTTCTTGACAGAGCACATGAGACTTAATTCATTTCTGGAGTGCTCCGTTACCGACTCTGACAGCCTTACAGCTCTGTTGGGAAATGAAGTATAACATGAGGTTACTAAGCAACTCTGCAGCTTTTTAAAAGCATGTCTTGGAACTCAGTTGTTTCTCCTAATTGATTCCGTCCATATCAGTTTGAACATAAATGGGACATCATGTTTAGAAATATGCTGGATTGGTACTTTAAGCTAATGTCTTGCTACCTCTGCATATCTAAATCAAGGGCTGGCATATAAATGTCATATTGAAAGCAAATTTTTATCTTTCTCCTGAGTTGCATCATACACACACACACACACACACACACACACACACACACACACACCTATTTCTGCACCCCAAGCTAGGGTCTGAGTTTATCTGCACATTGTCAGAAAATAACAGAAAAAACTGAAGAGTGATGTTACTTTTTTTTAAACTTGTACACAGAATAAAATTTTAATTAGCCCATCTGACTTACCCCTCAATACATTCCCACAGTATAATACATTAGAATTAATAGCAAATCTGTCTCACAGCATTGTAGCCACATTGACATTTCTGTAGTCAGTAAACCAATGAGCAAGATAATATGTCATCCAATCTTGAAATATTAGTGATAAATGCATCCACATACTGCATTTTACGAGGAGCAAAGTAGACTTTTATCAACCTTGACTCCTCTCCATTATATCAGAGGTGAAGAGTAAACAACAAAATGTTACAAACTTTTTATATTCAATGTGTTTTCTTAAGAACCCATTTGCTCTTCACTCTACATTTTTGAATAGTGCATAATTTAGTTACTAACTCTGTAAGCATGGAACATTTTGCAATTTGATGAAGTTCCAAGATGTAGGAAAGATTGATAGATTGAGAAAGTCTGGATATTTTTACTTAGTGTCTGTTTTTGATTTGTTGAGTTACCTTTCTACTTAAGGTATGACCGTTACAGAATCTTTCACAAAATATACACTTTAAACCACTTGATGATATAAAATGTATGTTTTAATTATTCATTTGCTTGAAAGAATCACAGTACTGTGTATATATAGACGGTACTAAAGTAATTGCAGTTTTGCCATTAAAAGTAATGGCAAAGCAATTACTTTTGTATGAGCCTTATATATATATATTGAGACAGGATCTTACTCTGTCTCCCAGGCTGGAGGGTAGTGGTGCAATCATGGCTCACTGCAGCCTCGGCCTCCCCAGGCTCACGTGGTCCTCCAACCTCAGTCTCTTAAGTAGCTGGGACTACAAGCATGTACCACGACAGCCGTCCACGTTATCCAGGCTGGCCTTGAACTCCTGAGCTTAAGTGCTCTGTTCACCTTGGCCTTCCAAAGTGCTGGGATTATAGGCATGAGCCGCCACGTGTAGCCCTATATATATATATTTTTTTAACTTCATCTTAGGGCTTTCCCTTTTAAACACTTTTTAATTGGATGAGAAATGATACGAAGAAATTTCAATTTAGATCAGTCTGTCCATTTATCCTACCACTGTTTACAGATAAATGAGGAATCACACTACAAACACAGAACTGAGGACAAAGCAAAAACTACTTTAAAGATTCAATGGTAACAGGTAGAATAAACATGCCCTTTTTCAACTAAAAAGAACTGTGGAAGTGAATTTTATTTACTGAATCAGAACCCTGTGGTAGTTGTCAATATTGCATGGCCTTAGTAGTCAGAAGCTTGTATAAAAACCAAGCCCTAGAATTAAGATGAAGATTTACACAGGCAAGCTATTTACCGTAGCAGTACTGACATACTCAATGTGGAATAAATAAATAGCAATAATTTACATGAAATATTGTAGTAATGCATGTTTTAATATAATACAGATTAAGGCTGATATGTATTTTATCTAAAAATGTTTGCATATTCATTTTGGAGAAAAAGCATTTGTGTTCTCATTACAGGAAAATTCACACAATTGGAAGGAGTGCAAAGAGACAAAAATAATAATAAAATTTAAGCTATAAAAGAAGATATTTGAAAGCATAAATGTTAACACAAATTATATGCTCACCTGATAAAGTGTCTTAGTTAACGTTTATTGCTTGTAAGAAATGAGCCTAATGGGGATTAGTTTTCCACATCTATCCACCTGTCTAATTAATTGGTTGCAATATGTTTTCTAAAAAAACAAGATACATAAAGTATTTTCAAGATTTTATAGATTTTTTAATCAAACAGAAAAATATTGAAAAATATCAGTTCATTTAAAATAGAAATATAAGAGCAATAATAAATATAAATTATGTGCAAATAAATGTAACACATGCAAACTTGTATTAACAATGTCTCAAAGTAACAACTGGTTCAGTAAATAGGATTATTTGGAAGTGAGATCAGCACCTTGATGAAATAAGTAAAAGGCTTTCTTTTTTCTTCCACAGAAAGTCAACGTGAAAATGATATACAGCCCAAAATACCTTTATGAGAAATCCAGAAACCAGTAAGAACTGGTAGCACACGAGATTGGAACTAATTTGTTTTGCTGCTGGTTAGACATAATTGAACAGCAAACATCAACCACTGTAGCTTATATTTTGAAAGGAAGCTGATGAAAATTGAAGTTAAATTTTTATTTAAAAAACTATAAAAATACAGAACAACTACTTTTGTTGGTTCCATCAATAGATGACATCCATTAGCAGATTTTACAATGTTTTCTTTGAGCAAAGAAAAGATAAAAATCACTAGTCAAAACCATTTATTACCCTCTGAGCTAAGATTCCACCTCTCCAATTTGATTTCTCCAAAAACATTTGGCAGCATATAGTTTTTAGTAGCTTCAAGCAAGATTAATCAAGAAGAATGTCATACAACTGCATCAAATTGTAGCCATAAACCAAAGCAGCCTCAGGTGAATTCCAATTGAACATTAGTACATCAAAGAAAATTTTTTATCCACTATGAAAGCAGAAAAACCTTAAATCCCTTAAATGTTTTTCTAACCAGCTCAGTGTTAAAAGATTACATATTTACAGATATATTTCCAGAAAAATATGATATAATATGGTTTGGCTGTATCCCCAATAAACTCACCCTGAATTGTAGCTCCCATAATTCCCATGTTTTGTGTGAGGGACCCAGTGGGAGATAATTGAATCATGTGGGCAACTTCCCCCATATTATTCTCATGGTACTGAATACATCTCATGAGACTTGATGGTTTTATAAGGGGAAACCCCTTTTCACTTGACTTTCATTCTCTTTTTGCCTGCTGCCACGTAAGGCGTGCCTTTTGCCTTCCACCATGATTGTGAGACCTCCCCAACCACATGGAACTGTGAGTCCATTAAACCTTTTTTTCTTTATTAATTACCCAGTCTCAGGTAAGTATTCATCAGCAGCATGAACATGGACTAATACAAGATATACGTTACATTCTTTTTGGGACACTGTTTTTTTTTTTCTTAATTAATTGCATACAACTTTCTGAGTTATTATGTGTTTTTCTGAAGCATCATATAAAATGTCTGCTTACATATGGGTTTAAAGTAATTCATTGAATCAGTCTTATTTATGAGGATATTAAGTAATTTCTACTATTTTATCCAGTAAACAAAATATTTTGCTGCAAGATCCATCTTATATCTACAGAATTTTTAAAAAATATGTTTATTTTATTTTTTTATTATACTTTAAGTTTTAGGGTACATGTGCACAACGTGCAGGTTGGTTACATATGCATACATGTGCCATGTTGGTGTGCTGCACCCATTAAATCTTCATTTAACATTAGGTATATTGCCTAATGCTAACTCTGCATGCAGAAGTGAATCTCAACCTCACCTGTAATTAACATTTTCACTATCAAGTTCAAATCCTGCCTTTTGTTTCTGTATTATCCCTGCATACTCTTACTAATAGTCATCACTTTGCACATCAATTTACTATTCTATTGCATTTGCATCATATTTTTGGGCTCATGGGTTTATATTTACTTCAACTGTTTTTCCAAATATCATCTTATACTTAAAATAAATAATTAAGATCTTATTTCTCTGCTATCATTATTTTCATGTTCACTGTTAACACTTAATAAATACTCAATTAAATAGTACTAGCATTGAGTTATGCATTTTTAAAATAAATATTAACCTCATTATTTCTTCTCTCCCTAAACTTCCTACCACTTATTCTTTTCAATATTGATGCTTCCATTTTTAAAGCATTTAAAGAAAGTTGCTTTTTCTATTAGTTATTCCAACAAGTAGATGCAGATTAATTTTTCGTGTTCTTTTTGGATTTATGGATTTGGATTTATTTCTAAAATGTTTTTATGCCAAAGGAATTTCTTATTTGGATAAGGTTCAGGATCTTTTAGTATAAACAAAATAAAGAGACCTTAAATATTAATGCTTTAAAAAGTCTACAGATTATATTTTATATTTTAGAAATAAATCCAGTGTTAGTGAAAATGTTAATTACGAGTGAGGTTGAGATTCACTTCTGTATGCAGAGTTAACTTACCTTTTCATGTGTCTATTATTTTACTGTGTTCTTTTCATTACAAAATAGCTTCTTTCACAAAGGATGCAAAAAATGTGAATAAACAAGAAAAAAAGAAAAATTGGTAAAACAGATTTAGGGAGGTACTACCATCCCCGTAAGTATTGCACCATCCCCCTTTTCAACCTATTTGCAAAAATGTTCACACATTTAATAATCAGGTTTTTCTATAATGCATGTTTCCTTTATTAAGATATCTGAAGGAGAGAAAATGAACACATCACAATGTAATGTCTTGATAGAGATGGCAAAACAAAATCTATAAACTACAGTGATCGGCAGCTAACGGAATAAGTACGTAAATGGTTTTCCCAAGATGAGAATGTAGTGACTCGGTAAGCAAAAGACAGATTTTGAAAGTATGACAGCATGACTACAGAGGTGGTTATGAATGTTTCCTATTGATAATAAGAGTGTCATTATTAATTTGTGTACAATTACATTCACTGGATTACAGTATACTACAAATATCCTTATTAAAGCCTCAGAGCTATTTGCCACAATGCTTCTCAACACGGCACTGACACAATACATTTAATATTCAACTATGATGGAAAAATGTTTAATGTCCTTGTTATTTATTAACAAAAATAGTGATGTTAATAACTGTTTGATATATCAACTTGTTACCCTGCTGGTGGCCTACTTTTACAATAGCACTTTTATCAGTAAGTAATAATTGCATAAAAGGACATAAAGAAGAGATCCCAAGAAGCTCTAAAATTCTTGCTATTCCTTCTGTAATAACCTCTGGAAAATTGGAAAGATTCACAAAAGACAGTGACTGATATGTATCATATAAAACCATAAAGCAATACACCATCTGTAATTAAATATGTATTAATCATTCACATCTATTCCACAGATTTTTAAGTAATAATGTGTGGCTAAGTCTCCTGTCTTATGGAAAATAAGTGAAAGAATAATTTCCTTTGTCTTCACAATAATGCCAGAAGTTAAGTGTCAGTTTGGAATAAAGTAAACCTGGAAGTTACAGAAAATACAGCTAGAGTACTACTTCCAGGGGCATTTTTTTCGTATGTATCTGGAAATATTACTAGTATTGGCTCAGCTTCTCAGCAGTGTCATTAATGATCCACATTCTTTCTTCGTATTCTATCACTCTTGGCAAGGTGACCTTTCTTCTGTTAATTACAAGATGGTTGCTGTACTTTGATCAGTTTTAAGGAGGAGAAAAGTAAAAGGCTTTCTTTTTTGAAACAATAGTCTGTGTGTGTGTGTGTGTGTGTGTGTGTGTGTGTGTGTGGCCTAATTACTACCCAGACCCCTTTCTGCTCATTGTACTAGTCAGAATTTGCTCACATACCTAATAAAAAAGAGATTATCATGAGATTACTAGTAATGATCAGTCATTAATTAACCCTTGCGGCTCTTGTGGAGACCATGCCAATCCTCCAATCAGGAAACTTTTCTTTCTACCTACACCATTGTGATAAGTAGGTATTTGTTCTTCTTCAAACAATAGGAAACACTGAACTGCTTCTCACTGTAGAGTTACACTACTTAATTTTCCTTTTCAATTGTTATTCAGCATGCCTTGTGAAAAATATATTGTCCACCAGCTAAAGTCAAAGAGTGCAGCAGTTGGGAAAAACATACACAGCTTTGGAAAGAGATAGGAGTTCCCTGTCTCCACAGGCTGCCAACACAATGGAACAAAATTGAGTGACTACTGTTTGTGCAAATGTTGCTTTACCATCATAAAATCAATTTTTAATTTGTCAATAATCTAAATTGAAATTTATCTTCAGTGCATTGAGCTGGAGGAGATCTGTTGCATAATCAAAGACATCCTCTGGCAAACCTTGCTCCCGACTTCTAAATACTGCAGTTTAACTTCACTGGGATTTTCTTAATCTTCATAACCTCGAATCCTGTGATGTGAACTGTTAAGGGCATCTCTGAGTCACTTATTGAAGTCTTTTGAATAATGTATTCTCTCAAGTCCACACTTCCCTTTGAAGAGTTTGCCCCCTCTTGTCTCTGTAATCAGAGCACTGGTGTAAACTTCATGCCAGTTGTAGAAGTTCTATGAATGAAAAGCTCTGCAGCAAACTTTATCTGCTGTTTTCTCTGCTCTGTTGACCCCATTGATAAAACCTCTCTGCCAACACAGTATGAACAGCATTCCTATGGGAAACATATATTTTACTCTTCTGATAAAAAGTGGATGTTATCACATCAAAGGGCTTCTATGTGAACTGAACCCTTATGACTATAATATTTGTTTGGCTCTAGAAATGCCATCTGGAGAGTATGTTACAAGATAATATTATGATAAAATGGAAAATTCCCAAAGTGTAATACACGATGTTAAAATTTGAAAAATTATGAGATTTTTCTTACTTTGTCTCCTTTCAACTTCATATCTGTCAAAGATGACCCATCTCAATTCTCCATTTGTATTCCATCAGCTTCCACTCTAGGTCTTGGACCAGTAAAATGTTAATCCCATATTCTGTGACTTGATACCAAGTAATTATTACTGCTAAAATGGATGTGACTGTCTGAATAAATTATGGAAACAAACTTTCTAAGATGTAGCCTAAGAACTATGAAACAAAACAAACACTTTCTGAACCTTAAGATTGCCTTAATTTATCCTATAAAATCTAAGATATATAGCTATCACAGTCAGTGGGGTAATTCCACTTCCTACTCAGAAACAAGGCAGACAAAGCAGCTATACAGTATAAATCCTCTTTCTCTCACCAGGATTTTCTAGTAGCCCATAGTCCCAGCTACTCAGGAGGCTGAAGTGGGAGGACCACTTGTGCCTAGGAGTTTGAGGCTGCAGTGAACTATGACTGTACCACTGCACTCCAGCCTGGGTGACAGAACAAAACCCTGTCTCAAAAAAAAAAAAAAAAAAGAAAAAAGAAAAGAAAGAAAAAAAGAAAAGAAAAAAGAATGTGCTATCCAAAGGTAGCCAATTTAGTAAATATCCTATTCCACTGCCCCATGAACACATGAAAGTGGATTTTCATTGTATGTTAATAATAACTCAACTTAACTGCTAGAAAATATATTTTGAAATGGAGATAAGGTTTCTTTTAGTTGTTGGTCTTTCCTTTAGGCAAGTTTTTAGAACACCAGGAAAGCTACACGGCTGTAACCTCAAGGTAACTCATGGTACTTTATATCTACAGAAAGACAGGAAGAGCAAAACAAATAAAATAAAATGCCATTGCCATCTGGAGTGTATAATAGAAATGCACAATGTATCATAATAGACAATAGCAATCTCAGACAGAGCTGCTCTTCCAGATTTGTCTTTATGTCATGCTTCAGGTCTGGTTTCATGACTCTTATAATCTGAAAAACAGAATTACTCACAGAATAAAATGCCAAGCAATAAGAGTAGTATCTTGAACACCACATGCTATTCTCAGAAGTAAAAATTTCCAATATGCTGGGGGAATAAGCAAAGAACATCATTTTTAAATGAATTAGAAAGATATTTTTACATTCTGACATATCTTTAAGAATTTTAATATCAGCTCAGTAAATATTATACTTGTTACGAACTGAATTGGGTCCCTCCCAAAATTTATATATTGAAGTCCTAAAGCTCAGTACTTTAGTGTGTAATTGTATTTCTAAGGTCTTTAAAGAAACGATTAAGACCGGGCATGGTGGTTCATGCCTGTAATTCCAACACTTTGGGAGGTCAAGGAGGGCAAATTGCTTGATTCCAGGAGTTTGAGACCAGTGTGAGCAACATGGTGAAACCCCATCTCAATGAAAGATACACAAATTAGCTAGGTATGGTAGCATGTGCCTACTCAGGAGGCTGAGATAGGAAGATCATTTGAGCTGGGAAGAAAGAGGTTGCAGTGAGCCATGATCAAACCACTGCACTTCAGACTGGATGAGAGACCTGTCTCAAAAAAAAAAAAAAAAAAAAAAAAAAAAGGAAGTAAGAAAATTAAGAAAAAAACCAAAAACCAATTAAGATTAAATAAGATCAGAAAGGTGTAGCCCAAATTAATTAAGACGGGTGTCCTTGTGTGATTAATCGACTGCAAGGGTGCACCACATGGAGAAAAGACCATGTGAGAACACAATCAGAAGGCACTATCTGCAAGCCAAAGAGAGAGGGCTCAGGGAAAACTAACTTTTTCGATGTTGGACTTCCAGCCCCTATCCAGAACCATGAGAAAATAAATGAGCTGTTTTTGTATTTTGTTGCAGCATCCCTAGAAAACAAATACAATTCAGTAGTTGCCGCCCCACACCCCTTTTCCATAGTTTTATTATTATTCTTATTCATGATTTTAATTACCTGTGGTCAGCTGTGATTAGGAAATATTAAATGGAAAATTTCAGAAATAAACAATTCATAAGTTTTAGATTGCATGCCATTCCGAGCACAAAGATGAAGTCTTGTGCCACCCCATCCCATCCTGCTCAATTTCAGCCTGGACATGCAACCTCCCTTTGTCCAGCGTCTTTATCTATAGAAGCTCTTTGTCACTTAGTAGCTGTCTGGGTGATCAGATTGACTGCCACAGTATGGTGGAGCTTGTTTTCAAGCAATCCCTAGTTCACTTAATAAGGGCTCCAAAGCACAAGAGTGCAATGCTGGCAATTTGAATATGCCAAAGAGAAGCTGTAAAATGCTTTGTTTATAAGTGAAAAGGTAAATGTTCTTGATAATGAGGAAAGAAAAAACCATATGCTGAGTTTGCTAAGATCTAAGGTAAGACAATCTTCTATCTGTAAAATTATGGAAAAAACAATATGTAGAGTATATAGAGAGTTTGATACTATTTGCAAGTTCATGCATCTACTGGAGGTCTTGGAGCATAATCTCTGATAATAGGAGGGGAATACTTTCATTCTGATTTTTAAATTTTAGCATTTTTTTTACCTCAAAATGTTCCCATCTCTTAATTTCTCCTTTTCTAGTTCCAGAAACTTTTCCTCAGTGAGACTTTACACTTATTAAAATGTCTCATTCTTTTTTTTTCCTTTGTTGATGGCATGTTTCCTTTGCTGATAGCAGTTTACAAGTTCTAAGCTGTGAGGTTACCAGATAATTTTGATTATTGATGTTGATAATACTAGAAACAATTAAATAAGACTATAAGTGCTCAATTATTTTAAGACAAGTGTACCAAGTTATTGTAATCTGAATATCCAATAAGTTAACTGGTATATATTAAGCCAATGGAAATTTTCTCTTAGCAGATTTCTTCAATTTAGTATTCCTTCCTTATTTGTGTTCTCAAACATCACAAAATTAAATGAAAAATGTAACATTGAGAAAAAGGGGGAAAAAGGAATGTAAAAGGAAAACACAATATCTAAAATCTCTGAGACGGTTTCAAAATTGCATAAGTGTACAAGAAAAATAATAAGAAAAGAACAAACATAAGAAATATTTGAAGTGATAATAGCTGTGAACTTTACAGAATCAAGGACAGAAATCAAATCATAGGACCAGAAGGCTCAAAAACACAAGGCAGGATAAATACCAAAATTCTGCTTCTTTTTGGGTATATCATATTCAAATTGCAGAAAACCAAAGACAAAAAAAAATCTTGAATGGAAGCTGCCATGGGGAAATATTTTACTTACAGAGGAAAAATAATAAATGCAGTGGACTTCTCAGACTATAAGCAAATGAAGATAAAGTAAATATTTAAAGTGTTGAAAGAAGAATAAAGTGCCAAACTAGAAGTTTTTATCCAGCTAAATTATTCTTTAAAATGATGTAAGATTATTTCAAAGACAAAAACAGAGGGAATTTATTTTCAATAAACTAAAAGAATTTCTTCGGGTAGAGGTAAAATAATACATTTTAGAAATTTAGATCTACAAAAAAAGGAAATAGATAAAAAAATCAAACCACGCTAAGAAAAATAAGGTAAATTACTGTGTTTTTGATTTTTAAATTCTTAAATAATATATAATATAACTGTGTGTATAAAGCAATAAAATGAGAATGTATAGGGTGACTATACCTTATTAATAAGTGAAATCAAAGACTGCAATGCCACAAGGAAGGAAAGACCCAAATTGTTCTTATATAATTTACTTATGTTACATATGAAATGATTTAGTTCTATTTTAGTGAGGGCTTAGATTAGCATGAAAAAATGTTTATTGTGAACTCTAGGGCAGTGTATTAGTCTGTTGTCACACTGCCATAAAGAACTACCTGAGACTGGGTAATTTATTATTTTTTTAAAATAAGTTTCTTTGACTCACAGTTCTGCAGGCTGTACAGGAAGCATGGCTGGGAAGACCTCAGGAAACTTACAGTCATGCAGAAGGTGAAGGAGATGCAGGTACATCTTCACATGGTGACAGGAGAGAGAGCGAGAGAGAGAAGGGGGAAGTGCTACACGTTTTCAAACAACCAGATCTTGTGAGTACTCACTCACTATCATGAGAACAGCAAGGGGGAAGTCTTCCCCCATGATCCAATCACCTCCCACTAGGTCTCTCTTCCAGCAGTAGGAACTAAAATTCCACCTGACATTTGGGTGGAGACAAAGAGTCAAACCATATCATTTTGACCTTGGCCCCTCCCAAATCTCATGTCCTTCTCACATTTCAAAACACTATCATGGCTTCCCAACAGTGCCCCAAAGTCTTGACTCATTGCAGCATTAAATCATAATTCCAATTCCAAAGTCTTATCTGGGACAAGGCAAGTCCCTTTCACCTATGTGACTGTAAAATAAAAAACAAGTTTGTTACTGCCAAGATTCAATGGGGTTCCAGGTGTTGAGTAAACAGACCCATTCCAAGAGGGAAAAAATCAGTCAAAACAAAGGGACCACATGCCTCATGCAAGTCCAAAACCCAGAAGGGAAGTCATAAAATCTTATATTTCTCAAATAATCTCATTGGACTCCATGGTTCATATCCAGGCCATGCTGATGCAAGGGCTGGACTCCCAGGGTCTTGGGCAACTTTGTGCCTGTGTCCCTACTGGGTACATCCTCCATGGCTGCTCACTCAGGCTGACATTGAGTGTTTGTGGCCTTTTGAGGTGCAAGGTGCAAGCTGTCAGTGGGTCTACCACTCTGGGGTCTGGAGGAAAGTGGCCCTCTTCTCACAGCTCCACTAGGCAGTGCCCCACTGGGTACTCTGTTTAGGGGCTCCAACCCCACATTCCCTGTCTGCAGTGCCCTAATAGATGTACTTCACGTGGGGTCTATCCATTCAGCAGATTTCTGTCTGGACATCCAGACATTTTCACGTGTCCTCTGAAATCTAAGCAGAGGCTTCCAAACCTCAACTCTTGCCTTCTGCACATCTGCAGTCCCAACACCATGTGGAAGTTGCCAAGGCTTGGGGTTTGCACCCTCTGAAGCAACAGCCTGAATTGTACTTTGGCCTCTTTTATCCATGGCTGGAGCTGGAGCAACTGGATGCAGGGTTCCAAGTCCCTAGTCTGGACACCACATGGGGGCCCTCGGCCCTCCCCATGAAACCATTTTTCCCTCCTAGGCTTCTGGGCCTGTAATGGGAGGGGCTGCTGTGAAGGTCTCTGACATGTCCTGGAGACATTTTGCCAGTTCCCTTGGTGATTAACATCCAGCTCTTTATTACTTATGCAAATTTCTGCAGCCAGCTTGAATTTCTCCCCAGAAAATGGAATTTTCATTTCTAGCACATCATTTTTCTTTTTTATCACAAGTTTGCAATTTTCCAAACTTTCATACTCTTATTCCTCTTGAGCACTTTGCCACTTAGAAATTTTCTCCACCAGATACCCTAAATAATCTCTCTCAAGTTCAAATTTCCATAGATCTCTAGGGCAGAGGAAAAATGCCATTGGTATCTTTGCTAAAGCATAGCAAGGGTGACCTTTACTTCAATTCCCAACAAGTTTCTTATCTCCATCTGAGACCATCTCAGTCTGGATTTCATTGTCCATATTATTATCAGCACTTTGGTCAAAGCCATCCAACAAGTCGCTAGGAAGTTCCAAACTTTCCCACATAATCTTGTCTTCTTCTGAGCCCTCCAAACTGTTCCAACCTCTGCCTGCTACCCAGTTCCAAAGTCACTTCCACATTTTCGGGTATCTTTATGGAAGCACTCCACTCTCTGCAGTACCAATTTATTGTATTAGTACATTCTCACAATGCTTTAAAGAACTGTATAAGACTGAGTGATTAATAAAGGAAAGTGGATTAATTTACTCACAGTTCTGAATGGCCGGAGAGGCCTCAGGAAACTTACCATTATGATGGAAGGCATCTCTTCACAGAGTGGCAGGATAGAGAATGAATGCCAGGAAGGAAAATGACAGATGGTTATAAAACCATCAGATCTCATGAGAACTCACTCACTATCATGAGAACAGCATGGGAGAAACTGCCACTATGATTCAATTACCTCCCACGGGGTCCCTCCTATAACATGTGGGAATTATTAAAATTTAAGGTGAGATTTGGGTGGGGACACAGAGCCAAACCATATCTCCAACTGAGACCAGTTCAGCCTGAACTTCACTATCCATATCACTATCAACATTTTGGTCACAATCATTCAACAAGTGTCTAGGGAGTTCCAAACTTTTCCTCATCTTCCTGTCTTCTTCTGAGCCTCCCAAATTATTGCAACCTCTGCCCATTACTCAGTTCCAAAGTTGCTTCCACATTTTCAGTGATCTTTACAGAAACATCTCCCTTCTCTGGTACCAATTTTATGTATTAGGGTGTTCCTACACTGCTCTAAAAATACTACCTGAGACTGGGTAGTTTATTAAGAAAATAGGTTTCCTTGACTCATAGTTCCAGAGGATGTACAGGAAGCATGGCTACAGAGGCCTCAGGAAACTTACATCACGACACAAGGTAAAAGGGAAGCAAGCACATCTTCACATAGTGACAGGAGAGAGAGAAGAAGGAGGAAGTGCTACTCACTTTCAAACAACCAGATCTTATGAGCACTCACTCACTATCATGAGAACAGCAAGGGGGAAATCTGCTTCCTTGATCCAATCACTTCCCTCCAGGTCCGTCTCCTAATATTGGGAATTACAACTGGACATGAAATTTGGATGGGGACACAAAGTCAGACTATATTAGGCAATTACTCAAAAATGTAAAACAAAAGCATAATTAATAGGCTAAAACAGACTGGAAACAATCAAACATTCAATTTAAATCAGAGAGAAAGATGGGAGAAATAAATAAAAATGCAATTAGTAAAAAAAGGTCAAACTTCTTCTCAATGAGTTTGCATGAAAGAACAAGTGTTGAGAAAACAACCCCTTAAAGCCAAAATGGGAGAGAAAAGTCTCATGTCAACATCGTTGTCATTAGACACATAGATTCGAGCATGTTCATCACTTCTGACCATCTGGTCTAAAACTGTGGTGGGATTGACAAAAGAACCACTGAAAATTTTGATAAGGAGGCTGGTGAGTGGGAGAGGACTTCTTCAAGTATGCTTGGCTGAGCAAGAACAGGGCATCACCATTGATATCTCCCTGCAGAAATTTGAGACCAGAAAGTATTACGTTACTATCACTAATGCCCAAGGACATAAAGACTCCATCAAAAACATGATTATAGGAATCTCAGGCAGACTGTGCTGTCCTATTTGTTGCTGCTGGTGTTGGTGATTTTAAGATGGTATCTCAAAGAATTGATGGACCTATGAGCATTCCCTTCTGACTTACACACTGGATGTGAAATAACTAATTATCAATGTTAACAGCATGGATACTACTGAGCCACCCTACAGCCAGAAGAGACATGAGGAAATCATTAAGGAAATCAGCACTTACATTACAAAAATTGCCTATAACACTGAAGCAGTACTATATGTGCCAATTTCTGATTGGAATGGGACAAAATGCTGGAGCCAAGTACTAACATGTCTTGGTTCAAGGGATAAAAAGTCACCTATAAATATGGCAATGCCAATGGAACCATGCTGCTTGAAGCTTTTTGTTGCATCCTACCACCAACTTGCCCAACTGACAAGTGCTTTCATCTACCCTTCCAGAGGTCTGCAAAGTCAATGGTATTGAGCCCTGTGCACTGAATGGAGACAGTGTTCTCAAATCCAGAACGGATGTCACCTTTACTCCAGTCAACATTACAACCAAAGTAAAGTCTGTTGAAATGCACAATGAAGCTTTGAGTAGAGCTCTTCCTGGGGATAATGTAGGCTTCAAGAATGTGTCTAAGATGTTTGTCATGGCAACACTGCTGGTAACAACAAAATGATCCATCAATGGAAGCAGCTGGCTTCATTGCTTAGATGATTTTCCTGGACCATCCAAGCCAAATCAGTGCTGGCTATGCCCTTGTGATGGATCATCACACAGCTTACATTGCTTTCAAGTTTGCTGAGCTGAAGGTAAAGATTGATTGCTGTTCTAGTTAGAAGCTGGAAGATGGCCCTAAATTCCTGAAATCAAGTGATGCTACCACCATTGATATGGTTCCTGTCAGGTGCATGTTTGTTGAGAGCTACTCTGATTGTCCTCTCTTGAATCATTTTGCTGTTTGCAATGAGACAGACAGTTACTGAAGGAGTCATCAAAGCAGTGGACAAGGAGCCTGCTGGAAATGTCAAGGTCACTAAGTATACCCAGATACCTCAGAAGACTAAATAAATATCCCTAACGACTGCCAACTCAGTCTTGATCAGTGGTGAGGAAAAGGTCCCAGAACTGTTTGCTTCAATTGGCCATTTAAGTCTAATAGTAAAAGACTGGTTAATGATAACAGTGGATCGTAAAACCTTGAGAAGGAAAAAAAAAATGTTTAATGGACCATTTTGGGGTTTTGTATGATTGTGTTTGTGGCAGTTTTAATTTATTAGTTTTAATAATCAGTACTTTTTAATGGAAATAACATGAACAAAAATCTGTTACATAATTTTGAGACCCATTAAAACAAACTTTAATGAGAAATCTGTGTCTTCTTTTGGTCAACACTGAAACATTTTTAGAAATGCTTAGGCAAAGGACTTCAAAATCTATTTATGGTGTTGAAAATCTGCTGAAACTTCATGGGAGTATGATAATTCTGAGTTAACATGTTTTTCTGATTGGAAATGGAGACGTTTTATTCCCCTACTTATTTTTAAGGGAAAGAAAATGTGTTTAAAGTACCTAGTGAAATGCTATGAGAGGGCTCTGGTTGCAAAACTATTGGTTAGGACAGAAATGCAGCATGCTTTTGTTCACTTGTAATTCACTTTAGAAGGTCAAGTTCTGTAATATCAAAGACCATGTGTTACATATAAAATTTTGTGTAGTTACATCAATATTGAGTAAATTTGTTGGAATCTCAAAAAGAATTAAAAGCAAAGTATACGTTAACCCAAAACCTTTTAATATTCTCTTTAAATCGAATGGTCTAAATGCACTGATTAAAGTGCAAAGATAGAGCGAATAGAAATAAATTGTAAAATGTTGCCTATAAGAAACCTAATTTAAGTATAAAGAATTTGAACGGTTAAACTTAGAAATGTACTGTATATTATGTAGAAATAGACCATGCTGACACTAATCAAAATAAAGCTTTGTGAACTATATTAATTTCAGACAAAGTAGAATTCAGAACAAGATAATCAGTAATTAAGTGAGGCATTACAAATTGATAAAGGGATCAATTCTCTAAGAATAGTTAATAATCCTTAACATGTATGTGTCTCATGGTAACATCAAAATATGTGAAACAAAACTGATCAAACTCAAAGGAGAAATGTGCAAGGCCACTGTTATAGTTGGAGATGTGGAGACTTCAACACATCTCTTTTAGTCATGGACAGATAAAGCAGGCAATTATCTGTCAGGGTTTACCTGAACAGCACTATCAATCAACTTAATCTAATTGACAGTTATGGACTACTTCATCCAAGAAAAACAGATTACACATTTCTCTCAAGCTCACATGAAACATTCACCAAAATAGAGCAAGTTATGGGCCATAAAATACTCTTTAACACATTTTAATATAAATTATTTAAAGGAAATTATCAGATCACATGAAACGAAACTAGAACTCAATTAGGAAAATAGCTGAAAAATCTCGGAATACATGAACATTAAAAAACAAATTTATATATTGGAAGTGGGTCAAAAAGCTCTCAAGAGAATTAAAAATTATTTTAAAGTAAATGAAGATGAAAATATAAATTAAGAAAATATGTATGATATAAGGAAAGCAGTTCTTAGGCCAGGCATATTGGCTCATGCTTGCAATCCCAGCCCTTTGGGGAGGCTGAGGCGGGTATATCACTTGAGTACAGGAGTTCAAGGCCAAACTGGGCAACATGGTGAAGCCTCATCTCTACTAAAATTTCAAAAAAATTAGCTGGGCCTGGTGGCATATTCTTGTGTTCCTATTTACTTGGAAGGCTGAGGTGGGACAATCAATTGAGGCTGGAGGCTCATTGGGTGGATATCACACCACTGCCCTCCAGCCTGGGTGACAGAGTGAGATCCTGTCTAAAAAAAAAAAAAGTTTAAAAAGCAGTGCTTAGAATGAAATTTAGAGTACTAAATAATATAAATCTATATTTATATATTTTCTATATGTATGTTTTTCTCTCTATATATACAATATTTCTTTATGTTAGAAAAAATAAAGATTAAAAAAAAATCTTAGCTTTCACATTAGGAAACTAGAGAATAAAGCACAAGTTAAGTATAAAGCCAGGAGAAGAACAGAAAAAATAAGAGTCAAAGCAGAAATCAATGAAATTGAAGTAGAAACAAAATAGAGAACATTAACAAAATCAAAAGCTGATTCTTTGAAAATATAAGCAAAATTCACAAATCTCTAGTTAGATTAAACAGTAAAAGAAGTGAAGGCAAAAATTGCTAATGTCAAAAATGAAGACATCATTATTACTCATCCATGGGCATTAAAAGGATAATAAGTAGCTCTATGCCACAGATTTGATAATGTAGATAAAACAGACCAATTCTTTAAAAGACGCAAATTACTAAAATCCACAGCATGAGAGATAACCTGTATATTCCTATTTCTGTTAAAGAAATCATATCAATAATAAATAATATTCCAAAAGAGAAAGCACCAGGCCTATATAGTTGCATTGGTGAATCATAGCAAATATTTAAGGAATAGATAATGCAAATTCTCCATAATCTCTTCCAAAAAATAAAAGCAGTTGGAACAGTCTCTACATTATTCTATTTCGCCCTAATAAAAAACACAGAAAATAAAGGTATTATTTAAACAAAAAAACTACACCAATATCTTTTACGAATATACATGCAAAAGCCCCCACAAAATATTAGCAAACTGAATCCAATAATTTATGATAAATTATATATCACAACCATGTGGGTTTATTCCAGGTATGCAATGCTGGTTCTACATTTTTCTTCTTAAATTGTTGCTATTCTATGCTATGTTTCTTGTTCACATTGTTCTATTAATAAATAGAATCCAGCAAAGCAACAATATAAATAAGAAAAACAACACAATTATAGCAATTGGCATTTGATCCAATACAATTTTGTAGTTAAACAAATTTTAAAAACTCAAAAAGAAACCTCTCATGCTAGAAATAGAGAAAATTCCTCAACCTTACCTAAACATCTACAAAATATCTATGGTATTTAAAATGGATTTATTAGATGTTTTCCCCTAAAATTAGGAACAAAGCAAGAACGTTCTTTCTCATCACTGCTACTCGACATTGTATTGAAAATCTGAGGTAATAAATAGAATGACAAAATAAAATAAATGATATACTAATTGAAAAGACAGCATGAAACTCTCTTTTTTTGCTCAGCTGACATGCTGTCTATAAAGAAAAGACCAAAGAATTGAGAAAGCAACTTATGAGACTAATAAGTGAAAACAGCAAAATTACAGTATACAAGATTAATATATAAATGTTAGGTACTTTTATACACAGATTTTTAAAATAAGAAACTATAAATGCACTGAGGATAATAATATCTAGGTATAAATCTAACAAATTTGTACAGAGTTGATATGCAACAAACTAGATAACTTAGATTAAAAAATCTAAGAATCTCTAAATAAATGGAGATATAGTCTGAGATTATGGATTGTAAAACTCAATATTATTAAGCTGTCATTTTTTTCCCAATTTGATCAATGGATTCAATTCAAACCTGGTAAAAATCCCTACAAAAACTTTGGCAAATGCAGACAAAATGATTCTAAAGATGATATGAGAAGAAGAAAGGCATAGTATAGCCAACAGAAAACCAAAGAAGAACAAAGTTAGAAGACCCATACTCCTATAAAGTTATGTCAATCAAGGCAGCATGGTATTGGTAAAAAAAAAAAAAAGACATATAGAGCAAGACAACAGAGTTGATAGGTGAAAAACTAGAAAATTCTGATTAAAACATCTAAGAATCTCTAAATAAATGGAGATATAGATAGTCTGAGATTATGGATTGTAAAACTCAATATTATTAAGCTGTCATATTTTCCCAGTTTGATCAATTCAACCCTGGTAAAAATCCCTGTAAAATCTTTGTCAGATGCAGAGAAAATGATTCTAAAGATTATATGAGAAGATGAAAGGCATAGTATGGCCAACATAAAACTGAAGAAGAGCAAAGTCAGAAGACCCACACTCTTACAAAGTTATGTCAATCAAGGCAGCATGGTATTGGTAAACAAAAATAAGACATATAGAACAAGACAACAGAAAAGGAAACTCAGAAATAAATGCACACAAATATAACAACTGATTTTTGACAAAAACACAAAGGCAGTTCATTGGATTTAGGATAGATTTTTAACAAATGGGTTAGTACAATTAGATATCCATTAGTTAAAAATAAACCTAGATACAGAGTTTACATCTTAAACAGAATTTGCAAAAAATTCAAAATGAATCATAGATCTAAATATAAAATGTAAATCTCTAAAACTTTCAAAATAAATTTTAGAAGAGCTGCGTAGCTTTTGGTTTGCAGATGAAGTTTGAAATGCAGCACTGAAAGCATGTTCAGTGAAAGAAATAAAAATTGATAAGCTGGACTTCACTAAAATTCAAACCTTTTTCTCCGTGAAAGACACCATTAGGAGAATGAAACAAAGAAGCCACTGGAAGAAAATATTTGCTAAACATATATCTGAAGAGAACGTCTATCCAAAATACACAGATAACTCTTAAAACCCAGCAACAAAAAAAAAAACTGAATTTTTTAAATGCACAAAATCTGAACAGACATTTCACCAAAGAAGATATAAAGATATAAAATAAAAATATAAATTATCAAAATACTTTTATTAAAAATTTAGATTAAAAGAACAATAAAACATTAGTACATACCTATTGGAATGGCTGAAATCTAAAATAATGAACATTGCTGCTGAAAATATGGAATAAAAAGCACTCTGAATCATTGCTGGCGGAAATGTATAGTGGTACGGACACTGGAAGAATTTTTGGCAGTTTTCTAAAAAAGTTAAACATAGTCTTATTATCCATTAATTATGTTCCCAAGTATTTACCAAACTGATCTGAAAATGCATGTCTACACAAAATCTTGCATGGGAATGTTTATAGTAGCTTTATTAATCACCACTACAACTGGGAGTAAATAGGATGCCCCTACATAGGTGAACAGATAAACAAACTGTATTACTTACATATGATAAAACATTATTCTGCTATCAAAAAGAATGAGCTATAAAGCCATGCAAAGGTATGGATGAATCTCAAATGCATATGAAAATGCCATTCTGAAATACTGGAAACTGTAATTGCATTTATGTGACATTCCAAAAGAGGAAAACCATAGAAATAGTAAATGGACAGTGGTTTTTATGGATTTAGAGGAGAAAGGTTTTAAAAGATGACTAAGAGGGGACTTTTTAGATCAGTGGAAGTGTTACATATGCTATTGTAATGATGGATAAATAACACTGTAGATTAGTCAAAATCTATAGACTTTAAAGCATAAAGAATAAAACAATGTATTCAAAATTTACAAATTACTTAGTAGTTTGGGGAATTTAAGGATGAAATGCAGCCTATGAAAACAAAATCTTACTGTATTAAACATGTATGAAACAACCTCACTAAAAGAAATGAAGAAAAATGTGTTGACCTAAAGAAATTCTGAAAGTAGTGGAGTCCTTAAGTCAGGAGTTAAAAAATTGTGCATAATCCTACTATTATTTATGGCATTGCTTCCCATGTTTATCCAGATTAACAGTTTTCAAATCATATAACTGAGCAACAAGGCAAATGAAATGCAGATGGTGGAAGCCAGCCTTATCATGTTGACGTGAAGGTTGCAAGTCAGCAAGGGAGAAGGCTGCATTGAATCACGTGATCATACACTACAGTTGGAGACATTATAAATCATGTTTAGTTTAATGTAGATACAAATGGTAATAAATAGAAATATTTATGGACTTGTATATAAACAGGCTAGTGTACATATACATATATATATAAATGTTATATGTGTGTGTGTATATATATATATATATCATGATTAATACTGAGTGTCAACTTGATTGGATTGAAGGATACAAAGTATTGTTTCTGAGTGTGTCTGTAAGGGTGTTGCCAAAGGAGATTAACATTTAAGTCAGTAGGCTGGGAAAGGCAGACCCACCTTTAATCTGGGTGGGCACCATTTAATCAGCTGCCAGTCCTGCTAGAAAATAAAGCAGGCAGAAAAAATTTGAAAAGACTAGACTGGCCTTGCCTCCCAGCCTACATCTTTCTCCTGTACTGGATGCTTCCTGCTGTCAAACATTGAACTCCAAATTCTTCAGTTTTGGGACTTGAACTGGCTTGCCTTGCTCCTCGGCTTGCAGACAGCCTATTGTGGAACCTTGTGATCACGTGAGTTAATACTTAATAAACACCCACATATATATATTTGAATTGTAGTTAAACAAACAAATAAAAAAACTCAAAAAGAAACCTCTCATGTGAGAAATAGAGAAAATTCCTCTCTCTCTCTTTTCTGTCTCTCCCTCTCTTTCTCTCTCTCTCTCTCTATATATATACACATATATTAGTATATGTATATATATATTCTAGTGTGTGTGTATATATAAACTAGAATATATATATACTAGTTTAGTGACTGTATACATAATACCTTTGACCAAATGTGGAGAACCAAGGAACATAATGAAGCTCGTTGGTCACTCCAAAGTTCAGGGGACAAAGTGATGAAAGAAAATGATGAACTCAGGGATTCTGTCTCCCAGCTTCAGAAGCAGACACTGAGCCTCAAATCTCCTAAGATTGCCCTGGGTGAGAGTCTTATCTCCTGTAGAGAAAGAGCTGAAATTGAAATTGTGGATAAACAGACACAAGCTCTTATCATGGGAGTGGCTGACCTGCAAGGAAGGGTGAATGCACAGCTTCATCAGGTGTCTACTGTTAAAGTGAGGGATTGGAAAAGAATGGGACCCTACAACTTGGAATGTGGAACTGTGGGGAGGACCCTAATTAAGCTGTGGACACTGAGTTTGTAAACTCTCATGAACCTTTTTTGCCAGAATAAACAGCTTCCCCATCCCCCAGTACTGGCAACATCTCCTTTCCAACCCATGCTGCCATCAGCCTTTCCACCTTTGTCTGGGGAGATAAACCCTGTGCTGCCTGAGGAAACAGTAATGGCCTCCTTGAGGCAGTTGCCTGGCAAGATAATGTTGACTCTCTTCAGGAGCCGCCCCCAATACTTCTAGACCTATAACTAAAGTCCCCGAGGTCCTCTAGAGGTGAGGTTGAGAGTGCGACCCATAAGGAGTGCATTACACTAGAAAAGAACTGCTTGAGATTTCTAATTTACCTAAGCAGAAATCTGGAGAACAGGCATGAGAATGGATATTAAGGGGGTGGGATAATGGTGGAAGGAACATAGAGTTGGATCAGGCTGAATTTATTGATTTGGGCCCACTAAGCAGGAACTCTGCATTTAAGAGAAATAAAAGCATATACAAAATAAATACTTACAGGTGAGTGCTCATAACAAGTGCATTTGAAATGGAAAAGTCCTGGAAACAAACTAAATGGCCATTAACAGATGCAAGAATATTGGGAGTCCAAGGCAGGTGGATCACGAGGGCAGGAAATCGAGACCATCCTGGCTAACACGGTGAAACCCCATCTCTACTAAAAATACAAAAAATTAGCCACTGGTGCCTGTAGTCCCAGCTACTCGGGAGGCTGAGGAAGGAAAATGGCATGAACCGGGGAGGTGGAGCTTGCAGTGAGCTGAGATCGCGCCACTGCACTCCAGCCGGGCGACAGAGCGAGATTCCGTCTCAAAAAAACAAAAAAACAAAAAAACAAAACAAAACAAAACAACCAGATGCAAGAAGCAAGAATAAAGAAGCTGCAGCATAGCCATAAATGGAGTAACACTTAGCAATAAAAAAGAATAAAAATGACAATAAATGATACACAAAACAACACAGATGAAACTTAACATATATTTATACTGAGTGAAAGAGGTGAGGCCAAGTACATACTACATGATTAAATATATACAAAATTATAGATGATAAAAAATTAAATATTATGAGGAAAGCAATTGTTTTTGTCTGCAGGTGATGCAAAGAGTGTATTTGGGAGAGAGAAGGGAGAAATTACTAAAGGGCAAAAGGCAACTCAGGATTAACAAACATGCTCTTTATCTTAATTTTGGTTATGGTTTTACAGGTTAATATATATGATAAAATTAATAAATGTTACACTTTAAATAGATGAATAATATTGCATGTTACTTATATATCATATATGTAAAAATGTATACTTCTTGCATAAACAAAAGGCCTAGCTCTCAAAAAAAAAAAGAAAAAAAGATGACCACTCTCCATTTTAGAACAAATTGTGATATTTAGATTACACATTTTTTTCAAGGTTTCATCTTCCTTTTTCTTATTTTACTTTAGAAATTTTATACATAAAGGTGAGTAAATGTGAAAGAGAAAGATCATGAAACATTTGACTCAAACACAATATGCATTTACAATGGGGTATATAATTTGAGCCTTGTTTCATAATAAAATATTTTGATAAAATAATATATTAAGATATCCTAAAAATAAATTATCTGGACATCGTCACTTCAAAGTCATTTCAGCAGAACTGTTAATCATGGACTTGGACTGCAAATTCTTTAAAAATAGTCTTCTGATTTATGTTTAAATATCTTCATTGATGTGGATATGACTTCTTCTTGAGTTAGTTCTCTTATGTTTGAATGTATGTTACTATTACATACACAATGCTCCCTTACAAAGAGCCAAAATCTATATTCTCTGACTTCTATCAATTGGTCACAGAGATATAACATTATGCAGACGAACTTAATCTCCTCTATCTGTGACTACTCTTAAAAATGTGTAAAGTTCCCTGCCCTCATTGAAATTTTTCTTCTCCATGCTAATAAGTATGAAGTTTCTTCTATCATTTCTTCTAGTTCCAAGTTTCTTTATCTTATACTATCCGAGTCTTTTTTTCACCTTAAATGACTTTTCCTATCCTGTTCGGCTGCTCTACTGAATAAAAGGACTGATTTTTGTAATCCAGCTCATTATCTCATTTTCTGTCAGATTCTTTGTACCAGGCATTTTCCCCTATGTCAAGAAAAAAAAAATTTGAGATCATCAGGTAATATTTCTGGCAAGAACTGGTAAGAACTAGTTTATGGTTTAAAAGTTATATTGGCTTGATTGTTTATTTATATTTGAGGTGTACTGAATGTGAAATTTATTGGGACATGAGGAATCAGGTATCTTGCTTCTTTGATTGTCTGCATTACTTTCATTTAGCTCTGAAATGTGAAGCATGACATTTGTTAAACTCTGTCATTCATTATATTATATGGAAAACCTAGGTGTTACCTTAACAAGCAGCATACACATCCCAGGGGAACGTTTGGTTACTAAAAAGGGAGTCCAGATTTTCAGTCTGTTGATCAGTTGGCTGCCATAGCTTGTTCCTTACAGAACTGAAAAGATCTGCCCAATTATAAAGAGTTCTACTAATATATCATTTAATGCTAAATTAGTCTTGATAAGATTGGTTGTGAGTATTGACTCCAATTATTTACATATAGGAGGGTTTTTTAAAACTTTTTATCTATCTCTAAAGTTTATCTCCTCCTATACTGTAAAAGCAATTATGCCACCAATATGTACTATTTCTTCCCCCATGAATTCTAATTGCCCTTGGAGTGGGCATTAGAATCCATGGGGGTAGAAATAGTACCTATAGGTGTACTACATGTACTAGTACCTGTTTTTCCTTCATTTTCTTGACTATATAATGTAAATGAATGCTCAATTGCATTCCATTGATAGAATCCCTTGATTCAGCATATTCTATAGCCACTCCTTGATTTTTTTCACTCCTTGGATTCATGGGTTAAATCTTGCACTTATAAATGTTTTCCAACCTACTCAACTTTTTGCAGTCAGATTTCCACACATACATTAAAAAATAAAACCACCAAAAATGCATTTTTACTGGTTATCAACCAATATGTAAGTTTTAAAAATTAGACACTTTTCAATTTTTTTATCTTATATGATTCGCCATGTATAGCTGCTATTCTTAACTCATTTTGCATTTTTCTTGAAGTTCTTAGTTTTAGAGATTTCCTTGGCAGTACTCTTCTCATTCTGCATTAATTCCTTCTCATTCTTAGCCAGGGTTACATTCATGCAAAGTTATGCACATGATCCTCTTTGTTCACGTTCTGTATGTTCGTACAAGTGATCTTATCCAATTAGATGCTGTTTAATTCTACTTCCCTCCGATGAGTTTTCAAAAAACACCTTCAGTCTTAAACTGTTCCCTTATTTTAATTCACTGGCATCAGCATTCACTGAGTTTTCCAGTTGGCAACTCGGCAATTTTGCTCCACTCCCTTATCTTAGACATCAGAATCTCTCTATTCTAGCCCCTAAATAGATTTCAAACTTGCCACCGTATCTGTATTTCTCTAACCATTCTCCTATGTTCCCCATTTTATTTTATTTTCTAGACTAGAAATATTCTTCAACACAGTTTTACCCTGTTGAAATTTTCCCCAGTCTTGTAGACAAAACATACTTATCATCAATGCTATTCTCAAGCTGAAAGTCAGACATGAGACCTTCTTAGTTATGATAATTTACTGAGGTTTCTATGACAACACAGAAAGTTTTAATTCTGATAGTGGAATTAAAAATAGTAATAAGGTAAGGCTTTGACCTTTTTCACCAGTCTCTTTCTACCGTTCCCTCTGTATGCTCTGTACTACTGACACGTCTCTCTCCAAATATTGTCTTGTTTAGGACACCTCAAATCCTTTGCAAATGTTGTTCCTCTATCTATATGCTCCCATACAGCCAACATTTCTCAATTTCAATTTCCTATTCATTCTTCAAAACATGACTCAACTATCACTGGCTCTTTGAAGCTTCTGCTCTCTCTCTCTATTTCTATTTATCTTTTTTTCTCTGTCTCTCCTCTTCTCTCTACCTTCCCCTTTCTTTCTCTGAGGGAAATGTCGGTTATGTTTTTTTTTCAACAGTATTTTTGTAGAACATTTTTAACATATCATATCATATTGCAATAATTACATAAACTGTAAGTGTCTCAGAACAAGGACCACCCAAGACCCTTTTGCAACACAATAATATAGCACATTTATTTTTGGGCACATGGTATAATCCAATAGTTTTTTTAAATAAATGAATGCCTGAATAAATTCAGTATCCCTACACTTGTGAAATTGGATACCCATTAGGTAAAGGTCAGATTCTAGATATAATCTGTAAGTGCAGTCTAGAAAGTCATTACATGTTTAAGACATATGGAAATGCAACAGTAGATGTAGCACCATTTTATCCACATGTATCAAAACGTTTTATTTTGGTCAAATTAAGATACATATACTTTTCTTAAACAAAAATGTATCAGTAGAGCCAAATATTTTATGAAGCAATTTTTCTAACAGGAAAGAAAGATCAACCCGACAGTACAAATGATGCTACCTTTCTTGTTTCTATAGCAGGAAGGCTGAAGTTTGATCTAAATAAGGCCATCAGTTGGTCTAAGTGATAGATAAATTTTGCTGTAAATATAAGCATGTGAGCCATACATTCAATAATCCACCATCATATTTAAACATCAAACTGACCCTTAAGAAAATTAAGCAAAGCATTTGGATTGTGATCTTGTAAATTTAAAAAAAATGGTCAAATCCTTCACAGTAGCAAGCACACTGTGTATAATACTGCAGCCATCAAGTTGGCCAATAAAAAACCTGGGAGACCACCTGTATTCTTTCTCATTTTCTATACTAACATTCTGTTTGCCACTATATCACATCAATTCTGGCTTTTTATATCTCTCATCTGGTCACTATGTTTCCTGCTATGGTGTGGCACCAACATCCATTATTTAGGCGATTACAATAGTCAGTTAATTAATACTATTACCTCCATTTTACCCACCACCAAACGACATAACTTGTCACTCTAACCTGTAGTCTCTTTAATAATTTACTGAACTTCTAGAGAAACAATCATTCTAGACAAACTATGCTGGTGCAATGGTGGCTGTTGAGGAGAACTGAGGAGAACTCAGTGGGCCGAAGCACCATTAGAAATTTCTACTATATTTCATATATTTAGGTCAAATGACATTCCTCTTCCTGAGACTCTTCAAGCAGAGTCGAGTGAACCGTCATCCACAGCATCTTACCATAACATGTTATTTTTTAACTTAAATGTCATTTTTTGTTTGTCAATCAAACAATATTGTTATTTCAGAAAGAGTATTTTACACTTATAAATTTTTCATTTCACTTCTCAACTTTTATAATTGTACATGTTTTCTCCTTTGTTAAATATGCACAGTCAGCATGAGGAAAATCCCTGATTTGACATGCTTTGTGCATTTTTACCACAACTGATCTTCATTTGGATGGCAAAAATTAATATTATATTCAGGCAGAGGAATTTAGAATATATATTATTCTAAAGAAGAAGCCCTCTTTTTTTTTTAGAAATCAAGAATATATGTAAACTGTAAATCTTTGAAACATACTAGCAAAGGTAATCCATTCACTCACTATTTTTACTCATTAGTTTTCAAAGCCTTGTAATACACAGCATGCTAAGATCTCCAGGGATACAAAAGAACTGAGTCAGAAATATTTTGAATAGATAAAGAAATAACTGGCTGCTCTTCTTCAAGAGGAAAGACTAAAATTCATTCAAAGATCATAGCTAACACAACTCTTTCCTGGTGGATTCTGGGGGGCTACAGAGTTATAAATTAAAAAAGATAATCAGCATCATGGCAAATACTCTTGAAGAAGGACCTGTCTCCTAGGGAGTAAAAAGCCAAAAGGTAATATGGAGGTGATTAGAGACTAATTTAAATTAGCAACCTGAGCAGAGTAAGGAGAGATTTTAATTCAACTGAAACTCATGGTCCTGTTCACTGCCAGGCTTAGCAAATCTTAGGTAACAAAGAAAATAAGTTCAAGCTTCAAATAAGCAAAGCAGAAAAAAAAAAAAAAACCTGCCATATTTGGTTTTACTAGATGAGGCCCTCTGCAAAAGAGTTATACATACAAAGCATTTAGAATTCCATTTGTTATAAAATTAGGATAGGTCAAAATGATATTCTCCTTGCCCTAGAGAAGAATACAGTCTAATAGAAGATAGGGCTATGTATAGAACAATGACAATGTAATCTGCTATGTGTAAAATCGAGTTACTAAAAATGCTTTGGTAGCAGAGATAATAGACCAGTGTATTAATTTTCACCAAATTACTCAAACTGTTCAAAGTTTTATTAATCCTTGGGATCATTTAAAATTTTCATCCTGATAGACACAAACTGATTGTTCAGATATCTCATTAAACAGTCTTTTTCTCTAAGAAAAATCTTTTTTATAGATACTGACTCACCATAATTAAACAGAATTTCCTCATAATGAACTACATTATGTTCTGTTAAGTGACTTTCTACCTTAAAAATAAATTTATGAGAGGAAACAGTCATTTGAAATGTAATGATAGCCTCTTTCTGATATTTAATTGGGAATTTATCTTTTTAGCTTGCGATGTGAGTAGTTTCCTTGAGACGGTATTTGTATCTTTAAATACATTTTAAAAATCAATACCCTTTCACTGTAAATTCTGCTTAGATTATTTATGTTAAATCAATAATACCTGTATATTATTTTTACTAGATTGATATAAAATAGCTTCTAATATTCACACTTTAATTTGGGTTGTTTGAGTTCTAATTTCTTGTGAAAACCCTATAATTTTTCATTCTTTCTTTTAAATAATGCCACTTTGTTGGTATTTCCAGTCTGTGCTTCCATTTCCATGAGTTATCTTGAGTGAAGACTGCTTACTCTTCAGTCAAGAGCAAGCTCTTTGCTCATGGAGCCATTCTCAAGGAACTTAAAAAAAAAAGCTGCTGTTAAAATATGAGGCAAATAATATTTCTTTTTTAAATTATTATTATTATTATTATTTTGAGACGGAGTCTCACACTGTCGCCTAGGCTGGAGTGCAGTGGCATGATCTCCGCTCACTGCAACTTCTGCCTCCCGGGTTCAAGCGATTCTCCTGCCTCAGCCTCCCAAGCAGCTGGGATTAGAGGCATGCGCCGCCATGCCCGGCTAATTTTTTGTATTTTTAGTAGAGACGGGGTTTCACCATGTTGGCCAGGCTGGCCTGAAACTCCTCACCTCGTGATCCGCCTGCCTCGGCCTCCCAAAGTGCTAGGATTATAGGCGTGAGCCACCACGCCCGGCAGCAAATAATATTTCTAAATGTAATGAGAGAAAATGGAAAACGATGACTTTTAGTTAACCTTTATTTTTAGCATTATAAAAACCTCTATAGATGATTAAGAAAGTAAAACTTATCAACACTTGATTTACAAATATGAAGAGTAATGCTATTTTTTAAAATGCTTACAAATTTAAAATATTTAATATATTTACTTGTACCATTTCTGGTATAACTTGTCTATACAATTTTAATCTTGTATCCTAAAAGCATTGTCAGAGGTCCATTGGATTGTCCACATTTTATGTGTATAAACTTTGATTGAAGCATCTTAGGTTTCTAACATATTTCTTACAACCCGATTCCAGAAGCTACTAATTTCCTGTCTCTAAAGGCCCGCTTTTTGAATATTAACCTAACTTTCTAATGACTTGCAATATTTCTTCTATGTGTTGATTAAACTGATAAATGGCTATTTTCTTATTCACCATTCAAAAGCCACTTTTTCTGCACAAAATGTAATTTCCAATCAGATATCATTAAATAAATATTTACAAAGGTAGTACAAGACTACTTACCAACTTACCAATAAAAAAGGAGATAAAATAAACTAAAAAACATATATATTTTCAGTGTCTCATACCACAGTTTATATCATAGAATTATTATAATGCCTTCCTAGGGCATTATGCAAACAGATGACTTGATAAAGCTAGTGTGAGAAACTTTCATGTTGTTATAATATTTCCAATGTCATCAGCTTCATACATTATAACTTAAGTAATAGCACTGTTTGTGGGAATGTAAATTAGTTAAACCACTGTGCAAAGCAGATTGGAGACTTCTCAAAGAACTTAAAACAAAACTACCATTTGACCCAGCAATCTCATTATTGGGTATATACCCAAAGGAATATAAAGGTTTTATCAAAATGATAACGCACCCACATGTTCATTGCAGCACTATTCACAATAGCAGGGACATGAATTCAACCTGGATGTCCATCAACAGTGGAGAGGATAAAGAAAATATGATACATATATGCCATGGAATAGTCCATAAGAAAAAAAGGAAAAAAAAATCTCATTTGCAGCAACCTGGATGCAGCTGGAGGCCATTATTTTAAGCAAGTTAACACAGGATCAGAAAACCAAATGCCTCTTGTCCTCACTTGAAAGTGGAAACTAAACATTGAGTACACATGGACAGAAAGATGGGAATAACAGACACCAAGGCCTACCTGAGGGGAGAGAATGAGGGTCAGAAAACGACCTAAAGGGTACTATGTTCACTACCTGGGCAACAATATTATTTACCCATATAACAAATCTGCACATGTTCTCCCTGAGCCAAAAATAAAAGTTGAGAAAAGAAAAAAAAAAAAAAAAGGGAGAAAGTAAACACAGAATTGATGAGCGATGGAGAAATATGTTTAACAGTGGAGGAAAAGCACCAAAGCATAATTTCAACAATGCAATCAGTTTTAAAGGCTAAGAAACAAAATTTGTTAACAAGATATTACTTTACATTCATTGACTTATTAACTCTCCAACTACCTGTGAGGAAGGTGTAACCTAACATCACACGAGCTACAAAATGGCATAGAAAGAATTCAAGCCTTTTTTCAGTCTAATGTTCCTTTAATTATTTATATTAACTTATAATTTATTTTAACATACTCCACAAATTCTATTTGCTTTATCATTTTGTTTTCTTATTTTAACTTGTGGTAAAACAATTCTAGATTTACCCTCTTAAAAATTTCAGTTCACAGTACAATATTGTTAAGTATAGGCACAATGTTGTATGGTTAATCTCTAGAATTTATCATCTTACATATCTGAAACGTCATATCTTTTGAACAACTGACTTCCATTTCCCTTTCCTGCAATCCCTAGCAAGAACGATTATCCCCTCTGTTTCCATGAGTTTGACTACATATGATACCTCATATAAGCGAAACAGTGGAGTTATTTTTCTTCTGTTAATGGCTTATCTCACATTTCACTTAGCATAAAGTCCTCTATGTTCATTCTCATCTTGTCACATATGATAGAATTTTGTTATTTTTAAAGAGAAAATGATTTGCCAATTTATTTTAAATATTATATTTTAATACATAATATTTATATTTTAATATATATTTAATATATAATATTTATATTTTAAATATTGTAAAATATAAATATGTATTTATAATATGTGATATGTATATTAAATATTTAATATAAATTATAATATGTAATTCAATATAAATTATATTACATATAATATAAGGCATATATTATATTTATATTGAATTATATTGTATAATATGCATATTTTATATATGATATATAATTATATTAGCACATATAATTA
The DNA here is from genome assembly GCF_000001405.40 of Homo sapiens. Lineage (NCBI taxonomy): Eukaryota > Metazoa > Chordata > Mammalia > Primates > Hominidae > Homo > Homo sapiens. Next base: position 29,766,602 of record NC_000004.12, read on the forward strand.
TATAACATATAATTTTGTATATTTATACATAATACAATTTTCTCTTTTTCATAAATTGACCCTCTTCTCAATATCTAATGACTTCCTCTGTATCTTTTTTACAGTTTTTGATTTAAAGTCTATCTTGTCTGATATAGTCACTACTGTTCTCTTTTGGCTGCCATTTGCATGGAATATATTTTTCCATCCCTTCAGTTTTAGCTCATGTATATTATTAAATCTAATGCAAGTTTCTTGTAATCAATAATATTGAATATTTTGTTTTTATTATTCAGCCGCTCCATTACTTTTGTTGGTGGAGTTGGATCCATTCACATTTAAAGTAATTCTTTGTAGGTAAAAACTTATTATTGCCATTTTTTTATTTTTTTTTGTCTTTTTTGGCAGTTAACTTTCCCTTCTCTTTCTCTCTTACTGTCTTCTTTTTGATTTAATGATTTTTTGTAGTGATATACTTTAATTCTGTCATTTTTTTCTCTTCATACCAATAGAGTTTTTTTTCTTCTCTTAGCATGAGGCTTACATAAAACGTTTATAGCAGTCTATTTTAAACTGATAACAACTTAAAGTTAATCACTTACAAAAACCCTGCAATTTTGCTTCTCTCTCCCTTGACATTTTAAGTTATTGGTGGCAAAATTTACATATTTTATATTGAATATCATGAAATTATTTAGTTGTTGTTATTCTTAATATTTTTTAACTTTTACACTGAAATTAAACATGATCTGCATGTCACCATTACAGTATTACAGTATATTGCATTTATCTATATATTAAATAATTACCTTTACCAGTGAATTTTATACTTTTGCATGCTTTCATATTGCTGTGTGGCATGCTTTCATTTAACTTGATGAACCTCTTGTTCCACTTTCTGTTCTTGCATAATCACTTCTTTTTCTTGCACCTAGTGATAATAAACTTCATCAATTTTTGTTTGCCTGAGAAATTATCACTTTTTCATTTCTGAACATGTTTGCTGAATATAGTGTACTTGTTTGGCAGCTTTTGTTTTGGTTTTAGTGTTTTGAATATATCATCTCCCTCTCCTCTGGCCTGCAAGTTTTCTGCGGAGAAATCTGCTCCTTAAATGTGACAAGTCACTTTTCTCTTGCTGCTTTCAAAAATCCGTCTTTACTTTGAATGTAATGATTTGGTTATAATATGGGTCAGTATATATTTCTTCGGATTCTTTCTTTCTGATTCCTTCTGGCTTCATAATTCTGAATGTCTATCTCCCCCCACAGATTTGAAACGTTTTCAGACATAATTTCTTTAAATAATTTCCCCCCACTTTCTCTCTTCTCCTTCCTTGAATTCCATAGTAAATATGTTGTTTCACTTGCGAGAGTTCCGTAAGTCTTTAAGCTTTCTTTGTTCTTTTTTATTTCTTACATTTTTTTTCGACTGAATATTTTCAAGTAAGTTTCGGGTTGGTTGGTTTGTTTTTTCTGCTTGATCAAGTCTGTTGCTGAAACCCTCTAGTGAATTTTTCAGTTTAGTTATATTGTTTGGCTCTTGAATTTATATTTTGTTCTTTTTAATTATGTCTCTTTGTTTATATTCTAAATTTTCATTTATTGTTTTTCTAATTTTATTTTATTGTTTATCTGTTTCCCGTTGTAACTCACTGAGCTTCTTGAAGATGATATTTTGAATTATTTTTCAGAAATTTCATAGACTTTCCTTTTTTTAGGGTCAATTACTAGAGATTAGTTTTGTTCCTTTGCTTGTGTCACTTTTTTTTCTAATTCTTCATTTGTTTATACATTTGTGTTGGTGTCTGAGTATTTAAAGAAACAACCACCTTTCCCAGTCATTATAGACTGGCTTTGATGGGAAAACTCTTTACTGATCAGCCAAGCTAAAGACTCTGGGCCATTGTTCCTAGGTGTTCCAGGCATCCAGTTTCTCTCCCTCTCTCTCTGTCTCTCTCTGAAGCTGGCAATCTCTTGTTTCCTCTGGTCTCTGACTATGGCAGTCTCAGCAGTAGTTAGTGTGAGGCAGTACAGAAACCAGTCCCTTCAATAAGTACAGTGAACAGTCAAAAACATTGGAGACACATCCTTCTCCTCTTGCACCCTCCTGAGGGAGAACCACAGTTTTGAATCTTTTTTCAATCTCACAGATATGATATCTTTAAAAAGCCACCTGACTCTTTTCCTTTGTTTCTACTCTGGAATGTTTGGTCTCTGTCAGTACTCAGTATGAGGTGAGACAGAAACTGGATCTTCGAGGAGTGCTCTGAAAGGCTAGAAGTCTGGATGCATGCTCCATTCTCTCTTTCTTCCAGCAGAGGAAGTCACATGCTGAAGCAATAAGCGTTTATCTGTGCCAGTTTGGATTGATGCAGGTAAAGTAAAATTGCCCTTCTTATCTGTTTCAATGCTGCTCTTCTTGGTTTTATGTTCATTCTGGGTTCTACTGGTTCTTAAGTGGACTCTGGACTCATCATAAAGGTATTTGGGGCTGTATATCATTTTCACACTGAGTTCTGTAGAAGAACAAGAGCTGGGCCTTCTTATTTCACCATCATGCTGACCTCTCTTCCAAATAATCCTATTTTCTGAACCAGTTTTTATTTTGACACATTTTTTTAAAAGTTTGCATGTATTATATTTATTTATTTTCAAATAATTTATATTTGTTACTGCCTTTATGTTTCTATTTTAAATGAACTGATATTTTTCAATATTTTTTCTGCTTGGTAAAAAAATCTGTAAAATTTTGAAAAGACTTTATGTATTTGTTTTTAAAGAAAGATATTGCAACCATGATTAATTACACAGATGGATGGATAGATGTGGAAAACTAAAAAAAGACATAGTAAAAGATAAATACTAAGTAGAGAAGATTAAAAATAAAAGAAATAATGGAATTTCAGTGATGCAAAAATGTGATAGGATTTAAATTTTCTTAACTGCACTCTTTTTTATAAATTACAGTTTGTAGCCACAATACCATTTTAGGTGTGTCTGACTCTTCATAAATTGTACCCTTAAAGTTTTAAGAAATAAGCATTCAGACTTAGAACTTTTTTATTCGTCTTAGTTGAACTTTTTCAGTTATAAATGATAGAAAATTCAACTCCAGCCTCTTTAAAAACAAACAATATTTATTGGTTCATATAACCAAAGATATCATAAAAATAATACTGGATTTAGGTCCAGTGATTGATATTATATCATCGAGACTTATGCTTGCTATCTCCATTTCCATTTCCCTCAATGATGGGTGGGACCTCAGGTAGATTCCCCCGGAAGACTCTGGTTGATGGCCAGCAGTTCTGTGATGATATCTTATCTACTCAAATTCAAGACCAGGAGAAAGACAGTACCCAGCATAGTTTGACCATCCCTGAGTCAATAATTTATTTACCCATGTACTTATTCAAATTAACTTATTAATATCTAGTCCTTCCTCCTCAGATACTCCTTATCCCCTTCCCTGTTTTATTTACTCCATATTGTACTTCTCACTATCATATATATAATTGTTATATTTAAATTTTGTATCTATGTAACATATATACAGATGTAAATACACATGCGTGCACACACACACACACGCTTATTTCTTTGTTTATTGCACATTTTACCTAAACAGAACATAAACTCCATGAGGAAAGTATATTTGTCTGTTTTATTTACTTAGTAATATTTTTCCCCAAACCTAGAAGAGTACCTGGCACACAGTATCTCCTCAGTAAATGAATTCTTTTATTTATATATTCTGTACTGTGTTCTGGGTGTTAGAGTTGTAACAGTGAAGAATGTATAAAATATTCTGGCCTCATTGAGTATATAGTCTAGTGGCAGTAATATGAGATAGAGAGAGAGGGCAAGAGCATGTGTGAATGTACACATTATGTCAGGGGGATATAAGTCTTAACAGAAAATATGTTTTTGCTGTGTGTCGAGAGGCATAATTCATTGATTGGTATGGGTTCAGTCATGTAGTCTTCACCAAGGCTATGAAGACAGTCCCACGCAAAGTTCCTTTCCTGAAAAAGGAAAGTAAACTCCTTTTACTTTTCTGAGCTTTACAGGTCATCACACATTTTAGCCTAGTTCCAGGGCAGAACCTAAAGCAAATATTAAATGTGTTTTAGAGAATGAAATTTCAGAGAACAGAGGCAGGAAGAGGACACATAAAAGAGCCAACATGGTGATGACTCGCACATTTTTTGAAGTGTTTAATAAACCATGTAAACAGCCGCTTCTCAGTACTTCCCTGCTAGGTTACAGAAGAAAAGAAATTTCTCCACAGGATCCCATCTATCTCTGAAACCAGATTCCATCCCTCCACTTCATCACTCCTTCTAAATACATAGCATTGCCCTGTCAACCTGCAATTCCAGACAAACATTCATGCCTGGAATGAATCTATCTATCAACAGGGAATATCTGTTGTAGAACATGAGAGGATTATACCATGGGTGTGTACAAATGAAGTTTGCCAGTGACCACACAGAATTGGTTACAGCAGGCAATGGATCAAGTCACCAGAACCGGGAGACAGATGAGAGAAACAGGATATAAAGTGATGCCTTAGAGGAAGAAATATCTTTACTCACATGAAGCTTACAGTATCCAGGTCTCACACATACCATAAGCATAAAAATAAATACATTTTATAATATACTAATTACTGCACTTATTGATTGAATAAAATGATTTTTTATTTGGCCATGATTTGGATTTATGCTTCCAAAGAGCAAACTATTTAATGAATGTCACCTCTTTGAAAATTGCTTTCATTGTGAATTTTTTGTATAACCCTTACTGTCAGTAATTTTGATTATGACTATTATCTCCCCAGTTTGCCTTTTCATGTTTGGACATTAGTCTTATTGCCCCAGGCTTAGCTAGGCTAAATACACAGGTCTCTCCTATTTGCACTTTTCTTCTTCTAACACTTCGCATCTGATAATTTTATTCAATTTTCCCCTGATGGTCACTGTCATCTGTCATTTGTAATCTTTGTGATGAAAACAAATTGAACGAAATTTCTAGTTGGGTGATGGGAGAACAATTCCATTTTCGTCTGCAGTAATTATAAAAGAAAATCTATGATTCTTATGTATTTATATAATGACTATTAGCATGATTGTAGTTTAGAATGTACTAGTGTTATATTTGTACATCATTGATAATCATCATGCATTTAAAAAGTTGAAACATATCCCAGAGCTATACTAAAATCTTCCAAAAGGGTGCAACATAATATCAAGGTATTTTTACTCATTTTCAAAATAAAACCTAGAGTCATATCCAAGATGAAATATCTTTCTACCAAATTCACTATTCATGTAATAAAATGTACTTTAGAACGATTGTGCATATTTCTTTTTACACTATTAAGTTATTAAGATATAAATAATGATAAAAGTAAACTTTTATATACAATTTTTCAAAATAGTTTGCATCTGCTTGATAGGTATAATAAAATTTATTAATAAACTAGATATAATGAATGATATGATATAATAAAATAAATATAATAAAAGTTTTTATTATAAAGACTTGGAACCAACCCAAATGGCCATCAATGATAGACTGGATAAAGAAAATGTGGCATATATACACCATGGAATACTATGCAGCTATAAAAAGGATGAGTTTGTGTCCTTTGCAGGAAATGGATTAAGCTGGAAACCATCATTCTCAGCAAACTAACACAAGAACAGAAAACCAAACACCACATGTTCTCACTCATAAGTGGGAGCTGAACAATGAGAACACATGGACACGGGGAGGAACGTCACACACCGGGGCCTATCAAGGGATGAGGTGCTAGGGGAGGGATAGAATTAGGGGAAATACCTAATGTAGATGACGTGTTGATGGGTTCAGCAAACCACCATGGCACATGTACACCTATATAACAAACCTGCACGTTGTGCACATGTATCCCAGAACTTAGAGTATATATATTAAAAAAAAAAAACCTATGTACAATTTTTTAGTAATGAATCCTTTCCTTACAACAAAACTTCATTTAGGGAAATATGTGTTAGGTATATGTAAAGTGGTTTCTCTGATATTTCTGAGAAGTGGTATAGAATCTGGTGTGTATGTGTGTGTGTGTGTGTGCATGCGTGCATGTGTGGGCACATGTACTTTTAGGCAGACTTCTGCTGAATCTTTTTCACTTTATAATTTGAGAAGATATATATTTGTTAAAAGTTTCTGGATATGCTGTGTCACAACTACAAATTTAGCTCTGTATTTCATACTTGCTTTATCTGCACTCATAATATTCAACAACACTAATTGTTCAAATGTCCTGTAACCTGCTCCATGATGCATTGCCCTATTATCTCAGTCAACATTAATTCCTCCCCTTAGGTCTGAGAAAACTATATTTCTTTAGTATAGCCAACTGAACAGGTGTCTTTCTCCTCCATTAGACTACCAACTCCTTGAGGTCCGATATCTTACTGATTTTAGCATTGCGTCATATCAGACATGGCTTATTAGCTCCTCGATAAATGTTTATTGAACTGAAGTGAAAATTAACTCACAAAAAGTTTTTACTTTTAGCTTTGTTTATATCTATCAAGCCAGATGAAAAATATTATAGAAAAAGTTTTAATTTTCTAAACTTTTTGCGAGTTAATAAATATTTACTTTTTGTAACTAAAAAGATAAGGTTGTGTTTATTTCAGACTGGACCATTAGAATTACCATTAAATATTAGACCTTTTTTAGTCTAATAGTGATGGAATGATCTTCTTGTAAAATATGTTAGGTTTGAACTTTTCATTTTCTTGAATGCTAACATTTTATTTTGTGCAGACTAAATACATTATTTAAGTGTTCTGATAAAAGTGATCTCTGTTATTATACCTGATCTTCAGAATTTGGCAATATTTTGTGTGATATCTTGCAACTTACCAAAGCCCAAATTTAGGTACAGTAAAAAATTACCCATTTTTAAACTTTATCTCTATATATTTTTCCCAGAGAACGAAGTGAAATATTATCTATAATTTAAGGGAAAAGAGATTACTAAAGGAAAGGACACTAAAGAAAAATTACTGAAAGGTTTGACAAAAATATATGGAAATAAAAGTATGTTGAATGCCTGTGCGCGGTGGCTCATGCCTGTAATCCCAGCACTTTGGGAGTCCGAGGAGGGCAGATCACCTGAGGTCAGGAGCTCAGCAACAGCCTGGCCAACATGGTGAAACTCCGTCTCTACAAAAATAAATAAATAAATAAATAAATAAATAAATAAATAAATAAATAAAAAGCCTGGCATGACAGCTGGTGCCTGTAATCCCAGCTACTTGGGAGGCTGAGGTGGGAGAATTGCTTTATCCCGGGAGGCGGAGGATGCAGTGAGCCATGATGGCACGATTGCACTCCAGCCTGGGCGACTAAGGGAGACAAACAAATGAAAAAAAAAAAAAAAAAAAAAACAATATCCTGAAAGATGGTCTCTAAAAATTACTTGTATATAATTCCGAGAATAAATACTCAGTGCTGTTTTCTTTAGGGTATAGAATCATCCTTCAAATTTCTAGTTTATTTCTTATGATTCTTTATGTTCGCTAACTTCAATTGTTTCTTTCTCTAAACACCTTGCCAGATTTTCATAAATATCTTTTTAGTGACAGTTTAACCATGTGTAAACTTATGGATAGAAAGTTGCAGACAGTGGTTAAAAAACAGATGGCATCAACCCCAAAGCCAACTTCTTTATTGGCAGTTCACAAACATCTTCAGCAAGTTACCTGAATTTCTGTGTCTGATCTTGTCTGATCGTACTTCAGATACAATTCTAAATTACACATTCTGAATCTACACACAAACATAACAGTGATGATATAAATCTAAAAATTTCAAACAAAAATAACCTTCTGTGCCACAGCCTCCTATATCTTTAAATATTTCCCTCATAAGTATGGTTATGACTATAATTAGACTTAGTTATTCAATCACTTCACTTTTGTACTTTCTGTTACTCGCTCCTTTCTTTTATAACCTGTTTAGACCCCTTAATTTATCACTTCTGAAGCTCAATGTCTAACATGATTGAATCCCTTCTCTTGGTGACCTCATGTTTTACTGGTCTAGTACAGTCACAACCCTAGTAAAAATTAACTGCATCATTTGCATTAATACTCAGGAGTCCTAAAACTGCTAGAGAAAAATCTCAAATTATTTCCGCCTTGAATAATCCCTCAGTATGACCTGGGTATTTTTATAGATTTCCTACTCACTATTTTAAACCAAAACATGCAACTTGGCCATTACTGACTCAGTCTGAACCAATGACCTTCCCTTTTACTTCAAAGAGAAAATAGAAACTGAAAATAATCTTTCAAATTATTTTCACCTTCCCAAGAAACATAAAAAAATTATGCATTCATCTTTTTGTCCTCCACTTCTGTTTGGAGGAAAGATATAGTCTTGGTATTATGTAAAATAAATAATTTTACCAGCGCTCTGGATCCTTCTTTCTAGAAGCCCTTTGTACCTATTTGTGCTGTCTTCAGTCCCTCACTTCTGGTTACTTCATCCAATTATTTAAACATGTTTAAGCCTCTCTTCTTATAGAAGATAAAAATGAATTTATTACAAAATCTTACTCCTGACCTGTAACTCAGTCCACGTAACATGGTATACCTGGCTTGTTGGAATAGCTTAACTGTGTGAGAGGGTTGCCCACCACTTATTGTTTCTACTTTCTTACATTCCCTGTTACTCTTTAAACACAATTAACATCAACAGCACTCTATTAAAAGAGCTCTCATTAAGGACATTTATGGTCTCTATGTGGCAAACTACAAAGCCCAAAGCCCACCTCATCTTACGTTGTTTAACCTGCAGGAGCATCTGACTGTGAACTCACCTTGCTTTTATGAAATATTCTTATTGTTTGGTTCTGTGGTCCAGATTATTATGCTTTTTCTCCTGCCACTAAGCTTACTCTTCAGCTTCCTTATAAATGCTTTTATTTTCCTCCTGGCTATCTGCTTCTTATCTCCTCCTACACAGTTTTCTTGGCTAAATTATTGCATCTTAACTGCCATGATCAAAATAATGACTCTCAGATATGCATTATTAACACAGTTGTCCTTCTTGAGTTTTAAATTTATATCCAACTGTCTTCTAAATATTTCTACGATAGCTAAAATTACAAAAACACAAACCTCCACTCACCTTCTATGCCTCAAATGTTTTCTGTTTTTTTTTTCTCTAGATAGTTTTAACCTGCAACTATCTGAGCAATAAATTCAAATATTGCATTTGACTCTATGTTTATTCTCCTACCTCCAAAAGATTACTACATTTTATCAAATTTTGCATCTTAGATAACTTTGCTGCTTTTCATATAGCCATCACTCTAGTTGGCTACCCTATCTCTGGCTTATTTATTTTAATATACTCATAAATTTGTTTTGTTTTTGTTTTGTCTCCTTTTGTTTCCCACGTTGAGACAGAATGAGGTAGGTTATGTCATTGTAAAATATAACCAGATATTTTACTAATATAAATAAATAAGAGCTTACTTCTCATGTATACGTTCTGTCCATGCTGTATTTGTGGTTCATCCTGATCTCTGTAAACCTCACTTCAGGACACCAAAGCACAAAGGCTTCAACACTTAGCATATCACCACCCTGTAAAAGGAAGGGGGGGACCATAAAAAACCATGCACAGTCAGCTTCTGCCTGGCAATAATTTATACCACTTTCGTTCATATTTTTTGGTCCACATAACGAACTCCTCAGTGGAAAAGTGCAATTTTCTAATGTATACTTTATTTTTCAACAATTATTTGGGTCTCATTTCTTTATATAATAAAATTGATTCTTACCAAACACAGGAGTAATAATCCAAATCCCTACTCATTCACAGGATGAAGATGAAATTTCAAGATTTCTAGGGAACATAAGAAACCCATAAACTAAAAGTTAGGATATTTGCATGTTTGCTTGCCTCTCCCACCATACAAATTACAGTGGTAGAACATTGTATGGTAAAACATTAATATAATATCCCAAACCTTTCTGATTCATAAAAGAAAAAAAAATGAGTAGTTTCCTAATTCTGCGTCCTATAAGTAGGTTTCTTACTTAATATCCTTAATTTAGCCATTACCTGAAATCTAAATTTAAATTATTGTTTCTAACTCCAATCTTTAATTATTTTGTCTTTTAGGGTTAAGAATCTGCTGCCTTTTTGAATGCTAAAGATCCCCGAATTCAGGGAATCTCTCTATTCCTTTTTATTCTTGTTTGCTCATTAGCTAATTACTTTTAGCAACTACCATTTACTAGAATTACTTGCCAACTGCAGCTAACAGAAACCCTCTCCATTTTTAAACTTTTGTTTTTGAGTTCATCCTATGAGTGACCAAATTTGTTCCTGAGGGTAATCATCACAACCAGGAGCTTCTGCCAACACATCATAGAATAGTTTCTACTAACAGCAGTGTTTGCCATTTTTCTTATCTTCAACATCAAGTTTCTGGCTGGCTACCACCCAGGCCTTAAGAGAACTCCACAAATGTTTGAACCAGCATGCTAATAGAAATTAACTTCTTCCACATATTCTTTATTCAGAAATTCACTCTTAAAATCTCCAAAAATAAGAAGCATTGCAGTCAATAACAAGGGAAGGGAAAGTGTTCAGTTGTGTCTTAGCTCGTAACGTCTTCTTCTAGAAGTGGCTGGCATTATTTCACTCATATTTCATGGATAGAAAAGTGAAGTGCTATAGTATTCCCAGAAGAAGAACCCAAAAGAATAGTGAACAATACTAATGATCACAAAACCTTCTTCAGCACAGTTGTTCATACTATAATTGAAATCATTATTTTTTTGTAAAATATAATCCTATTGTGTTACTTAAATCATACTATCAGTAATTTCTAAAGATGGCTGCAAATACCAGCTGTGTGTCACTCCATGCTTAAACTCTTTTAAGTAGTCAACACTGCCTCTCAAAAAATTTTTTGCTTCTTCTATGTAGCATTTATGATTATTATTTTTGAGACAGAGTCTCGCACTGTCGCCCAGGCTGGAGTGCAGTGGCGCGATCTCGGCTCACTACAAGCTCCGCCTCCCGGGTTCACGCCGTTCTCCTGCCTCAGCCTCCCGAGTAGCTGGGACTACAGGCGCCCGCCACGCCTGGCTAAATTTTGTATTTTTAGTAGAGACGGGGTTTCACCATGTTGGCCGTGATGGTCTCGATCTCTTGACCTCATGATCCTCCTGCCTTGGCCTCCCAAAGTGCTGGGATTACAGGCGTGAGACACCGGCGTCCGGCCTGGAGCATCTGTTATTGACCAAGCCATATATCAAGTGTTGACCATGAATGTCTTCATTTAATCTTCACAAACACTCTGAGAGAGAGTGGTTAATATTCTTACCCACAAGACCGCAAAAGAGGTATATAAACACCACATGGATATTTCCTGATATAAAGTTATAGTAGTAGGCAGAATAGTTCATAGGCTGTTTTCTTTAAAAAAAAAATGTATGTTTATATGTCAGGTATCTAAGAGAAACATTTGTATTTATTTTGCACGAATCCCTTAAAAAATGTTCGTGTAAATTGCTTGCCATTTAAAGTAGTATTCAAATAAGATAAAGATGGGTGCTCAAATGAACCATATTATTAAAAATTTTCCAACTGATTCTAGCTATAGATGTACAACTGCAGTTTATGGTGACAGTTAGTGAAACAAAAATTCAATATATTGTTTACATAAAGACAAAATTACTTGAAATTTTATCTTAACTAGTGTCGTGGTTTGAGTGTGCCTCCAGAATTCACACGCTGGGAATTCATTCCCCTGTGTGGTGGTGTAGGGAGTTGATTAGGTTGTTAAGAGGGAATAATGTCACTCTCACAGGACTGGGTTAATTCTGCAGGAACGTGTGGGTTCTCACACTCCTGGGACTGGATTAGTGACCTAGAAAGCAGAGTATTATAAGGCTAGGCTGTTGCTCGTGTTTTGATCCTGTTGCATGACTGCTTTCCCTGCTATTTCTCTTCTATGTGATGACTGAGCACAAGGCCCTCACCTGAAGCCGACTAGATTTAGCTGCCAAATCTTGACCCTCTCTGCCTCCAGAACTGTAAGACAAAATAAACTTCTATTGCTTCTAAATTACCCCATCTGTGGTATTCTGTTAAGGCCACAGAAAATGGACTAAGACAACTAATATTCTCCTAAGCTTCATTGTTACAAGCATTCCCTGAATTTTTTACTTAGGGGCTCGGATGTCAACACTAAGATAGATTTTTCTTTCCAACTATTCATGTTCTAAACTACCATTATACCCACAATAAAAACTGCATTAATGTAAATGGGCTTCATTGCACTTCACTTTATGTTGAGTACAGTCTACTTGATTTCTACAAAAATAAATTACTTTTATCCATTCCAATTCCTAAACCACTTTGTGGAAGGAATATTTGAATTCATCAATTTTAGAGAGACATTGAATCATCCTTCAGCAATATATGATGACATTTTGAGTACAAATATCAAGATTATTATTTTTAATATTAAATATTACCTGAGTGTTTAAAGTGGCTGAAGAGCATATTAATATTAAATATTATTTCTGACATTTTAAAAAGGTCAAATATGCTGCTGTTATACAAAAACTATTAGCAGAAACATCAAATTATTATAATCATTCTAAACACTAATTTGGTTCAAAAGTTAACATTTAGGGAGTTTGGACTCAATATTTCTTCTCAGTGAAGGTCAACATAATTTCACTGCTCAAGTTTTTGCCAAAAAATTTTTCACTCCATTTGAAAATCCTAATTTAATATCAACATGGGCTTTGTCTCTAAGACTAAGTGAACATTTTAATTTTTCCTGGATGACTACAGCTGCTATAGAAAAAAGTTTTTTCACTTCCAGCTAACTCTTTTAAAAGTCATAAGTAATAATTGAGCACAAAATGTAGCTTGAGAAACTACAAGCTTGAGAAGGATGTTTGCTTCTTTGTAATGGAAAGAACAAATTCTTCTCCACTATTCACCAATGACTCAATAGAGGGCTAGACCTTGAGAACTAAGTATCAGCTGCCTGTCTAGTATTTCAAACTTATTCTATTGCTTACTGCTTATTCTAATATTTATAAACTTTAATAGAATATTTCTCTCATTTTAAAGCAATAAGCGGTCACAAGGAGATTTTTGGCTAGACCTTCTGCATCTCATCTCTTTTGCTTTCTTTATAAATATTGAGTCAATATCTACTTTTTTTTTTTACCCATTTCTTATTTTATTTTCTTCTCTTTGTACTTTTCCATTTTTTCTATTTATTCAGTTTTCTTCTCCAGAAGGATTTTTTAAATTGTGATTTGGCACATCCTCAAGAGCACTTTATACCTGTAAGATCTTTAAATATCCACATGTGACTAACTGAATTTCAGTTCAGAGAAAGCAGATTACTGGGATATTTTATGTATGGAATCTTTGGCTATATAACAATATTTACTATGCTTTCCCTTGTGTCTTCTCTATTTATTTGATTTTTTTCTGAAAATAATGACTTTGTGTAGTTCTTAAAATCAATATTTTCAATATAGTAATGACCACCATGTATATATTCTTTAAAATGTACAAGGTTTTTTTACTTGACTTAAATTGTTGAATTCTAACAGCATCCCCATATTCTAGGAAGCATCCTCATCTTCTATATACTAGTACAGAAAATGAAACTCCAGTACATCACGTATCTTGTTCAAATTGAAACAGCTAATAAGTGTCTAAACTAGATCTGGAACAAAAATCCTAAAACACAATCTTTTCAAATGTTCTTTATAAAAGATTATATGAAAATATACATTTTTTTCCAGTCTTCATGGATTCACATGTCCTTAAACTATTAACAAGTACTTGGAAGCTCATCACACTGAATAAAAAGCATCTTGAAATGACTGCAGATCTTGGGACCATTCTACTACGAGAATGAATTAGCCAAAAATTTGGTGATTGTCGTCCATGAACTTAGGTAGGACAAGTGTGCTAACTTTCACATGCCAGAGCCACTGTTTTTTCACTCTGAAGAAGTGTAACTTCTATTCATACAAATGGAACAGAGTGTTTTATCCATGACTCTGATTTACCTTTATCAGCATTAATATATACTCAGTCAGCCCTCTGCATTTGTGGGTATCCCATCAATGAATGCAATCAAGTGTGAATCAAAAATACGTAAAAAAAATGCACAGATGCTTTTGTATGGAACATGTGCAGAATTTTTTTCTCATTATTTTTCCCTAAAAATGCAGTAAAACAACTATTTTTGTACAACCTTTCACTCTGTATTAGGTATTATAAGTAATCTAGAGATAATGTGAAGTATATGGGAGGGTGTGTTTAGGTAATTTGCACATACTACCTCAATTTATATAAAGAATTTGGGCATTCATGGATTTGAGTATCCACAGAGGATCCTGAAACCAGTTCCCCATGGATACTGAGAGACAGCTGTGTGTGTGTGTGTGTGTGTGTGCATGTGTGTGCCTGTGTGTGTGTGTAATCCTTAATGGATAATATATGGAAAATATGTCAATTAGAAATAAAATATGTTACTGAACAACTTTTTTTCGTCTTGCTATCTTTCTCTGTCTAGATGCTGATAGTCTTCTTAGTTCCTATATTCTATTTCCAGAATTGCTGAAGTTTTATCACATTTTCTTCTGCCCTTTATTACATAATTTCATAGTTTCAGAACCTCTTTTCTCTCTTTAATATGGCTCATGCTTGGTCTCTCTAATTATTACATACTACACGTACAATCTTCACCAAATGGTGCCTCTTTATCTATAAACTGAGGAGAGTCATGATACCTAATCTAAGGTGCTCAGTGTAATACCTCGCACCTGCTGATACTTTTTAAATAGTGAATGTTATTGTTGCTATGATGTACAGTTTCAGAGTTTTTATTTGACCTTGAATTCTGCCATACGTACTTTATTTCTGCCATTTGATTTATGAACTCCAGTTGTTCTTTACAGCCCAGAGGGTCTACCCTAAGATTGCCAGTGCCCCACCATCCCTATGGCTCACTCCTAAGGGAGAACAGGCTGAGTAAAGGCAGTCAGATTCCTCTGTCAGGGGTAGTAGATTCAGTCACTCTTGGGTTTTGTGACCCTCTGGGAACAAAATTAGTACATTTTTCAAAATGTTGTCCTTAAAATGCCAACCTTTTTGAAAAGAAAGCAGATATTTTCAGATATTCTATCTGTGGTTTATCCATATGTATATTTCCCCCTCTGCTTCCATAGAACCAATATTGAGCCTGCTGAAAATAAATACCATTTGTTCTTTCTGAGTGTGCCTGCAGGAAGAGTCTTTTCAGCATGAATTGCATATTTAAGTTTCCTGCTGCTTTCAATCCATCTAGGATTAACCAGAATTTACCTGTTTACAGTAAATGAAAGGGATATTGGATATTTGATCAAGGACAGTCCTCAGGCCTTATAGTTCCTTCTATTTGTTAAATTTTAATGTCGTTTAGCCTCTGAGAGTGGAGAACAAGTTTCCTCGAGACCAGATTGCTCTAATTTATAGGGAAGCTTTTTGAATGAAATGGAGCTGCAAGGCTAGTTTTTATTTGTTTTGGCTTAAAATGTTTGCTTTTTTTCTATCACTTGTTTGTCACAGGGGATCCATTGAATGTGTGGATTTTTACAGATCCGAAAAATCTGTCGATATGAGATGAGTTGGTCTGTATTTGCTGCTACTATTACGATCTCTTCTCTCCTGGGACATCATCTACAAACACAGTTCATAAAAAGGAAGTGATTACAGTGTTTTAAGTCATGATTAGGCTACAGATAAGTAAATAGGCCCAACTACCTTATAACAGTCTTATTTTAATAAAACAATTTAATAAATCACATTTCCTTCTACCCTTTATTATATAATTTACTAGTTTTTGATCCTCTTTTCGCCTGTTAATATGGCTCATTCTTGGTCTCTACAATCCTTACATACTACACATAAAACTTTCAGCATTTTGTGCCTCTTTATGTGTACAATGAGGCAAGTAATTTTCCCTAAACTAAAGTGCTCTACATAATACTAGCCTCCTGTTAATAGGTGTGTTTGGAGTGTTTGTAGACTCTTAGAACCACTAGTAAAGCCCACATAATGTTTACTAGCATGTTGCTTTTGTGATTGTTATTACTGTTGTTTTTAAGCTTATAGTGGTGTAGAGGTTTTCTCAATCTGTCGTATCTTTGCACTAATAAAAGAATATAGAAAGATACATTTAGGGGAGGAGATAGAGAAAGACAGAGAGAAAAATGGAGAAAAAGGCGTAATGTATATGATGAAAAGGGAAAGATACTCTAGAGAAGGAATAGGTGACATTATGGAAGCATACAGTATTACATACACTGTTTCCCATAATAACGTGTCAATTAAAATTTGGCAAAAAAATTGAGGTAAAGAATAATATAAAATCCTGCTTTGCATTAATTATTAAAATTATTTAATTGAATAATCAGATGTTCTTTGTAATTAGATATTGATATAACATCTAGTGAAATTAAAAAATCCTTTGATTTATTTCTAAATAATATTTGTATACAAACTTCATTAATATTTTATATTAATATGTTAAATATTAATATAAATATTTTATGAGAGAAAGTTAAATAATAAATATTTTTATTATTAATACTTTATAAAAGAAAGTTAAATAATAAAAGTGAGTATGTACAGTGCTGAGACTGGCACATAGTAGATATGTAATAATTATAATATGAATGTTTCTGGGATAAATATTAAAGGTAACACATGAAAACAAACCCATGTTCAACATGGACCTAAACATTTATTATGGTTCTGTTTTAGAATTTAGGGACTCCAGTTTGTTAATCTAAAATAAATTGGCACATTAGTATTAATCTTGAAAACCTTGCAAAGTTATTGTGACAATAAAATAAATTATTAATTTATGAATTAATTCATGCCTTCAACAAATATATATCAATCATGTAAGTACTTTGCTCTAGCTGTAGACTAGTCACTGAGAAGATAATAAGACTGCCCTTTAAGAGGGGGATGATGTTCACTGAGAGACTAAATATTGAAATGGACAATGACCAGAACAGGCATAAAAACACAATCTGGGCCACGATCTCTGCAGAAACTAGTCTAGAAAGCCAAACTACAACCACTGCAGCAATTGGCTCCAAATGGTCAGGACTTAGTCACTGAGAGGCAGCTTCTCTAACTTCTGCCTTTAGTTCCAATCTAGGATCAACGAGAGTAAGCCAGATATGCTCCCCAGATAATCACAGAGGAGCCTGGGTTCTTGTTAACCTACCTCCAGATTTTCTATGCCAACCACCTCCAATCAGAGTTCAACCAACGCTGCTTCTTTTTTTTTTTTTTTTTTAACCATAAAGCTTTTATATTCTCCTGCCTATTTTGAATTGTTACCAAACTCAGGTGAGGGGCACAGATTCCCTTGCTAGCTCTGTATAAATAACCTCTGCTGATTTTCATTTGAGTGATCTTTGATAATTTCCAGATTATATAAACAGACATATCTTATATCAACAACTGAGAAATGTAATAAATTCTGTTATGGGATAATTTGTTGGTAGGAATTGTATAGAAGACAAAAAAGATAGTGAATTTTATTAGAAAAGTGAGAAAGTTTAAAAAGCAACCTTGGATTTTCAATTTCAACTCTGTGTTTGTCATGGTTCTCCGGAACAGCAAAACTAATTGTATAGATATATAAAGAAAGGGGATTTTATTAAGCAGTAAGAACACATGATCACAGGGTCCCACAATAGGCTGTCTACAAGCTAAGGAGCAAGGAAGCCAGTCCCAGTCCCAAAGCTGAAGAACCTGGAGTCCAATGTTCGAGGGCAAGAAGCATCCATCATGGGATAAAAATGTAGGCCAAGAGGCTAGGCCAGTATCATCCTTTCACATTTTTCTGCCTGCTTTAAACCCTGGCTGCGCTGGCAGCTAATTAGTTGGTGCCCACCCAGATTAAGGGTGAGTCTGCCTTTCCCAACCGACTGACTCAAATGTTGATCTCCTTTGGCAACATCCTAGCAGACACACCCAGGATAAAAAATCAGCATCCTTCTATCCAATAAAGTTGATACTCTGTGTTAACTATCACAAGTCCACCCCCTGTCAACTTGAACCCATACGCATCTCCTGAGATCATACATAATCTTCAAACAAAGACAATAATAAGGTCATAATTATGCCTAACATAATACAGCTATCCTTTGTACAACCAGAAACGCACAAATCCCCAACCCAAATGCTATTACATAAAGTTAACAATAGTCAAATGCTGATATGAAGTCAATAAATCTTATGTCACATGATATAGGAAAAAGGAAATAAAATGTAGGTATTTTCTTAGTACAAGTGTATACATGCACAAACGTTTTTAACAAAAGGAGGAGGAAATACTGATGACAACTACAGTCCTCACTTCTGCAACTGTTGACGTTGTCGTAACTGGTATTGATAACTATCTTCTTCTACTATCTACTATCCATTCTGTATTCCATTTGCCTTCAGCAAGTACCTCAGTAGGTCATGGTTTTTGCCTGGTGAAGTGACCCAAAGCGTCATTCCTAAAGGGCATAGGCTATTTGCAGTCTGACCTGGATTGGACTGTTGTATTTTCCCATTGACCTTAATCACAGGGCATGGTAATACTAAGAGATGCCCTTTTAGATCTCCTGTATTTCATGCATTGTTTTCCTTACCTCCATTGTATAATAGTAGACTGATTTCATCTTGATAGTCCAGGTCAATCACCCCAGCCAACACTGTAACTCTTTTCTTATCCTGTTGACTTAAAGGTAGGAGGAACCCAAAGTGTCCAGGTGGAAATTTAACTTCCAGTTGAATAGAATCATCGTTGTCTCACCTGGTGGCAGTGTTCCTCCCTCTGGAGCTAAGACCTCTAGGCCAGTAGAACGTAATGTTGTGGGAAAAGGAAGCAAAAATTTTGCCAGTGGATCACTAGAGGTGATGGTGAGTGGTGCCATTTCCTCTTCCACCCCTTGATTCCTGGACCCATGAATCCTGGCTATGGGAGAAACAGTACCATATATTGGATGCTGATTCAGAGCATACATGGCCTTCTGGAGAACTTTGACCCAGCCTTGCAAAGTATTATCACCTAGTTGGCATTGTTATTGTGACTTCAAAAGGCCATTCCACAATTCTATCAATCCAGCTGCTTCAGGATGATGGGAGACATGGTAAGACCAGTTAATTCCATGAGCATGAGCCCACTGCCACACTTCTTTAGCCATAAAGTGAGTGCCCTGGTCAGAGGCAATGCTGTGTGGAATACAGTGGATAAGGCATTCCATGAGTCCACAGATGGTAGTCTTGGCAGAAGTATTGTGTGCAGGATAGGCAAACCCATATCCAGAGTAAGTGTCTATTCCAGTGAGGAAAAACCTCTGCCCTTTCCACGATGGAAAGGGTCCAGTATAATCAACCTGCCACCAGATAACTGGCTGATCACCCAAAGGAATGGTGCCATATCGAGGGCTCAGTGTTGGTCTCTACTGCTGGCAAATTGGGCACTCAGCAGTGACCATAGCCAGGTCAGCCTTGGTGAGTGGAAGTCCATGTTGCTGAGCCCAAGTGTAACCTCCATCCATGCCACCATGGCCACTGTGTTCATGGGCCCTTTGGGTGATGACAGGGGCGGCTGGAGAAAGAGGCTGAGTGGTGTCCACAGAACGGGTCATCCTATCCACTTGATTATTAAAATCCTTCTCTGCTGAGATCACCCGTTGGTGAGCACTCACATGGGATACAAATATCTTCACATTTTTGACCATTCAGAGAGGTCCATCCACATACGTCTTCCCCAAATTTCTTTGTCACCAATTTTCCAATCATGCTTCTTCTAAGTCCCTGACCAACCAGCCAAACCATTGGCTACAGCCGATGAATCAGTATATAATTGTACATCTGGCCATTACTCCTTCCATGCAAAATGCACAACCGGGCACACTGTCCAAAATTCTGCCCAGTGGGAAAATTTCCATTCACTGCTGTCCTTCGGGGATGTCATAGAAAGGGGCCATAGTGCTGCAGCTGTCCCACAACACATGGGAATTACAGGAGCTACAAAATGAGATTTAGGTAGGGACACAGCCAAATCATATCATTCCACCCCTGGCCCCTCCCAAATCTCTTATCTACACATTTCAAAGGCAGTCATGCCTTCCCAATAGTCTTCCAAAGTCTTAACTAATTTCAACATTAACTCAAAAGTCCACAGTCCAAAGTCTCATCCACACCAAGGCAAGCCCCTTCTGCCTATAAGCCTGTAAAATCAAAAGCAAGTTAGTTACTTTGTAGATACAATGGGGGTCCAGGCATTGGGTAAATACAGCTGTTCCAAATGGGAGAAATTGGCCAAAACAAAGGGACTACAGGCCCCATGCAAGTCCAAAATCCAGCAGAGCAGTCAAATATTAAAGCTCTGAAATAATCTCCTTTGACTCCATCTCTCACATCCAGGTCACGATGATGCAAAAGGTCCGTTCCTGTAGTCTTGGGCAGCTCTGCCTCTGTGGCTTTGCAAGGTACAGGCTCCCTCCTGGCTGCCTTCACAGACTGGTATTGAGTGTCTGTGGCTTTTCCAGGCACACAGTGCAAGCTGTCAGTGGATCTACCATTCTGGGGTCTAGAGGACAGTAGCCCTTTTCTCACAGCTCCACTAGGCTGTGCCCCAGTAGGGACTCTGTGTGGGGGCTCCAACCCCACATTTCCCGTCTGCACTGCCCTAGCAGAGTTTCTCCATGAGGACCTCGCCCCTATGGCAAACTTCTTCCTGGGCATCCAGGAGTTTCCATACATCTTCCAAAATCTAGGCAGAGGTTCCCAAACCTCAATTCCTGACTTCTGTACACTGGCAGGTTCAACACCATGTGGAAGCTGCCAAGGCTTGGGTCTTGCACTCTCTGAAGCCACAGTCTGAGTTCTGTTGGCCCCTTACAGCCACAGTTGGAGTGCCTGGGATGCAGGACATCAAGTCCCTAGGCTGCACATAGCATAGGGACCCTGGGCCCGACCCACAAAACCACTTTTTCCTCCCAAACCTCCAGGCCTCTGATGTGGGAGCTTGCCATGAAGACCTCTGACATGCCTTGGAGACATCTGTCCCATTGGCTTGGAGATTGACATTTGGATCCTTGTTACTTATGCAAATTTCTGCAGCTGGCTTGGATTTCTCCTCAGAAAATGGGATTTTCTTTTTATCACATTTTCAGGCAGCAAATTTTCCAAACTTTTATGCTCTGTTTTCCTTTTAAAACTGAATTTCTTTGATAGCACCCAAATCCCCTCTTGAATGCTTTACTGCTCAGAAATTTATTGCACCAGATACCCTAAATCGTCTCTCTCAAGGTCAACATTCCACATGTATATAAATGCCACCAGTCTCTTTGCTAAAACATAACAAGAGTCACCTTTGCTCCAGTTCCCAAAAAGATCCTCATCTTCGTCTGAGACCAACTCAGCCTGGACCTTATTGTCCATATCACTATCAGGCTTTTGGTCAAAGCCATTCGCCCAGTCTCTAGGAAGTTCCAAACTTGCTCACATTTTCCTGTCTTCTGAGTCCTCGAAACTGTTCCCACCTCTGCCTGTTACCCAGTTCCAAAGTCACTTCCACATTTTCAAGTATCTTTTCAGTAGCACCCCACTCCTGGTACAAATTTACTGTATTAGTTTGTTTTCATGCTGCTGATAAAGATATGCCCAAGACTGAGCAATTTACAAAAGAAAGAGATTTATTGGATTTACAGTTCCACATGGCTGGGGAGGGCTCACAATCACAGAGGAAGGCAAGGAGGAGCAAGTGACATCTTATGTGGATGGCAGCAGGCAAAAAGAGAGCTTGTGCAGAGAAACTCCCTTTTTTAAAACCACCAGATCTCTATGAGACCCATTCAGTGTCATGAGAACAACATGGGAAAGACTCAACCCCATGATTCAATCTTCTCCCACCAGATCCCTCCCACAACATGTGGGAATTATGGGAGCTACAAGGTGAGATTTCAGTGGGGACAGAGAGCCAAACCATATCAAACCTCAATGTAGAATAACCTTAGTAGTTGTCACTCTCACTTTTACAACAAGAACAAAAGCAATTACAAATTGAAAATGAATAACTTTTCTTGGACTCATCAGAGGGAAAATCACCATCTCAAAATTTGGAAAGAAACATGTGAATAGTAATTTTGATAAATTGTTGGAACTTTTGTATGGACTAACTTCAGGGGCAAAAAGTCTTGGGAATCCATAGTCTTAAAATTCCACCAGGTTCTCACATTTGGAAGTTGAAAAAGACCTCTTTGTAATCCTGGGAGGGAGAAGGGAGGAATAACCTTTGTAAAGCATGTCAGAGTGTTCTTCATTACAAATGCTTACTTTCCAGGAGAAAGGGCTTTGCCTAAACACAAAATTATGAGAGAACTTTATCTTAGCTATGGTGAAGGGGGCATTTCTCACTTGGCTCCTCACTTAGCCTTCCTGTGCTACCCAAGAGAAAGATTAAAAAAAAAGGGTTAACCAACACCAGGGTTTCTAGAAAATAGGTAGGACTATTGCATCCAGGAAATGAAGTAACCAGCAGGTGGAAAAACAGCTATCCATAATACCCGAAGAGGGACAGAAATGCTTGTGAAGGCCACAATCTCAAGATAAAGCCTTGGTAAAGAAATGAAAATCCAGAATATTATAGAAACTTCCCCTACTCCACACTTTATCACACCGTCAGGGGCACAGTATAATATCAGTAGATAATGAGAAAAAAAGAGATGCAAGACACAGTCTCTTTGGATAGTAGTGCACAGGGAAGCACCATAGCAAGAGGGCAAACAAAACTAAGAATATTCAAGGAATTTGAAGCCTCTGCTTCCTATGATTACAGCAATATTAAATATAGATAAGCACCTAGCAAGATTAAAATAAACCAAAGTCCTATTTATCATATTTCCTGTTACCTGACACAACAGCTTTCAACAAAACCTTATAAGGTGTGACAAAAGGCAAGATAAATCAAGTCAGAAGATACAAAACAGTCATCAAATCCAGACTCAGATATAACACAAATGTTGGGATTATCACACAGAGAACTTAAAATAACTATGGTTAATATGTTAAAATCCCTAACAAAAAAAGTTGACAATATGCAAAACAAAAAAATATGACAATATGCAAGATGGGTAATGTAAGCAGAAAATTAAAATTCTAAGAAATAATCCAGAGGAAATTCTGGGAATCAAATCCACAGTAACAAGAATGAAGAATTTTTTTTTTTTTGACGGGCTTATCAGTAGATGTGACAAGACAAGGAATCGGTGAACTTGAAGATAGATCAACAGATTTTTCTTCAGAACTAAATAAAATAAATCAACAAAATGAATAAAATTGAAAAACTACAGAATAGAAGATGCAAGAACTGTGGGACAATGTAAAATGAAAACTTTAAGCTTTGTCCTGTAAAGTTATCAAGCAAAAGTTAGAATATTCTAGGCTAAGTGATCAGCATACATGTAAAAAGACATGGAATTAGGAAAAAATATAGCATATTTAGGGAGGAATTTAAAGCTTAATGTGACTATTACGACAGAATATGTGGGAAGAGCCAAAAATGATGCTAAGAATCAGGCTGTAATAGTTTCATATACCAAGCACTTGAGTTGAGACTTCAATTTGGGGCCATTATGAAGCTGGTATACTCTTCATGCAAAGAAGCAACATGAACTGATTTGAGTTTTTTGAAATAATCTTTGAATGCAGTGAGAGAAAGAATAATCTGAGCTTGAGGTTTTTTTCAATTGTATTTTATGTGGTTATTTAGAAATAAAGTGATATCAAGAAGTATAAAGATAAAAATCCTACTATTTTCTATCTCATTCACTCTTTCATGACCCTTTTTTAAATTATAAGGACTTCATAGCTGGGAAGGGAGTTCTCGTTGGGCATGAACCCCTTAAATGTGAGTTTGCAACTTTGAATTCATGTATGCCTGTGTAATTTTTTGAGGAAAAACGATTAGCATTTACGGAAGATTAGGGTAACATTGTATAAGATCAATTTTATTCCGTAATACAACATATCATAAAATATGTTTATTACTGTTATAGTTGTATCTATATGTGAAATTACTGTCCACATACTGAATCTCAGTCTACTATCACTACCTCAGGGAAGCATGTCATGATCTTCCCAAATCGAGTTATCTATCCTCTTTAAAGATTGAACTCTGTATACGAACTTCCGTATCTTTGGTACTTAACACATCATACTAAAAAAATAGACTTGTCTTCCCAATCAGAATATAAACAATGATAAAACACTCTCAAAACCTATCTTAAGACATTAAAAAAGTTGCCCCTTAAAATATTGGTTGAAAATAAATTACAATTATTTTAATAAAATCAAATTGGGATACACACTAGGTATTTTGGTATTATGACATTATTGGTTTGGCTACAAGCTGTCAGACATTTATTCTTACCAAATATATTGAAGCTTATTAAGAATTGGTAAAAGGACCAGATGGATTATAGGCACATAAATACCAGAGAAGCAGCAGTGAATCCCAAATACAATGCTGTCTATGAATATTAATTTCTAAAAGAACGTGATGGGGATATCTTTGTATTTTTATGCTTTTAAAAAATACATCAGCATATATTCAACAGAATAATTCATCTGATGTGATGTATTAATATATGCCATTTCTAGCATTCTAGTTTTTACCCTATTATTTTTCTTCCACTCAACGAAGCATGTTAGAATGCAAATGAAGAAGTTTCAGGTTGCTATAAGAATAATGCCATTTATGATGTAATTCATATTGTTAAAAGTGCATCTCTAGAGAAATTTGGAAATTTAATTATTAGTACTAACAAATTCATTACAACACTGAAGAAATAATGGTGACAGATAAGTGTATAATAACACCACTCTTGAAAATATCTATCTTTGAATACCTTCTGTTTAATATCAGAAGAATTATAAGTATTATAAACACTAATTGTAAACAGAGCAAAATTTTACTATCTGTAAAACAGCATGATAGCATACCCTCCCGAGCTCATAGGATTGCTGTATTAAATGAAATGATGAATATGTAATGATTTTCAAAGTATCTAGTGCAGCATGACAAATTAATAATTATTTTCCATTTTAATTAATTACTACTATGAGCAATAAAATGTTCATTATGAAGTCCTTTTACATGTGCTGTTCCAACTGAGAGGGAAAGCTAACACATGGTATTTCATCCTCGATTTATTTACAAGGAAATAAAATGTTAGAAAAAAATTTTTGAAAGTTCTTTATCTATGAGGCAGCATAGCATAGTGGTAACCTACTGACTCAAACTGATGTTACATCTTCTGAGTCTCCCAACTCTGCCATTCATTAGAGGTGTGTGCTTGGTGCTTGGCTACTTAATCTTTTAAGCCCTCACGTTCCTCATTTCATGTTTAATATTTACATAGCACTTATGAGAGTCCCCAATGATAGTAAGTCCTTTATAAGTGTTTGTTAAATAAATAAAAAAGAAAAATTGGGTAACTTTAAATACACTCTTATTGAGTAAAAACTTCACCTCTTGCCTGGACTTGTTTCTGACTCTTTTCTCTGAGTTGTCATTTAAAAGCACTGAAAATTGTTTGTATCTTTTCAACATTTAATTTTTTAAACTTGAAAAGTTAAATACAGGTTTTCAACATTAAAAAAATTAAAAAATTAAAAAAATAAAAGCACTGTCTCGTTTAATAGCTAAGGATCTTACTTTTCTCATGTGAAACTACGGATAACTCATTTTTGACTAAGTCCCAAATATGTGACTCCAAAGTAGTTCAAGTCAAAAAGACTTTCTGCTCCTAAAAGACCAAATATGGGTGTAATATCTATATCAAAAATTATACAGCCCAGCAACATGGATGGTTTCTGCACTTCTTTGAGGTCTAGTTGCTAATACATTATCTTGTTTCAGGAAATGCACAATTACCCTTACTCACTATAGAAGCAACTAAATTTCACAGACAAATTATTTTTCATATTCTGGGATTCCTCTTTGCATAATGCCATTACAATCTTCATCTAATTTTTTATTTTCTTAATGAGAACCACTATGGATCTCAGAAGCATCATTCAAAAGGACCACCATTTAAATTTTGCCTAAACCTCACCTCCATCTGCAAGGTGTTAGAAGTATTAGATCTGCTTTTTAATGTAAGATTCATAACCATTCATTCCAATATTATTTATTGTCCTAAATATACCATTAAAACAGAATAGTGAGAGAGCAACTCATAGCCACGTATTTTCTGACAAACTTGGACATTCAGAATGGATTTCTGATCAGGAAAGAAGAAAATTACAAGCATCTTTTTAGAGGATAAAAGGAAAAAAATGATAAAATAAGATTCAGAGTTCAGAGAACATAAGAAATAAGAATCATGGATTTTGATAATTCCACTCAATTCCATTGACGAATCATTCTGACTAAATTTAGGAGAACTCCATATTGTTATTACTTCAGTGGTTTTCTCCCACAAAATCATGCTGAAATTATCCCAAATATTGTGATATAAACCCTAAATGTTTGTATTGTTATAATAACTAAGGATTAGTTATTTTGGTACTAGTTAAGATGTAATTTTAACAAAAAAGAAAGCACATCTTTACTTTACAAATGTGTTTTTAATATGATCTTTCTAAGTAATTAAACCTTTAGGCTTTCATATATAGACAAGGAATAATTTTTATGTTATGATGATGCTATTAGCTAACGCCAGTCTATCTCTTCACTATAGAATTTGTAAAAACATTCTCCAAACTCCCTAAGTGTTATACAATAAAGAGTTATTTTATTATAGAAGACAGAATCCATTTATTTTGCATTTTCTTAACTGCAATGAAGTTATTCAAAATCATTAAGTAAAGCTAGGAAGGCAGATTAAATGCACTATTAAGGCGATAAAGGAAATGCACTAATGTTGATATCTGTCCATCACCAGAGGCAAATTGCATGATTTTGAAAATATAGTGACAATTTGTATTGGGATTAGTGAAGCTAAACTCAGTTTCCTGAATAGGATATAGACTAGATAATTATATTCTTTCTCCTTATGTCCCTATAGTAATTTTATTTGAATAGTATTATGTCTCATCTTGTTCTATTTTTTTTCTATTTTCTATTTATCTGGTGCTCAAATATAAGAAGATTCTGTTACCCTTAGTTCATCCTGGTTTCCTTCTGTGTAGCCAGGGATTTATCAGGTCAAATGGGAGTTATATTCAGTAATAGCATTCTGCATTTTCTTTTTCTTATAGCCTCAGGAATTACACACTAAAAAGGTGAACAAAGGGACAAAGAAGGAGTATTTTGATGATAAAAAAATACCAAAATCTGTTCCATGCAAAATTTTTAGCATATATTTTTTAACCATGGTAGGCACAGGAAGAATTTTATTAAGTAAGAACTGAGATTACACTCACAATAAACAATTCAAAGTTTATAATTTGTTGTCAGTCATGTCAGGCATCATACTAGAACTCCAAATATGTCCACTGACTTACTTTTTATTTGTATAATGATGGCAAGGAGCTGCTCTAGACAGTAAATTATGAAGTCATTATCGCAATTCTTGTAATAAGCAGTCATCTTTTCTTCTGATTCATGACTTGCAACTTCACCAGATGTATGCTGTAATCTTTTTGACTTGGTTATCCTATTGTGTCTTATTGCTGCATAATAAAATAGGAGGTAACAACTGAACAATCTGATGAGCTAATTAGAGTTCTGAGGAGCTTGAGTAATGCTTAAATCCTTTCTTTCATTGGAATCACACTTAACTCTGGGTCCAAAGATTGAAGAGTCACATCTTACAAACTTCCATGAATTCCTATTTTGTTTACGGTCCCTGTAGCAAAGCTTAACCTGCTTTGCATCATTTAAGAACGCTTTTGCTTTGCATGCAAATGTTTATAAATTTTCAAATTAAAAATAGAAAATCAATTCAAGTATACCAATGCCAATATTCCTTCTTGGTAAAATAAGGATAGTATGATAAACATTACTCAATAGTAATAAACATCAATGTTAGAGCCATGAGGTCATTTTTTTGAGAACATGCTATATTTTACTTTCTGTGTCTGGCTTATTTCATTTAATATAATGTCCTCCAGTTCTGCCATGTTGTTGCAAATAACAGGATTTCATTATTTATGGCTGAATAATATATCATGTATATTCCAGTTAAACCCATTTTCTTTATTCATTCATTCATTGATTAACAAAGATTTATTTGGTATCTTGGCAATTGTGAATAGTGATGCAATAAACATAGGAGTGTAGATATATCTTTGATATGCTGTTTTTCTTCCTTTGAATATGGGATTTCTGGATCATATGGTAGTCCTATTTTTAGTTTTTTGAGGAACCTCCACACTGTTTTCTATAGTGGCTGTAATAACTTATATCCATACCAACTGTATGCAAGAAAAGAACTTGGTATCTTGACTCAGGCATTTCTTATTGTAATCCTAGTTTCCTATGCCTGATTTATTTGAAAGCTTCAGCTTTCACTTATGTACATAAAGTTATGATTTATAACAACTGGATGTTTATGTTGAATTCCTTTGTAAATATCATGAATACCACTGAATGATTATATTTTTATTAAAACTTCAAGATAAAATAAAATTTTAAAAATTACTGTTTATTATTTCATTATTTCAAAGCTCTTATTTAAAAACTGCAGAATCTATAAGTGCTATCATAAATGTCAAAAGGCTAAGAAATAAATATTGACTCTCTTTTATGCAAGTTATAATTTAGTAATTAATGGATTATATACAGAAAGCCACACAAATAAAACTAGAATTAAAGGCACATACATAATAATAATTTGTTTTAATGACCTAAAGAAAATAAAGAATTGGTTGGCCAGGCGTGGGGGCGCATGCCTGTAATCCCAGCACTTTGGGAGGCTGAGGCAGGAGAATCACTTGAATACAGGAAGCAGAGTTCGAAGTGAGCCGAGATCATGCCACTGCACTCTAGCCCGGGCAACAGAGCAAGACTCTGTCTCAAAAAAAAAAAAAAAAAAAAAGAAAGAAAGAATTGGTCAAAGCAGGTGGCTCCTTGAAGTAGTGAATCTCAGTACCCCTTTTAACTAGAGACTTAATGCTCACTGTAGAGTTTTATTCACACAAAGAGAAAAACTTAGAAAAGCGTCTGATTCTTAGACTCTTAGTCTCTGTCCTTAAGAAATCACCTCACTTTTTAAATATGGCATAAAGTGCTTTTCAAAAAGAGAGTTGATGAACTTTGTTGGTTTAGCATCTCTTACTGGGCACAGGACTAAAGACTTTGAGGTATCTATATTAATTTGTGTGGGGAGTAGATGAACTGTTCTTTTATTAGTTTTGCTCCATTTTATTAAAAGGTTGCAGAGGGTAGTATTGAGCAGTGCTTTGCAGTTTATAATGAAACTTGAAAGTAAACTACCTGAATCCTAGGTCTTGCTCCCTCTTTTAAACTCATTCAGAATAAAAGCAAGTATGATTATTTGATGTTCATTATCCTACTAATGATTCTGACATAAAGAGCATATTACATGCCATAATGAATCTAACTTACTGTTGTCCAATCATTTACCTTTCATTTGAGTATGAATCTTGAACTTGGAGGACTAACTTCTTGAATAGTGCCACTGAGGTCACAACACAAATGTGGATTAGGTGTCTGCTTTAGCCAGGCACAGGGAGACACATGTCGATGTTCTCACTCATATGTGGGAGCCAAAAACATTGATCTCATGGAAACAGAGAATAGAATGGTACGTACTAGAGGCTGGGAACAGTGCATGGGTGGAAAGGAGGATAAAAAGAGATTAATAAATAAATAAAAACTTATGGTTAGATAGAACAAATAAGCCCTAGTAGCAGAATAGGGTGACTATAGTTAATGACATTATATCGTATGTATTAGTTAGAAGATAGAAATTGAAATGTTACTGACACATAGAAATGATAAATACACCAGGTGACGTATACTCCAAATACCATGACTTGATCATTACATACTCTATGATGTAACAAATACTTTGCTTGTACCCCATATATTTGTAAAATATTTTAATTCAATAAAAATAATACGTTTTTATTCTTAGTTAAAAACAGACACCTACTTTTTTCCAAATTCTGTCATAGATTACTGAAAGTAAAAAAGATAAAAGAGACTTCTGGCCTTATTAGAAATTAAGAGTTTAATATACATCCTTAAATTCAATCACTTCCATGGCCAGTGAAGAATGAGTGGCCTTCATCATTATAGACAATGGACATGATAATAAAATAAATCCTACAAAGAGGAGACTTTTTCATGATACTGTGTTTATTTTCAGTTCTAAATAACGGAGCAGCAATTACAGTTGGTGGAGTTCCCCATAAATATTTAAAATACCAAACAGGCAGTTAACAGAAATATGTGACCCATTTATACAAGATAGTTTGGGCTTCAGATTATAGCAACTTCTAGTTTGAGGGGATCTTGAAAATTATGCATGCTCAGTTTACTCCTAGTATAAGCATAGACCAGTAGAAAAAGAGTTGAGGCTTTGGAGCCAAACTGTCAAGGTTAAAATCCCTGTTCAAACTCTTAGTCCCTGACATTAGGAAAACACCTCACTTTTATTTTCATATTTATAAAAGGAAGGAAGTCCTTTTATCATAAATTCACTTACTGCTTAATTTAATACATGCAAAGAGTAAGTGATATTGGCTCACACATAATAAAACACTCAACAAAACTTAGGTATTATGAAAATTTTAAGAATTATTGCTCTTCTTGACAGAAATGGTTAACATTTTCTGAGAGAGACCATATAGGTAATCAATGTTTTAAGCTTCACAGCCCATATGATGTATTTCCCAATTATTCAAATCTGCCCTTGCAGTGTGAAAGGAGACATAGAAAATATGTAAATGAAAGATGACTTTTACAATAAAACTTTATATATGGACACTACAATTTGAATGTCATGTAATTTATGTTCCACAAAATGTTCTTTAATTGGTATGTTTCAGCCATTTCAAAATGTAGAAACCGTACATAGATTTGGGGCTGTACAAAAGCCACCTGGATTTGCACCACTGACAGTAGTTTGAGGGCCCTGTTGTGTTGTGATGCCCCTTTTGCTCCACAGGCTTGCTTGCCTGGTCCCAAAAATGGAAATTGTAGGACCACCTTACCTGATACAGAGGTGTTGCAATATAATAGTAAGGAAGATATGCTAAAACAAAGTCAGAAAATTGATCAACTGTAAAGAAAAAAGATGTATTTTTAAAGTTGAACAATTGAACCAGAAAAACTTACTTAAGAATATATCTTTATTTTTTCTCCTTTTCAACAATAATCACATTTGTAATTAGCAGTAGACTATCTATGTCTTTCCTATCGTACTGTTAACTCCACAAAGACAGAAATTCTCTGTATTCTGTTTAGTCTGATCTCCAGTATTTACTAGAGTACTTGGTACATATTAGGTTGTTAATAATATAAATTGAATAAATGAATTAGTGAATAGATAGAAATAAAAAAATCAATATTTTACATTTTAATCCTATTTATTCCATTTTCTAAAGTCAAGATTTAAATAAGTGGAAGAAAATTTGGGTTACAAACTAGTGGATACTTGCTGAAATAATTACAATTGTTTCCTTCTAGATCATGTGTTGATATGTCCGTTGGCCATGAACTTGATTATGTGACTCTCTTATAACTTCCTGGAAACCCACAAACCAACTTCATCACTTTCTCACTTTCCATTCTCAGACACTTCTAATCATTATTATTTCTTCTTTTTTGATCTAAGTTTATTGTTGAATATAAGCAAATACTCTTGAATAATGATTACATCCAATCTATCTTTTAAAATGAAAATGAGTATCAGTGAAATTTAACAGCTTATAAATTTAAAACATTCAATAGGCAAAATAGAGTTTTTTTTAAGATACGAAAAATTTATTAGGCTACATTGCTAACATTTAAAGAGCTTTCCTCCTCTTTTCCTTCCTACTTCTATTTTCCAATTATCTAACTGAAATCTTGATTTATTTGTTCTGCATCTTTTCAGCAACTGTTTCTCTAAAGATTAAGTTTATATATTTTCTTCTTCAAACATGTTCCAATTTCTGTCTTCTAATAGATCCTCTTTATTGCCTACCTGTCTTCGATACTGTTGACAGATTTTCACTCTCATTAAACCACCCATGCTCCTGCAGCCTCAGGTAGCAACCACAGCAATGGTCTGTTCCTAAAGATAGAAAATGAGATTCCAAACTTTTTCTGGAATGTAACAAAGAGAGAAAAGTTTCTTTTCATTTGCAGTCCTCAGAATCATCTGGCATTTCCCCACAGATTTGCAACAGGAAAGTGATTTAGAACTTCCACCAATGTATTCCCTAGAGCTCTTTGTAGGAACAGTAAAGAGCTTTGAGGGGTGAGATCATTTCCCACATCTTTCTAACTTCCCTACCTTTTCCCACTGGATTCATCATTCTTATCTAAGAAGGAGGGAAGATTCTCATTTTCCATGCTTTTACTCTACCACAGTGTCCTCAAAGGAGTAATTTATGGGAATATGGGCTCCAGAGTGCCTTTAAATTTTCTAGCAAGTGCAATCAGCACACCCAATGGAAGGCATACTGTATTCCACTATATCAGAGGTGAGGCAATTGGCATTGTGCCATTTACTTAACATGCTAGGCAGAACTAAGTAATTTATTTTATGTCACTTGGTATTCTTAGATAATATGCTTCTACAATTTGCCTTCATTTGAAGGACACTATTATATTTAAGTATTGGATCTCATACCTTTGAACATCATGAACTTTGGATAAATTATTTATTTAATCCAGATACCTATATGTAGACCTATGGTTTAAAGACAGTATTATGCCTATTAGCATTGTATCACTACAAAGTCACAATTGATATTGATTTTTATATTATCCAATTTTTAAATCAGTGTCATAGATCAAGGGTTGCAGTACAATGAATTTATGACTACAAAACAGCAGCAAAACAAAAAATATAATTAGTATGATCAACAAAGTTTCTGTAATGTAGAATTACAAGGAACAAAATAGACATAATTTACACTTTATATAGCACAGCAAAAAGAGAAGAAATAATCATTAATTTTTATTCAAAAAAGCTATTGTTCAAGAAACCCTATAAACAATATATACTTCAATTTTTACAATAAATCGCTATCAGCAGGTTCAAATAAATTATTTCATTAATCATTCAAAATTATAATATGTCAGTCATATAGTCTGGTTAAAATTCACTCAGTTTATTTATGCCAAATTTGTTTTTATTAAATTTACATTATAGGTGACACAGACTAATCTTAATGTTCTGTTATTTAAGGCCAGTTGTCTGTCTTTGTAATATTTACACATGGGGTCATAGAATGTTTCTAATCTCCAATTTGCCACTATGGCTTTGTTTCCTTTCTGTTGTCATATTTTCTTAATTCTAATTGATACTTCTTTTTTTCTCTCTCTCTCTGACACACACACATACATATTCACACACACCCATTTGCACATCCACAAAATTTACCGCTACCATCTCTTTGCCGTTTGTTTCTAATTTCCATACTTTGTAATTTATTTGACATTACAAGGGCCATATTGTTGGAAGACCATAGAAAGAAACAAAAAAAGTTTGTTACTGCATTGTAATTTGAATTATTTCAATGGCTTTGGTGCAAAAATTGCCTTATAACTATTAGACCTAATTTTACTCTGTTATAAATGTAGCTGTACGATTATAAACAGCTGAGGAGATCAGTGGAATGAAGTTAGGCTAAACTATGAAAGATGAAAGGCATAATCCATCTTTTATGTTCCCCAAACAAGTGGCAAAAAATGAAAAAAAAAAGTGTTTGACTATATTCATTCTTCAACAGTCTCGAACAAATCTATGTTACATGTTGTGAAACGTAGTCCTCAATTCATTATACTCATGCTAGTATATAGCTGATCTCCAATTTTATTATCAAAATATTCACTTAAAAACAACTCATTGCATTTTTTTTGTTGCTAACATACTCAGTTGCTATACATTACCTCATATTTTTCACTAGTCGTTTTAATTATTTTGAAAAGTTATTCTTTTTTACAGAAACCAACCCCAAACAACATATAGAAATTCCCATTGAAACATCTATTTTGTTTCTAGACCATGGGTAGAGATGTATAGCAACAAATTTAAACACATAATTTTATGTCCTGTATACCTCTCTACTTTCAGGTTACAAAACTTAATTTGAGCAAACAAGTATGGGAGGCAGTTTGCTACGAGAAGGTAGGTAGCCTTTCACAGAGTTCTCAAAGTATAGCCAGGATTAAGGCTGAGAGACTTCTGGAACGGGGAATTAGAACGCTGACAGGGAACCAGGAAGTGTTCCTTTCCCTCATTATCTCTGCTTCTCTTGTCCTGTCTTTACTCTCTTCTTCTTCAAACTCTCTTCCTCTGCTTTGTTCACAAGGGCGCTGGCTCATTTGTGCTCCCTAGCTATCTTCCCTGTCTCTCTTTGACTCTTTTTTTTTCTACCACTTTTTATTCTAAATACAAGTATTGTGTGATGATTGTTTCAACTTAGGTTACTCTGCCTGGCCTAGTCAGTTTGGAAGGAGGAAGTGAGCAGAATTACATTGTTCCTAATGGTTGTGAGGGACTGTTACTATGAATGGGAGGAAGATGGTACAAATAGAAAGGTCAGGGCCCTCAGCGGTGGCTCACGCCTGTAATTCCAGCACTTCGGGAGGCCGAGGTGGGCGGATCACGAGGTCAGGGTATTGAGACCATCCTGGCTAACACGGTGAAACCTCGTCTCTACTAAAAATACAAAAATTAGCCTGGCATGGTGGTGGGTGCCTAAAGTCCCAGCTACTCGGGAGGCTGAGGCAGGAGAATGGCGTGAACCTGGGAGGCGGAGCTTGCAGTGAGCAGAGATCGCACCACTGCACTCCAGCCTGGGCAACAGAGGGAGACACAGTCTCAAAAATAAATAAATAAATAAATAAGAAAGGTCATTATAAGCTCTGCAGCCAGTTCAAAATATACCCACTATCTAGGATGTGTTTCACTTCACATGAAGTTCTTATAATCAGAATTTACATATCAAAGCTGCCCTTGAGTTAAGCATTTGAATAATCAGCCGCAATAATCATTCTACAGGATTTCTTCCCTTTAAATAAAGAAGACAATAATGCATACAAGGTTATTCAATGTCCACCTTTTACTTTATTCTAAGTTGCTTATAGTGAGGCTATATCCCCACTAACATCATTATTGATGAAGAAGATTGAGAAAGAAAAAAAGTTTATTAAGAGCATTCATAAACAAAATCATTACATAAATTTAGTTATAAAAATCAGTGATTTGAGAAGGGAAAGTATATAGCAGTGTCAAATATTTAAGAGTTAAGGTTAAAACATGAAAATGACTATCACCTGTGGCAACGCATTCCACATGTCCTATATAGAAAATTGTGGGCCTTAACAAAAATGCTTTGAGACTTTTTGTTAACTACAAATGTTAGAACGGGTTTCCTATTTCTCAACCAGAACCAAAAATACTGGTTGGGAAATAGGAAACCCGTTCTAACATTTGTAGTGAGTGGGAAATGAGAAGTTTTCAGATAAACAATTATGGCAGGAAAAAAAATGTCAACAAATAGCCATTACCACCTTCTTCCACTTAGTTATAGATCCCTCTGAAATTTAGTTGGCCATGTGGCTGCTCAGCTGCAAAAAAATATACTATATTCTCTAGCAACTTGGTATAGCCATGTTTTGGCTTAAGCCATGTGAGTAGAAATGAAATTTCCAATTTGGAGATTTCCCACTGTTTCAGATTTCCTCTTTCCTGATAGCAGAGATAAGATGAGATTGGAAGGAACTGCTTTGGACACAGAAGTGTGAACCCTGTGCTAAGGAGTCATGGCACCCCTAATACTTCTTTTCCACTTAGTTCTGAGCTGTTTCTTCTTAGAGAAATATACTTCAGTCCTATTTAGGCCCTGAAATGTTGACTTCTCTTGGTGATAACAAATGATAATCTTTAACTTTACTAATACATTTAACAGGGAAAGAGCCCATTAGCCTTTAAGACTGAAGAGTAAATTGAAAAGTTGGGGGATGTATTTTAGGTACAGCAGAACCGTAGGTCCTGGCAGCACAGTGGAAAGGAAACATGGGCATGCTACTTTAAAGGGAAAAAAATCAATAAATATATGTGAAAAGGAGAGATCAGGTGACAGAGCTTCTTGAATTTTAGGTGGTAAGTGGAAAAAATGAACAAGAAATAGAAACATAGTGAGATTTCTTAGTTCCAACATTTTTGCCTCAATATTATGTTTCATCATCATTTCTGCAGGGAGAAATCCAGGTAGTATCTGTGGTTTTAAAATAGTTAAGGTGATTAGCTGTTGATGTTAGTTATTTGACTTCTGACCACGATTTGTAAGTATAAACAGGGGTAAGAAAATGGTGTGAATAGGTCCAAGTGAGGATTTGAAAAGTGGGGCCTTAATAGAATTAGTTGTATTCTGATATGTATGTTATTTTCCCTTAAAATAGTTTCAATTCTCACATAAAAGTATAGGAATTATTTTATTGTAGCTTAAGCAAAACCACTGAATAGACATAAAAGTATAAGAGGAAGTTTATCAATGCATGCCCAGAAGGTCTTACAGGTGAATGAGTGTGTTTAGAGTTAAGCTCTCGAAGCAGAGAGAATGCAAAGAGGGAAGGAAATGGTGGGAACAAAGTTTAAAACCAAGAATGAGAGAAACAGTGAAATACTCTGTAAATTAGATTGATAAAACAGAGAATATTAAAGCTGAACCATATAATATTAATGAACCTGTAGCCTAAGTCTATTATTTTAGGAAAAACTGAGAGCTAAATGATTAGAATTTACCTGGTTAAAATAACACAAGAAATTAGAATTAGATCCCATATTACACGCTGTGATCACTTAGTTTCCTAACCCATTATCTCTGCAAACACGAGCATAGGCTTACATATATCTGTATGTTGGGAGGTTGTGCATACCTTTATATGTTTGAGTGTCAAGAACCTATTCGAGACAATAAAGATAATCTGTTTTGTCCTATGATTCTTATTATATCATTGTTTTCTACAGTATCTTTTTAAGAAATTTAATATATTTTTCAAGCAATTCAGAAAATAACTTAACTGTCACAGAATTTTTTAAATTTAAGAAACAAAATCTTTAGTAAATACATACTTCTGAAAATATGAAAATACTGCCCCAGTGTTAAGTTACAGGTTAATGTCAGTTCCTAGACCAGATTATTGGTTTAATTCTGTTGTTAAAATTACATCTTCTGGGACCGGCGCGGTGGCTCAGGTCTGTAATCCCAGCACTTTGGGAGGCTGAGGCAGGGGCATCACGAGGTCAAGAGATAGAGGCCGTTCTGGCCAACATGGTGAAACCCCATCTCTACTAAAAATACAAAAATTAGCTGTGCGTGGTGGCGGGCGCCTGTAGTCCTAGCTACTTGGGAGGCTGAAGCAGGAGAATCACTTGAACCTGGGAGGCGGAGGTTGCAGTGAGCTGAGATGGCGCCACTGCACTCCAGCCTGGTGACAGAGTGAGAGCGAGACTCCAAATCAAAAAAAAAAAAAAAAAAATTATACCTTCTGGTTCAATGATTAGCAAGAGGTCCACGGAAATACTTGCTTTGGTTTCTAAGAATGCAAGTATATGCAATGCATGCAACTAAAGAGTGAATGGGGAGACTGTATAAACCTTACAGAACTATTGTCATGAGACTTAATTATACTTCTACTTGCTTAATTAATACGTTTTTCCATATTATTTATATGAACTACTGTTAACTCTGTAATAATTCTAAACTTGACCTACCTTTCTAAACATATGGTGAGACTAACGCTTTCTGCTTTCAGTGGAGGCAGCAGGATTTATTTTAATGCAGCCGGTAGCTATTGACTGATTTCTCCTTCCAACACAGAAATGTTGCATTGCTTGTTAATGTGTTTCTTTGCTCAGGACTAACCATTTATAAAGGCACAATACTGGGGAAGATCCCAGAATATATTCTGCCTTTCCCTCCCCTTTTCCCTTCCCTTTTTCTTTCCTACATTTCCCTTTTTTTTGAGACGGAGTCTCACTCTGTCCTCCAGGCTGAAGTGCAGTGGCGCGATCTCAGCTCACTGAAAGCTCCGCTTCCCGGGTTCACGTCATTCTCCTGCCTCAGCCTCCCGAGTAGTTGGGACTACAGGCGCCTGCCACCAAGCCCGGCTAATTTTTTTGTATTTTTAGTAGAGACGAGGTTTCATCGTGTTAGCCAAGATGGTCTCGATCTCCTGACCTCGTGATCCGCCCGCCTCAGTCTCCCAAAGTGCTGGGATTACAGGCTTGAGCCACCGCCCCTGGCTTTTTTCGCTCTCTCTCCCTCCTCCCATCTCTCCTTTGATCCCTCCTCTCCCTTCCTTCCGTCCTTCCTTCCTTCCTTCCTTCCTTTCCTTCCTTCTTTCCTTCCTTCTTGCCTGCCTGCCTGCCTTCCTGCCTGCCTTCGTGCCTTCCTTCCTGCCTTCCTCTTTCTTATCTTACACCGCATACAGAGACACAGCTATACCACTCTAAAAAAGTAAAGCATTCTGCCCTGTAATAGAACATTTTTGGATTCAAGTGAAACTCTCCAGAGACATGACCAAAAGGGGGCAGCCAAGATTCAAAGGGAAGAAAGATGTGGAGTTCAAAAAACCCAATAAAGAAGCATGGTTTGAGTGAAAAACAACAGTAAAACACAGCTCTACAACATTCAAAATTAAATGCTTGTAGTATTGTTGACCCCAGGTTTGTTACTTCTTCTTTCTTCTGTTTATCAGTTTCCTAAGTGAGAGACAAAATAACATAGTGAGGGCAAAATTTGAACAAAGAAGTAAAGTGGAGCATCAAATTATCTTAGATTGCAACTCACTAAATGATTCCACACTTGATTATTACATATTTATACTGTGTCTTATGACCCTTATTTCCTAGAGCTATCTTTCAATAAAATAAGACCTGTATTATTTTAGTTGACCAATATCTTCTCATAAATGTGAAGCCCTTGAGTGATTTAATTGCAGCAGTTCATTTAAAGCAACCCCTAAATAAGGAAACTGTTACAGGTTTACAATATGTGAAGTAGTAATACTCACTGGAAACAATGTCATCTCATTTTGTTCGTTTTGCATGCTTAAGTGTTCCCTTTTGTGTTTCTCTGTATACTTTCAAATTTGAAATAAGAAGAGCTCCTTTGTATACTGAAGTACCACATGGCACACACATCTTCAATCAAGGGTTTGTACATTTCAGCAGCTCCGCAGGAAACAGGGTTTTCAATAAATACCATTTCTGAATAGTCTAGCTCATTAATGATTTTTATTGCATTTTGAAAATGTGCCAAATCTCTCATGAAACTCAATTACATTCTGAGAAGGGAAAAAACGGTACATAGAAACACTGAAATCTTTAAACAAGCAAGTTTTTTTTCTTTTTTTTAAAATCCCTCCCACTGAGACACTTTAGAATATAGGGCTATAATATCTCTTGTTTTATGCATGAACATATGATGTAATGTAAAATATAGAGTGATTGAGAGCAGGTGCAACTCAATTGCTAGGTCACAAAAAAATGTTCTAAGAAAAACACATACACACACAAAATAGGATTATAGTCTCTGAACTTAACCCCTTGTTTGTGTATAAAACAGGGAAGGGATTCTTGTGTAATGGTTTTTATTCCCCCCGGAGAGAACAAAGTTATTGAGTAATAGGTTATCCTTCAGCCAGCATCAGCGCAACTATAAATCTACAATGTACGAAATCAACACAATTCATTACTTGCCATTGAATATGAGGCTTAGGAATCTCAGTGGAGAAAACTTTCTAACTATATGTTCCTGGTGTTGCTACATGCCTATTCTCTGTGGCATTTTTCTCCTTATTTCCTAAGCCCTTTAGGTGTGACAAATGCCTATTATTAAATTTATATTTCCAAAAATGCAATTTTTAAAAATAAATATTCAAAAACGATAATTATAAGACCCCAAAAGCAAAATCTCCCTTTAATTTGAAAGACAGAAGTACCAAAAATAAACACTAGTTTTATTAAGATACAATGTAAATCAATAAAATATATTTAAATTACAATAACATTTATAACATTTTGTGAGTAGAATTAGCATGTGGGTTTGTTCTTTGTTTTTAGATATTTTCCTTATGCTACATCTTTAAAAGATTCAAAAAAAGCCCTCTATATTTGAGTTCAAATGCCATACTTTATGAAATAACAAAAATGGTTCTTAACAGGCAGAGTTTCTGGTCTATTTATAGTAATTCATATTGCATGGTGATTATGATTCTTTTTTAGACAGGAAAATTTTTATTTAAAAAATATGGCATATAAAACTCATTTGATCTTTTTAGCTTTCTCAATAGAGACAATCAAACATGACAGTGATAACAGAAATAAAGTCTACATACTGTGACCAAATTAATGTGGTTCAAAAGAAATTTGAAGATTTTTATATCAATGGAAATCTGCACATATTTGATAGATGATTATTTCAGGTGTGTTATGATCATAAAGGTTAAGAGTTTAGCAACATAAACCACTAGGTATGGAAGTGTCTAACAAACTACCTTATAAATTATAATAGAAGTGAGAAACCCACAATTAACTGCAACATAATATAAAATTATGAAAGATGAAGATGATAGTAATGGTGATGTTAATGATGATGATATCATAAAATAAGCACGTTACATTTTTTAGAATTACAAACAAACACAGAGTTCTTGTCTACTAGTTAGTAGGAAAAACTTAAGGAATATGCTGACTTGTAACCAGTGTCTTAAATAAAGGGCTACTTTTTATAAACATACAGTCTAGGTGATCCAAATGGCTTGAACACATACTGAAATAACAGAGAAATATGAAAAAAATAGTGCATTTTGACTGCCATACACCCCTTAATAAATTTGTTTAATGAATAGGCAAATACTATTCATTGTAATTGATTGAAGAAAGTACCATTGATGAAAACTTGACAACATATATAAAAAATGTTCTTTGATTTTTTTTTAATATATATTTTGAATGAGGGACTTCTATTTGTGTTATCATATCAGTGAGCTTGTATATGATAGAGTCCAGATCAATTTGATTCTAATTTATATAAGGTGAATTGAGATTTTATAAGTGACTATTCTACAGATGTGTTTAAAAAAAAATACAACTTGGGAGTCCTCCGTAAGGATACATAAGGATTTATATCTGATTCCATTTGATTTATTAGGTATTCTTGTGAGGTTAAAAGAATATTTTAATATAGTAAATTTTAGTATCTCCCACTTGTACTATTACTTTAGTATCATTAACAGTCTATTGCTAACCCAGAAGCTCTGTCAGGGAGAGACCAATTCTCACTTGCTCATCACTGCAAAACCAATGCCTATCACGTTGCCTGCTACAAAAGGGATCTCAGTGCTGAATGAGCAAAGGATTACATGAATAATCATTCAACAGATTCCGTTAATCTTTTTTGAAAATTAATACTTTCTATGCCAGCAGTCTAAATATTTTTGATCATGTACTCTTTAAAATAGTTTCTAAACTATGTAACATTATGAAATATTTTGGTAGTATGTGTAATTATTTGTCATAAATTTAAATAATTTTATAGGATATAACTTCTGTTATATTATAAATATTGATATTTTAAAGTAAAATCCACACATCACTTTCAAAATATATATCCAGGCTGATTTTGAAACTATTGTATTTAGTCCTATTCATATATTTATTCAGTAATTTTATATCACTTGTTTTCTCCTTTAACATTCATTCATGGATTCTTTTTTTTTTTTTTTGAGATGGAGTCTCGGTCTTTCACCTAGGCTGGAGTGCAGTGGCGCGATCTTGGCCATGGCAAGCTCAAGCTCCGCCTCCTGAGATCACACCATTCTCCTATCTCAGCCTCCCGAGTAGCTGGGACTACAGGCATCCACCACCGCCCAGCTAATTTTTTTTGTTTTTTTGTATTTCTAGTAGAGATGGAGTTTCACCGTGTTAGCCAGGATGGTCTCGATATCCTGACCTCGTGATCCTCCCGCCTCAGCCTCCCAAAGTGCTGGGATTACAGGCGTGAGCCACGGCACCTGGCCCATTCATTTATTCTTTGAAAAAGTATTTATTGGGCATCTGATATGTATTGGCAGTTGATGTGAACACTTGACATACACCACTGGCCAAATGTGACTGCCTTCATGCTCCAGCTTACGTATATCTTAATTTATTGTCTTCTAGATACACTATTTAAGGGATCCAGACAAACACTCTATGTTTATCCCTAGATAAAATGTTTTCCCTAAGTGTCTGACTACTTACAGAATTTTTAAAATTAGCCTAACTTTTTAAAGCTAAACTCATGAATGAATATTGTCATTCAACTCATGTATAATTTGGAGAGCCCCTTCAGTTTTCAAATTTAGCTCAGCAAAATTTATATCTTTGACTACTGTTCTGACACTATTCTATTCTTCATTTGTTTGTTTCATTTTTCTATTTATTCAGGTTGAGTTTTGCCAGTTTGACTTTTACGTCTCTAATGGGAGTGGGGGTTGCTCTGTGCACATAGGAAACCCTCACAGAGAAAAGCTTAAATTTCTCATTAGGATCTCAGAGCTAAAATTGCTTGTTGTGTGTTGCTTTAGATATCTTAACAACTGAACATGTTTAGTGCAATGAAAACTTTGCATGTACTTTGAAGTTTTCATCTGAATTTGATGTATGCTTGGGTACAGTCAGTGAAGACATTTCGGATGCACCAACCCACATTCTCTCAATCTCACTTTAGGG
Source organism: Homo sapiens (assembly GCF_000001405.40). Classification (NCBI taxonomy): domain Eukaryota; kingdom Metazoa; phylum Chordata; class Mammalia; order Primates; family Hominidae; genus Homo; species Homo sapiens. Next base: position 29,809,629 of record NC_000004.12, read on the forward strand.
CTCTTGACCACTTATTTTACCATAGCTAGTACTTTGAGGACCAACTTTTTATAGGTATGGCCTGAGTTCACTATGATACTAATAACAACAGGAGGCAGGAAAATTCCCAGACAGACAGTGATGGGTCCCTGGTGAAAGTCATGCTTCAATCCAAGGATAGTCTAAAGCTAAAAACCTAACTTTTAAAGAAAGTTAAAAACCAAGATATCAGTTTCGGATAGAATCCATGGACTGAAGTGAGAATTCCCACCCCCATTTGGTGTGCTTTCTCCTCATTGGTCCTTATCTTTCACCTAGTTTACATATACCTACCTTCCTCCAGTTGGCTCTACACACTATTGTGCCTTTTTCTAAGTGGTACTTTTTCCAAAACTACCCACAAACTAATGAGCATGCACCTCTCTGTTCCAAGTCCATAAAATCCCCTGAACTCAGCCTCATGTCTGCCAATCTGCTTTCAGGTCCCCTCTTGCTGCTGGGAGTTTTTCTGTGACTGAATAAATTCTACTCTGCCTTACTCACTCTCCAGTGTCTGCATACCTCATTCTTCTCAGTCATGGGACAAGAAGTAGGAATTCGCCTAATTATGGGAGTGAAAGAACTGTAACATTCCTACTTGCTGAACTAACAAAGTAAAAGAGCTGCAAAAATACTGGGACACCCCTGTTGCTGCTAGACCACGATTTTCTGTGGGACCTACTTAAGAAGAATATGTGAACATTCAAGAAAGCTGGGAAATAAAAATTCAGTAGAAAAGAATTTGGGGCAATAGTTAATAAGAAATAGAAAATAAATTATTCCTTCTTCCTCCTAATGACTTCCCAGGGTGTGATATTTTATACAACCTTTTGAAAGAGAAGCCCACAAGAACACATAATGATTTGATCCTGGCACCAAGTTGATTTCCCTTCTTTCTTATCTCAGTCCCTTTTACCTTAACTACTACAGTAGGATTTCTTCTTAAAGAACTTACTATAAGTTTTTGCCTCTGACCCTGTTTTTTCTCTCTGTAAAACATTTGAAGATATTTATTCTGAGCCAAATATTAGTGACTATGGCCCGTAACACAGTCCCCAAAAATACTGAGAACATGTGCCAAAGATGGTCAGACTACAGCTTGGTTTTATACATTTTAGAGGGATATAAGACATCAATCAATACATGTAAGATGTACATTGATTTGGTCCAGAAAGGGAGGACAAATCTAAATAGGGGCTTCCAGGTCATAGATGGATTCAAAGATTTTTTGACTGACAGTTGGTTGAAAGAGTTTATCTAAAGACCTGGAATCGATAGAAGGGAGAGTCTGGATTAAGATAAGAGGTTGTGGAGACCCAAGTTCTTATTATGTAGATGAAGCCTCCAGGTATTGAGCTTGAGAGATAATAGATTAAAAATACATTTTATCAGAATAAAAAAGTGACAGACTCTTAGTTTATCCTCTCCTGGATCAGGAAAAAGACCTGGAAAGGGAAGGGATTTTCTGCAGAATGTTGGTGTTTCCCACAAAAGAGAGCTTTGCAGGGCCATTTCAAAATATGACAAAGAAATATATTTTGGGGTAAAATACTTTGATTTCTTTCAAGGCCTGCCGTCTTTCATGGTGGTATCTTATTGCTACAAAAAGTCTGTTTTGTCAATCTTAAGGTCTCTATTTTAGTGTTAATGCTGGTCAGCTGTGCCTGAAATCCAAAGGGAGGAAGGTATAATGAGGCATATCTGAACCCCTCATTCCCATCATGGCCTGAACTAGTGTTTCAGGTTTGAACTTTTGCATAATGAACCCATGAACATGGAGAGGACGGAAAAGTATTTCTAATACCCTCTAGAACAGCTCCTTCAAACTTAGACTTGAAGTGCCCTGGTAAAAGTAAGTGATTTGCAGATGCCAAGCTTTATTGGCACAGTTTTGAAAAAATGGTCAAACAGCACTAGGATGTGGGAATGTTTTATGTTTTTATTGTGTAAGATATGAGAGCTCAGCACTTCATAAATTTCCTTGGAATGGGTCAAAGGCCATCAAGACACTACACTAAAGCAATAAAGAGTGTTCTCGTGATGACACTTGCAACTGTGAGAAGCTTGGTGTTCTAGTCTTGTGTAGGTTGTTTGGGGATGATATCGTCCTTGAGAATTGTCCAATGGTCCTGTGTACATCCAAAGGAATGTGGAGTTCCAGAAACAAAGAGACAAGGTGGTACTATTAGCAGCAGTGAATCTTTTTGGGTCTGCAGCAACCTCAATTCTTGCCTTCTCAGAAGAAATAATTTGACTGAGGGGTCCTAAGGGAGAGTGAGAGGCAAGTTTTAGAGTGGGATTGAAAGTTTGTTAAAAAGTTTTAGAGCAGAAATGAAAGGAAGTAATGTACACTTGAAATAGGGCCAAGTGGGCAATTGGAGAGATTCACACGTGCGGTTTGACCTTTGACTTGGGGTTTTATTTGTTGGCATGCTTCCAGAGGGTTTTGTTTTTTTCTCCTGATTCTTTTCTTGGGGTAGGCTGTCTGCATGTGCAGTGGCCTCGCAGCACTGAGGAGGGGCCACATGCACAGTGTGTTTATGGAAGTTGTGTGCATGCTCACTTGAGGTGTTCTTCCCCTATCAGTTAGGTGTTCCTAGAAGAAGATCATACACCAGCTAAACTCCACTTTTTGCCTCTTAGTGTGCATACTTGAGTCCACTTCGCCAAGCTCCTGAGATCTTATTGGGAAGCTGCCAATCACCAGTATCTGGTGTTTTCTGTCTATTGGAACACTGCATTTCCCTGGCGCCAGCTGTGATAATTATTATTTTAGAGAGACAGTTTAACAAACGCCTGACCATGACCTGTTGGTCACCGACATTCCTGCTGGAGGCTGTAGGGGAGGGGGGCTCTCTTTTCCGCTGCTCATGTCTGCCTAACAGCACCATCAGCAGGGAATAAAAAAACCTGAAAATATAATCAAAGTACATTGATCTTCAGAAATCTATGGCTAATAAATCGTAGTATTACTAAGGGTGAAATAGCACATCAGAACGTAGGTCGATTTAAATAATTAAAAGAAATTTTACAATAGAAAACTGTGATTTCTAGTCCAGTTTCTAGTTTTAAAATGTTTCATAGACACAGAGCTAATTGTTTCTAGAGTAGTCCAGTTTATCTTGGAGAAGGTATCTACAGCACCATTATTTATATATCATAATCATTACCCATCCTTCCCTTAGCATCTGTAGACATTCTCTAGGGAGCCTATGTATTGGTGAAATAGGGATACTCAGATATTATACAATTGCATTATAAATACTCTACAGAAAAGTAGGTGAAGTTCATTTGAAGGATGGGATTGCAAGATTGAGTAGTCACATATGCTTGGGATAGCTACTCAATAACATGCATTTGTGTTTGCTTGTTGGCATTTCTACCTCACTGCCCTTTTGCTTTACTCCTGTTTCTGGAATTGTATTCCTCATAAAGTTATGACAATAAATTTTTTATTCAGGCTTTGCTTAGTGGAGAACACAGGCTATGGCAATCTATCTCTACACTAAAAAAACAGACAGTGGGGATGTATTTTTTTGTGGTTTTTATTTTGCAATTCAAGACTTACACACTTATACTGTCTAATGATTATTTCTAAATTAACACTGATTTTCATAATTATTGTATCTCTGGAGAGCCGGTCGTGATGCCATTCTTTGTTTCTTTCAAGATGCAGGGAGCAATTTCAGCAAGCGTTGTTCCCTAAATAAAAGAAATACCACATCAGATCAAAGGTTATGTAAATCTTAGTTGCTACATGAGTTAGCTACCCTATTTTTATGACATTTTACATCAGTCACCCAAATAATAGTAACACAGTCCCTGGCCCCCATCCCATCAGCTGCCACAAGACGCAAAAGACTAAGAGAAAATTATATAAATGTACCTCCTCTTTCTTTTCATTTACTTCACCCAGAACTATACATTTTTCTAAGTATTTGACTATGAATTTATTTTTGCATATACATCTCAAACACTGGAATATTAATTTATTTTTTAGTACAATTTTAAATTGTCCTGCCAGGAAATACATATTCTCTCTTTTCAAAAGCTTACTGTATTTTTCTTATGCAAGTCATGCTTCAATCTCATACAACTGGAATATTTGGTGTGTGTGTGTGTGTGTGTGTGTGTGTGTGTGTGTGTGTGTGTATTTAATTCCTCCCCACTATCCAATCCCCCAACTTCACACATTGCCTTCACATTTTTCGTACTTTGATAGTCTGTTTAAATTTTTTTCCTTGGTTCTTACTCTCAGGTGAATAGGTCAAATATACTTTTCATTCACCTATTCATAGTCCCTTTTATATCACTGAGCATGGTTATATGGCTGAGCTAAAGAAAATTCGTATTTGAAAATTTTCACATCTGGATCATTCTAAAATTGATTTCCTTAAATGTCTTTTCTTTTAGAAAGCATAATTTTTTTTTCTTTTCATTATTTGATTTTATCATTTACTAAACATTGTGATTACCACATTAAACACTCTAAATTCTCTTATTATATATTTTGAGAAAGGTCTCACTTTGTCACCAAGACTGGAGTTCTGTAGCGTGAACATGGCTCACTGCAGCCTCAACTTCCTGGGCTCAATCGACCCTCCTGCCTCAGCCCCCCAAGTAGCTGGACTTACAGACGTGTGCCACCACACCTGGCCAATTTTCTTTTCTTGTATTTTTTTTTTTTTTTTTTTTTTGTAGAGACAGGGTGTCGCCATGTTGCCTAGGCCGGTCTCAAATTCCTGGGCTCAAGCAGCACTCCTGCCTCAGCCTCCCAAAGTGCTGGAATTCCAGCTGTGGACCACTACACCCATCTATATTCTTTTCTTGTAAAGAGTATTACTTTTATTTGTTTGTTCATTGAGCTTAGCAGACAATTAAGTTGATTGTACTTGCTATCAGATGGCAGGTAAAATCTGGTCTGTTCCTTCATTTAACTAGGATGCATGTAGTCTTCCTTGATTCCTACCTTATGTGGGAGTCAGCCGGAGATTTGGGCAGCACTTACTCACAAATTTTTAGAAGCCTGGTCTCTGGTTCTTCTCTTTTTAAACTTTTTTCTGATACTTTGCTTACTTTGTTGTACTCTTAACCTCTTCCTCTAGTTCCTTAAGCCAGAAATACTTCTGTCAGAACTTTGTTTAATGTGGTACCTATTAGTGCCAACATCTTCCTTTTAATCCTTAATCTTTGCCCACATTCCTGAGAATACTTTATCCATGAAAATAACAGTAAAATCATTTCCACATATCAATCTGCAAAAGAGCTACTTTAAAACACAGTTAGGCAAGACGCAGTGGCTTACCCTGTAAACCCCGCACTTTGGGAGACAGAAAAGGGAGGATCACTTGAGCCCTGTTTGAGACAAGCAACATAGAGAGACCTAATCTCTATAAAAAATTTTAAAACTTAGCCAGGCAGGGTGGCTTATGCCTGTGGTCACAGCTACTCGGGAGGCTGAGTTTGAAAGATCACTTGAGCCTAGAAGGTTGAGGTTGCAGTGATCTCTGATCACACCACTGTGCTCCAGCCTGGGTGACAGGATAAGACCCTGTCCAAAAAAAAGTCAAGTTTGTCAATAACATGGGAGTATCTGAGATGCTAAATTAAGTAAGAAAAGAAAATAGCTTTGTCGCTGGAAAATAGAACTGCACTACCTTCATCCTAAATTGTCTCATGAAAGAAAATGTAGGAACTCACAGAAAAAGCAATACAGACCCTAAGCAAGAATATCCTCTAAGACTCTCCTGGTAGTGAGATAGGGCAGGAGGAGGGAGCACTGATGGAAGCCAACCAAAAAGAATTCCAATTATTAACTGAATCAGAATGGTGACCACTTTTTGATGATGAAAAAGCCTATTGCCCATAGTCATCATGATCTTTAAGTTATTTTAATAATAAGACAATTCATGCAAATCATCAATGGTGTGTTGTTTCCCAGCCACATCTTCTTCATCTTACTCTTCTCTTGAAGAAACAGGCCACCTAGTGTTACCGTGTGTCACTAGGTAAAAAGCAATATGTGTACGTGGACATATCATATTCCAGCTGGCCAATTACATGCTGAAATTGTTCTGGATAGGATCTAAGGATTAAAATCCATGCAGAAGAAACCGTGTTCAAGCCTAAAATTTTTAATATTTCTCCAAATTTCAGTTACTATAATTCAAACATTTAATTCATCCATTAATGGGCAGGAAAGGCATTCTGCTTTTTGCTATCAGGTTACCAAAATGAAATTGCAAAGAAGTGTTAAATTATTTGATGAATTTATTTTAATAGAAAATATTATACTGAAACATTCAGATATATTTATATCTTATTATAAAAGATAGATGCTCAATGCCAGGTAGCCTGAGAGTCTCTTCTGTTCAACTCTTCATTACCTGCCATAAGACTTGCTTTGCATCATATCTGCTGACACTTTATAGTCTACAGTCCGCTTAAAATATAAGACAGAATCCTTTTCCCTAAAACTTATTCTTACTTTTGAAATGCTGGCTCAATTACAAGGGGATTTTCTCCCAGGGCTGAAGTTCTTTTCTTGAGCTCTGATGATGTGTTTCCTTTCTGAAGCTTCACTGGGCTTGGGACCCATTCTTCTGTGGTCTCAGAATGCCAGAACAAGGAATCCTATACTGACTTCCTCCCCAGAGCGGCCTGAGGTCCACGGTTTAATTTAAAACATGTAAACTGTAATAATTGGAAACTGCAGGGAGCCAAGACAATTTGTTAAATCTGCATACCTGTGAAGCAGAAATAGCGGAATTGTGAAAGTCAAGTCCCAAACAAGAATGGTTCATTTTATATTGTTCAAAATGAAATATCAGGAATAAATAACACCAGGGTAGAAAAAAACGTAGTTATTATAGCGAAAGCTCAGGCCCTCAATGACTAGGAAAGTAGAAAAAGAGAGAAAGGAGGAGGAGGAAGAGGATAAGGGGGAAGAAGAGGAGGAGAAGGAGGAGGAGGAGGAGGAGAAGGAGGAAGAGAAGGAGGAGGCAGCAATGAGGACATTGTTGTTACACACATACAAACAACACACACATCATATGACACTCAGGTGACCTTATAAATTCCAATCACAATTTGGTCTCAGAAATGGTATCATTGATAGTTCATTTGACTTTAATATTGTCTTTGTCATTCTCAGGATTACTAATAATACGCAATTTATACATACATGGTTTCCTTAAAATTCTAGCGAGATAAATGGAAAAACCGAAGGTAACTGTAGAAGTTGAATTTTAAGGAAAATTACCAGCAGTATAGTACCACAAGGAAGAACAAAATTCAGAAAGGAAGGTGGGAGATGAAGACAATCTATAAGAAGAATAAACAGTATCTGGAAAAAGGTACCAAAGGCACTTAGCTTCACTGGGTTCAGCTTACAGCATGGAGTGAGGACTGAGTTAATTAAAGGAAAAGAAACAACAATCAGCAAATCCATTCAGAGTGAAACAGAGAGTTCAAGCTGAGTGGACATGCTGCAGCATCTTTTGATAGGCCTGGGTAATCTGAAGAGTAAATGGTCATCTGAAGAAAGTAAAGTCCTAAGCCATTGTCTATAAAGTAGGTTGGTTTCCTTGACAGTGAGTGCATTTCATAGGTATTAAATATTCCATTTTGCAGACACTGCCAACTTTCTTTATATTTATACTCCACTGAAGAGAAACTTGGATCTATTACCCCCAAAAACATAAAGTAAAACCATGAACAAAGTACTATGCAGATTGCTATGTAAGTGTTGAATTAGAAGGTATAGTGGATGTGACTAAGAAATAATTTCTGGAATTTCTTTTGAAAATAGGGAAGTTCCAGTAGTCAATAGTTGATCTAATGTTTATAATGAATTGCTTACACTTTTGTAACTTCAGTAGGGTTATGACAATATTACTGAAAGACACCTTGAAATAAAAGAGTTATTACATGGGCCTTATATGAAATGAGTGTCTCCTTATGTAATGTAGTATATTGTCTCATTCCAATATCACCTCTTATTTCCTCATATCATTTATCTGTTCCAAACAAACAAAACCCTGCTGTATGTAATAGGTATTACTTGGTTGTAGAAAGTAAATATTTTGGAAAAGTGAACTTTCAAAGCTATACTACAGCTAAAACCACATAGATTGATTATTCTTAAATGTTGTGTATTTTTGCTGATCTGACTGACATTCGGGTGAAAGTAGAGCTGTCACTATTTGGTGACAAAGTAACATGTATTTTGAAAATTCTTTTCTTTTTTTCTGTTGCTTCTTGGGGCTCCCAATAGGAAACTAATTCTGCTTGTTCTTTTTCAAATACTGTATTGCTTGAAGACTTTGACAAACTGTGTAATGATGGGTTTAGTCCCTAGTAATGAATGTCACGATCCTAACAATAAGATCCAACAAACAATTTGAAGTGATGTAATGCATGGTGATTCTGTGTAGAGTATACACAGAGTCTGATTGGTCTAAATAATTACTGGAGTTTGGCGGAGATGTAGCGTGCACAACCCACCACGATGGCACCTGCTGGGACTGTACATTATTTTGAAAAATAATAGGTTCTTTCAAAGAAATGAAAGCTTTATAGTACAGTAATTGAATGCAGGCATCAATAAACTTGCTTTCTTTGTGTTCTTGAGAATCTCTTTATTTTGGGGTTTTGTTTTGTCACCCATGTTATATTTTAAGGAGTTCCCATTAATCTCAGCATTATTATTTCTTGAGTTCCTTCAAAGAAGAATCAGTAGTTGACATTTTGGAAAATATACCTGAAAAGAAAAAAAAATGTGCCTCTAGGGACTATAATTATGTATTTAGTACTCATTTTACGTAGGATATGAACATATAGGCAATGTAATTACTTATATATATATCATATGCATCTGATATATATATGTGTGTGTGTATATAAATATGTTATATATTATATGTCTACAGAGAGAGCAGAAACATGTTTATGCACTACACTGATTGTGGAAGTTTATAGTGGTTTTATTCTGCAGTTTTGATTTTCAAACTATTTTGCTTTTTTATGCTGGCCTTTCTGCCTTTTGAGCATGGTCTCATTCTAGACAAAGAGGTAGGATTGTTACAATGGATTGAGGAGCAATGGGGCCACACAGAATGGTGGAAGAGATTATTTCATTTTTGCTTCTATTGAAGGACAAAGAAGGCCACGGGAAAATAATTTCCATAGCTTTTTTATTTCAAGAAAGTAGTTTGAGAGACAGAAACTTTATGATAGGACCCCAGGCACTGTCCCTGCTGGGTTATTGTTGGACATTTGAATAAATTAGACCACTGGAATCTACCAGAAATAACACTGTACCTAAATTTCAAGAAAAGGTGTCTTTCTGTGTTTCCCAAAGTGTGACTCATTTTTAATTACATTGCCTGATCTGAAAAAAGGGGACACAAAGTTGGCATGTTTTACTATTCAGATGGCGAGGACTAGGTCAGGTCTAGGTCTTTCAGAAAGTTTTAGGATAATGTCTATAAATGCAGAAGCTTCCTGTCAGATGAGACAGTGCAGAAATAGAGCATTTGAATCTATCATTAAAGAGCCAAGGGATACAGGGCAATTCTTACTTTTTAAAATTACTTTTCAAGTCAAGCCCTTTGCTATAATTTTTGCTTTACCAGTTGTCCTTTCTATCTTGTGAATTTTGAAACTTTGGGGCATTCTCCTTTACTCTCTCTGTTTTCTCATGGGAGAATGAAACTGATTGTCAGAGTGGGGAGTACCATGTAGCCCAAAGGCAAGTATTTCATCTTTATTGAGTATGAAACTGTAGCAAGTTGCTTCTGAAGCATTTTTATTATTTTCATTAAAGCAATACAGTAAGAGTTATCTTATGAATCTTACATATATGCACACATATCTCATATATATATTCTACATATATCAATACGTATATACATGATTACCTTTTGAGATATATACATAAACATATTTAGTGCCCCATATTGATGATATTTCAGAAGATATATGGAAAAGCAATGAAAATATTCCAAGCAACTCTCTCTCTGTTGGTATGCAGTTTCCTGTACTGTTTTCTTTATTCAGTGAAAATGCAAGAAGTCTATAATAAATGATATAAATAAAATATATTTGAAGAAAATGAAAAAATAAAGACTTTATCAATAAATACATACTTTGTAATCAAATCTAGCTACCCAAGTATTGTACCGTATTTATACAGAGGAATTTTTCCCACAAATATATAAGAAGTATCAGTTCCTGGAAAAAAATGGGAAATCAATACATTTTACTTCTCTGCACATACCTTATAATTCTGGAAGATGAGGTTTGAAAAGAGAGGGCTAGCTACCTCACTGAGTGATGTAATTATATGTTTGGTAAGATTCAACTATGTGTTGTTAGTTTAACGTCAAAGGGAAACCTAATAATGAACTGGATAACAGGTAGTTCTTTACGTACATAAAAACGTGCCTTGGAATATGCATCACTATCTTGCATAGCTCGGTTTGCAAAAAAGATACACACGAACACACACACACACACACGGCTCCCAATTATTATGGGTGTGTTTGTGTGTGTGTGTATATATATATATATATATATATATATATATATCTAACATTTAAAATAACTGAAAATGTAAACCTATACATACTCAGTGAATGTATCCTTTACCATCGAAATGAGAATCTACAAATGATAAGACATTTTGCTTTTAGAGCATTGTTTTGTTGTTGATTTAATTCATGAATTTCTTTCATTATCACTAGCAGTGTTTACTTTTCTAATGTGTGATAATGAACATTGTATGTGAAGATAGTTAAGCCACATTTGGAGCTTAGGAAACTTTTGATAAATGGATACAATCCTAGTACAAATTATGATAATATGTTTGCTGAAGAAAAAAGGCTTTTTAAGCAAGCATTTAAATGTCATTGTAGAAAGCATAGTACCTTGTAGGAAAAAAGAAAACCAAACAAAACAGAGGTGTACCAATTAGAAAATTACAAGTTGTATGAGACAATACATATTTATTTACTTAGTTTTAATTTTGTAAATTATATCTATAAATATAAAAGAAAATGTGTCAATGTGTAAGTTTCTCTGTTTTTTTATTTTTTGTTTTTATTATACTCTAAGATCTGGGGTACATGTGCAGAACGTGCAGTTTTGTTACATAGGTATACATGTGCCATGGTGGTTTGCTGCACCCATCAACCCATCACCTACATTAGGTATTTCTCCTAATGTTATCCTTCCCCTACTCCCCCAACCTCCAACAGGCATCAGTGTGTGATGTTCCTCTCCCTATGTCCATGAGTTCTCATTGTTCAACTCCCACTTATAAGTGAGAACACGTGGGGTTTGGTTTTCTGTTCTTGTGATAGTTTGCTGAGAATGATGGTTTCCAGCTTCATCCATGTCCCTGCAAAGGACATGAACTCATTCTTTTTTATGGCTGCATAGTATTCCATGGTGTAGATGTGCCACATTTCCTTTATCCAGTCTATTATTAATGGACATTTGGGTTGTTCCAAGTCTTTGCTATTGTGAACAGTGCTGCAATAAACATACATGTGCCTGTGTCTTTACAGCAGAATGATTTATAATTCTTTGGGTATAAACCCAGTAATGGGATTGCTGAGTGAAGTGGTATTTCTACTTCTAGATCCTTGAGGAGTCACTACACTGTCTTCCACAATGGTTGAACTAATTTACACTCCCACCAACAGTGTAAAAGCGTTCCTATTTCTCCACATCCTCTCCAGCATCTGTTGTTTCCTGACTTTTTAATGATCACCATTCTAACTGGCATGAGATGGTATCTCATTGTGGTTTTGATTTGCATTTCTCTAATGACCAGTGATAACGAGAATTTTTTCATATGTCTGTTGGCTGTATAAATGTCTTCTTTTGAGAAGAGTCTGTTCATATCCTTTGCCCACTTTTTGAGAGGGTTGTTTGATTTTTTCTTGTAAATTTGCTTAAGTTCTTTGTAGAATCTGGATATTCAGACTTTATCAGATGAATAGATTGCAAACATTTTCTCCCATTCTGTAGGTTGCCTTTTCACTCTGATGAAAGTTTTTTTTTCTTTTTTTTCATTTTCTTTTTTTTTTTTTTTTTTTGCTGTGCAGAAGCTCTTTGGTTTAATTAGATCCCATTTGTCAATTTTGGCTTTTGTTTTGCATTGCTTTTGGTGTTTTAGACATGAAGTCTTTGCCCATGCCTATGTTCTGAATGGTATTGCCCAGGTTTTCTTCTAGGATTTTTATGGTCCTAGGTCTTACATTTAAGCCTTTGGTCCATCTTGAGTTGACTTTTGTATAAGGTGTAAGGAAGGGGTCTGGTTTCAGTTTTCTTCATATGGTTATTAAATAGGGAATCTTTTCCCCATTGCTTTTTTGTGTCAGGTTTGTCAAAGATCAGATGGTTGTAGATGTGTGGTATTATTTCTGAGGCCTCTGTTGTGTTCCATTGGCATATATATATCTGTTTTGGTACCAGTATCATGCTGTTTTAGTTACTGTAGCCTTGCAGTGTAGTTTGAAGTCTAGTAGCGTGATGCCTCCAGCTTTGTTCTTTTTGCTTAGGATTGACTTGGCTATGTGGGCTCTTTTTTGGTTCCATATGAAGTTTAAAGTAGCTTTTTCCAATCTATGAAGAAAGTCAGTGGTAGCTTGATGGGGATAGCATTGAATGTATAAATTACTTTGGGCAGTATGGCCATTTTCACCATATAGATTCTTCCTATCCATGAGCATGGAATGGTTTTCCATTTGTTTGTGTCCTCTCTTATTTTCTTGAGCAGTGGTTTGTTGTTCTCCTTGAAAATATCCTTCACAACCCTTGTAAATTGTATTCCTAGGTATTTTACTTTCTTTGTAGCAACTGTGAATGGGAGTTCTCTCATGATTTGTGTCTCTGTCTATTATTGGTGTATAGTAATGCTTGTGATTTTTGCACATTGATTTTGTATCCTGAGAATTTGCTGAAGTTGCTTATCAGCTTAAAGAGATTTTGGGCTGAGACAATGGGGTTTTCCAAATATACAATCATGTTATCTGCAAACACAGACAATTTGACTTCCTCTCTTCTTATTTGAATACGCTTTATTTCTTTCTCTTGTCTGATTGCCTAGGCTTGAACTTCCAATACTATGTTGACTAGGAGTGGAGAGAGAAGTCACCTTTGTCTTGTGCCAGTTTTCAAAAGGAATACTTCCAGTTTTTGCCCATTCAGTATGATATTGGCTGTGGGTTTTTCATAGATAGCTCTTATTATTTTGAGATACATCCCATCAATACCTAATTTTTTGAGAGTTTTTAGCATGAAGTGTTGTTAAATTTTGTCAAATGACTTTTCTGCATCTATTGAGATAATAATGTGGTTTTTGTGATTGGTTCTGTTTATGTGATGGATTACATTTATTGATTTATGTATGTTGAACCAGTCTTGCATCCCAGGTATGACCGTGGTGAATAAGCTTTTTGATGTTCTGCTACATTTGGTTTGCTAGTATTTTATTGAGGATTTTCTCATCGATGTTCATCAAGGATATTGATTTGAAATTTTCTTTTTTTGTTGTGTCTCTGCCAGGTTTTGCTATCAGGATGATACTGGCCTCATAAAATTAGTTAGGGAGGATTCCCTCTTTTTTCTATTGTTTGGTATAGTTTCAGAAGGAATGGTATCAGCTCCTCTTTGTACCTCTGGTAGAATTTGGCTGTGAATCCATCTGGGTAGGCTATTAATTACTGCCTCAATTTCAGAGGCTGTTATTGGTTTATTCAGGGATTCAACTTCTTCCTGGTTTAGACTTGGGAGGGTGTATGTGTCCAGGAATTTATCCATTTCTTCTAGATTTTCTAGTTTATTTGTGTAGAATTGTTTATAGTATTCTCTGATGGTACTTTGTATTTCTATGGGATCAGTGGTGATATCCCCTAGTTTCTCTGCTTTTAGATACTGAACTTAGCCTTTTTTTTAAGTCCCCAGTCAGATGGAGCAAATCTTAATAAATTTCAGTAGCTGTGAATTTACTCATTAGGAAAGACTCAGTAAGGAGTAAAATCTTGTCCTCAGAGTCAGCATAAATATCTGAGTTCCACACAGACCCTCTGCATCCTCCTCATCTCCAGGGCTACAGATCTATTGGCTCTCTCTCAGCTGAGTTTTCTACCTTTCTTCCGGCTAGAGGGACAGATTAGAAAAACATTTAGGTGCTCTTCCCACTGTTCTGGATCTTTTGAAATTGTGAAGGATTGTGACAGTCTCTCTCAAATGGTCTCTCCACACCCCAGTACCACTCCTGGAGAGCTTCTGCCATTCTGTGGTGGCTCAGTTAACTCCATGAGACTTGTTACCACCAAGGGCTCCAAAGGGGAAAAGATGCATGCATCTCAAATTTCCAGAAGTCTCTGTCACTTTTATCACTTTCATGAGCCACGTCCAGAACTCAGTCTCAGAGAACAAATATAAGGATTTCCTGAAACGTCCATTGAACATTTCTTTTTCGTGTTTCTTGTCCTTGTTTTCTTCTTCTGTTTCCTGCATAATGCTAAAGTCATTTTCTCAGTTTTAATATTGCAAATAATTGCTGATAATGTGTTTCAAATTTCTTCGACAAATATTTTCATTTTAATACAAGATTTACATAATTGAATGTGGTATTTGTTGTTAATTTGCTTAACAACTTTGGGAAGTTAGATTCATATATTTGAGGGAAGGACTTCCATGGCCTGTAATACCAAAATAACATAGAAACCATACAACATAAAATGTTTTGATAAAAGTCAGATATAAAATGATGTGAATACAGTGTCTTTTAATTAATTGAAGTATTCATCTCTGAGTGAATATTCTGTTAAAGTTTTCTAACGCTCTTCAGGAAAATCCTGGCATCGTGGATTGCCTGAGAAATGTATGTGGTCATTAGGTTTTCAGCATTATTCAGTCATCCCCTCTTTTTCATGATTTCAGTTACCCATAGTCAACTGCAGTCTAAATATATTAAGTGGAAAATTCCAAATAAACAATTCATAAGTTTTAAAATGCACTCCATTCTGAGTAGCATGATGAAATCTTGTGCTGTTTCACTCCATTCTGCTTGGGACATGAATTGTCCCTTTTGCCGTTAGTCACTTAGTAGTCTTACCAGTTATCAAATCCACTGTTGCAATATCTTATTGCCTGTGTTCAAGTAACACTTTTTTTTTTACTTAATCTGACTTCAAAGTGCAAGAATAGTGATGCTGGTATATTTTCATAATTATTAATATTCTATTTTACTATAAGATATTGCTGTTAGTCTTTTAGTTTGCCTAACTTATAAATTAAATTTTAACATGGATATGCATGTACAGGAGAAAACATAGTATATATAGGGTTTGGTACTATCTGTGCTTTCAGCATTCATTGAGGGTCTTAAAATGTAGACCCCCCCACAAATAAAGGGAAAGTATTGTATTATAATTAAGTTGCAAATACTAGTCTTTAATATTATTTGTCTTTTAGACATTTCATTTTCTCTTTCATAACTGTATTATAATTTTGTTTTCTGATTTTTAATTTTCTTGGTCAGATTTTAAAGTTTTTTGTTTGTTTGTTTTGTTTGTTTTGAGATGGAGTCTCGCTCTGTCACCATGCTGGTGTGCAGTGGCATGATCAGAGCTCACTGCAACCTCTGCCTCCTGGCTTCAAGTTATTCTTCTGCCTCAGCCTCCCGAGTAGCTAGGACTACAGGTGTCCGCCAGCATGCCTTATATTTTTAGTAGAGACAGGTTTCACCATGTTGGCCAGGATGGTCTCGATCTCTTGACCTCATGATCTACTCACCTTGGCCTCCCAAAGTGTTAGGATTACAGGTGTGAGCCACCGCGTCTGGCCATAGTTTTTGTCTGTTTTAATGCTATTTTAAAGAGAGAAAAGCTTTGAAAATCTGATGAAGAAAACTAGAATCATCTAAGCTTTTGACAATTTTTTTCACTCTATTCCATTAGTGACAACTTACAGGTTTTTTGCTTCTCGCTTTTCGCTATTGTCAGCTTATAGCTCTACCTGTTTTTTGCTACTCACTTTAACATATTGTCTCATAACTTTTATAATTATATGATTGATATGTATTTTATCAAAGTATATATTTCTATTATCTTTTTTAAACTAACTTTTCTGCAAAGTGCATTTCAGATAAGTCATATTAATTTTGATAAGTTTGTCTTCAAAAAATGTTTATTTTGTTCATAAAAGTTCAACTTTTATATTCTCTTTGAGCAAGAGTGTAACAGGAATAATATTCATTAGTTTAATGTACCAAAGAGTTTTCAGAGTTTTTTTCAGATTTTGTTTTTTCTGAGGAAATCAAAAATTATAGCAATCATTATAGCATATAAGATAATTTGGATTGGCAGTTTTGCAGATAAAAATATATGGTACACAATTAAATTTAAATTTCAGTAAAGGTACTTTATTAGCAGATGTTCTATATGTTATGTGACACAATTGTGCTAAAAAGTCTTATTTATCTGAAATTCTAATTGAACTAGATTTTCTATGTTACACTGGGCAACATTAATAACAATGTTTTTATAGTTAATTATGGGTAATTTTTCTATCTGAATTTGTTATAAAAAGCAGAATGTACATCATTAAAATTTTCAGAAAGCACAATAAATAGCATTCCTTTTACATACCTGCTGTGAACAAATTGAAAATTTAGACAAAAGAGTCAGACAACAGGTGAAAAATTGATTTTATCACAGATAAAAGCTAGACAAAATAACATCACTTAACATGAAAGCCAAAATAATCATGCTGATTCCTTAGTCCTCCTGTCTGACCTGAAGAATTGATTATTTAAACAAACATTGCATCGTCAGATTCACTTCCTCAGATAGCTACCTCATAATAATATGGTGCTAGAGAGAAAGAGAAAATATGCAAATTTTTACAATCATGGTATTTGACATGCAAGCAATGATTATTGGCTCATCAAGAAGGTCTTTCACCTCTGTGGGGAAAAGCACAAGGTATTTTAACAAGTCTAGAGTGTTAATGAAAAAATATCTCAAGAGGAGGGAAAGCAGGATGGCCAAATAAAAGCCTCCACTGATCATTCTCCCTATAGGAACACCAAATTGAACAACTATCCACACAAAAAAAGCTCTTTCATAAACACCAAATTATCAGCTTAGGTACTAGCTTAGCCACAGTGAGATCTTGGGGTCCTTGATTTCAAGGCTTTAGCTCTTAGATGGCATTTCTGGACATGCCCTGGCCCAGAGGGTAGCACACTGCACTGAAGGGAGAGTTCCAAGCCTTCCAGAATTCACCACAAGCTGAAGAGTTCTTAGACCTTGAGTGAGTATCAGCAGTACCCAAGAAATACTTGCCAAGGATCTGGAGTGGGGGTGTGGTGGACATGGAGAGAGACTCTTCTGCTTGTAGAAAGGGTGAGGAAGAGTGGGAAAGACTTTGTGGCTTGGGCACAAGCTCAGCCACAGGAGAATAGAGTACCATGTAGATTCCTAAGATTTCTGACTCCAGCCCATACCTCCTGGATGGCATCTTGAAACCTGGCAAGGACAAGGGAATCTCATCACGCTGAAGACAAGGACATAAGCCTGGCTGGTTTCACCATCGGCTGGTTGTAAAGCCCTAAGGACTTGACAAAACATTTGAGGTAGCTGGGCAGTAGTTACCACAGGACTTGGATGAGATCCAGTGCTGTGCTGGCTTCAAGTCTGACCCAGCATACTCCCAGTTGTGGTGGTCACAAAGTTGCTTCTGTCTCCTCTCCCCCAGCTTCAGGCAGCTCAGCACAGAGAGACTCCATTTGTTTGGAAGAAAGTAAAGGAAAAAGCAAGAGTCTCTGTTTGGTAATACAGATAATTCTTCGGGATCTTATCCAAGGTAGTACCTCTATAACTCTGCAGGAGTCACGACATTACTGGGTTTGAAGTGTCCCTTAAAGCAGATATGGCTGTAGTGACCAAAAACTTAAATCACAACACCTAAGTCCCTTTGAATACCTGAAAAACAGTCCCAAGAAAGATAGATACAAAAAAAGCCAGACTGTGAAGGCTTACAATGAATACCTAACTCTTCAATGCCCAGACAGTGATGAACATCCACAGCATCAAGACCTTCTGGGAAAACATGACCTCACCAAATGAACTAAATAAGGTACCAGTGACTAATTCTGGAGAGATGGAAATATCATTCCAAATATTTGGAGAGACATTTCAGAGACACAATCCAAAATGATTGTTTTGAAGAAATTTACAATAACACAGAAAAGGAATTCCGAATCCTATCAGATAAATAAAAGATATTGAAATAATTAAAAAGGATCAGGCAGAAATTCTGGAGTTGAAAAATGCAATTGTCTTACTGAAGAATGCATCAGAGATTCAACAGCAGAATTCAACAAGCAGAGGAACAAATTAGTGTGCTTGAAGACAGGCTATTAGAAAACACACAGTCAGAGGAGACAAAAGAAAAAAATAAAAATGAATAAAGCATGCCTACAAAATCTATAAAATAGCCTCAGAAGGGCAAATCTAATAATTATTAGTTATTGGCCTTAAAGAGGAGAGAGAGAGTGTAGAAAGTTTGTTTAAAGCAATGATGATAGAGTACCTCCCAAACCTACATCCGAAGTACAAGAATAATGGACTATCAGGTGAATTTAACCCAAACAAGACTACCTCAAGACATTTAATAATCAGACTCACAAAGATCAAGGATAAAGAAAGGATCCTAAAAACAGCAAAAGAAAAAAAAATAACATCCAATGAGGCTCCAATGCATTTGGCCTCAGACTTCTCAGTGAAGTCCTTACAGGCCAGGAAATAATGAAATGACACATTGAAGTACTGAAGAAAAAGTAACTTGTATAATAGAATAGTATTAATATATCCAGCAAAAATAAACTTCAAACATGAAGGAGAAATAAAGATTTTTCCAGATAAACAAAAACTGAGGGATTTCATCAAGACCAGATCTGTCCTACAAGAAATACTATAGGAAGTTCTTTGATCTGAAAGAAAATAATGTTATTAAGCAATATGAAACCATCAGAAGGTACAAAACTCACCGGTAATAGTAAGTACACAGAAAAACTCAGAATATTATAACACAGTAATAGTGATATATAAACTACTTACAACTTTATTAGAAAGACTAAAAGATGAACCGATAAAAAATAACTACTTTATGTTGCCAAGATATAGACAGGACAATAAGATATAAATAGAATAGTGAAAAGTTAAAAGGTGGGGGGATTAGACAGGCATCGTGGCTCAAGCCTATAATCCCTAGATCACCTGAGGCCAGGAGTTTGAGACAAGCCTGATCAAAATAATGAAACCTCATCTCTACTAAGAATACAAAAAAAAAAAAAAATTAGCTGGGTGTGGTGGCACATGGCTATAATCCCAGCTACTTGAGAGGGTGAGGTAGCAGAATCACTCGGACCTGGGAGCCCACATTGTGCCACTTCACAGCAACCTGGGCAACAGAGCAAGACTTCATCTCAAAAATAAATAAACAAACTAAATAAATAAATAAATACATATAAAAATAAAAAGTCAGGGGATGAAGTTAAAGTATTGTTAGTTTACACTTGTTAGTTTGCTTGCTTACGCAATCAGTGTTAGGATGTCATCAGTTTAAAATAATGAGTTAATAACATATTATTTGCAAGCCTCAAAAAGCATACAACAGATAAACAAATAATAAAAGACAAGAAATTAAAGCATACCATCAGAGAAAATCATCTTCACTGATAGGAAGGACAAAAGATAGAAAAGACAACAAATTTTAAAATGGCAAAAATAAGTCCTTACTTATCAATAATGTTGAATATAAATGGACTGAACTCTCCAATCAAAAGATATAGAGTGACAGAATGGATTAAAAAGAAACACCCAACAATACATTGCCTACAAGAAACAGACCTGAAGTATAAAAACATATATACATGGAAAATAAAGAGATGGAAAAATATATTTCATGGAAATGGAAACCAAGAAAAAAAAAAGGAAGCAGAGTAGCTATACTTACATGAGACTACATAGATTTCAAGACAAACATTACAAGAAGAGGCAAAGGTCATTAAACAACGATAAAGGTGTCAATTCAGCAAGAGGATGTAACAATTATAAATATATATATGCACCTAACACTGGAGCACCCAGATATATAAAGCAAATACTATTAGAGCTCAAGAGAGAGGTAGACCCCAATACAATAATAACTGGAAAATTCGATGCCTCATTTTCAGTATTGTAAAAAATTCACACTGAAAGAAAATCAACAGAAGAGACAGACTTAATCTGCACTATAGACCAAATGGACCTAATAGACATTTATGGAACATTTCATCTAAAACATACAGAATACACATCTGTCTCCTCACCAAATGAATCATATGTTAGGCCACAAAACAAGTCTTAAAACCTGCAAAAGATTCAAATAATATCAGCTATCTTCTCTGACTACAACGGAATAAAATTAGAAATCAGTAACAAGAGGAATTTTGGAAAATATGCAAACACATGGAAATTAAACAATAGGCTCATGAATAACCAGTGGGTCAATAAAAAAACTGAGAAGGAAATTATATTTTGAACAAATGATAATGGAAACAAAACACACCTACACCTATGGGATACAGTGAAGGCAGAACTAAGAGTAAAGTTTATAGCTATAAGCGCCTATATCAAAAAAAGTAGAAAAACTTCAATTGAACAACTTTATGATGCATTTTAAAGAATTAGAAAAGCAAGAACAAACTAAACCCAAAATTAGTAGAAGAAAACAAATAATAAAGATCAGAGCAGAAATAAATGAAATTAAAACAAAGAAAACAATACAAAATATCAATGAAGCAAAGATAAACAAAATAGAAAAACTTTTAGCCAGACTAACTAAAAATAAAAATTAATAGAGACATTTGAATTACATAAAGTCAGACATGAAAAATGATACATTACAATTGATACCATGGAAATTCAAAAGACCATTAAAGGTTACCATGAGAAACTATATGCCAATAAATTGGAAAACCTAGAATAAATAAATTCCTTGACACATAGAAACTGACTAAGATTGAACTATGAGGAAACACAAAACCTTAACAGACCAATAACAAGTAATGAGATTGAAAGCATAGTAAGAAGTCCTGCAGCAAAAAAATAAAGCCGTGGACCCCATGGCTTCACGGCTGAATTTTACCAAACATTGAAAGAAGAACTAATACCAATCCTACTCAAAGTATTACCAAAAAATAAATGAGGAAATACTTCCAAATTCATTCTACAAGGCCAGTATTACTCTGATACTAAAACCAGACAAAGATATATCAAAAAAAAAAAAAAAAAAAAGAAAATAAAGAAAGAAAAGAAAAGAAAACTACAGGCCAATATCCCTGATGAACATTGTTGGTAAAATTGTTAACAAAATATTAGCAAATGGAATTCAACAACACATTAGAAAGTTCACTCATCATGACCAAGTGGAATTTATCTCAGGGATACAAGGATGATTCAACATATGCAAGCAAATCAATGTGATAGCAACAGAATGAAGAACAAAAACCTTGTGATCATTTCAATTGATTTTAAAGAATTAGAAAATCAAGAACAAACCACGGTACAGTTTCAAAATCACTGTATAGTTTCCAAAACTTCTCTTGCTTTTCAGATGCTAAAAATACATTTGATAAAATTCAACATCCCTTCATGATTTAAAAACTCATTTAAAAATAGGGTATAGAAGGAAGATACCTCAGCACAATAAAAGCCAAATGCAACAGACCAACAGCTAATATCAGAATGAAAGGAGAAAACCTGAAAGCCTTTCCTCTAATATCTGAAACACAATAAGGATTCCAACTTTCACCACTGTTATTTGACATAGAACTAGAAGTGCTAGCTAAAGCAATCAGATAGAAAAAAAAGAAATAAAGGGAATCCATTGAAAATGAAACAGTAAAATTATTCTTGTTTGCAGATGATATGATCTTATATTTTGAAAAACCTAAAGACTTGATCGAAAAACTATTAGAACTAATTAATACATTCAGCAAAGTTGCAGGATTCTAAATTAACCTACACAATTAGTAGCATTTCTATATGCCAACAGTGGACAATCTGCAAAAAAGTTTAAAAGTAATCCTATTCACAATAGGTACAAGTAAAATAAAATGCCTAGTAATTAACCAAAGAAATGAAAGATCTCTACAATGGAAACTATAAAACCTCAATGAAATAAATTGAAGAGGACACCAAAAAATGGAAAGATCGGTCATGGTTACAGATTGGAAAAATCAAGATTGTTAAAATGTCAATACTACCCAAAACAATCTACATTGTCAATGTAATCCTTATAAAAATACCAATAATATCATTCACAGAAATAGAAAAAACATTCTAAAATTTATATGGAGTCGCAAGAAACCCAGAATGGCCAAAGCTATCCTGAGCAAAAAGGGCAAAACTAGAGGAATTTCATTACCTGACTTCAAATTTACTACAGGGCTCTAGTAACAAAAACAGCATGTTATTGGCATAAAAACAGACACAGACCAGTTGAATAAAAAGAAGAAACCACAAAAAAACCATATGTCTAATGTGAACTTATTTTTAATAAAGGTTCCAAGAACACACATTGGAGAAAGAACAGTGTCTTCAATAAATGGTGCTGGAAAAACTGGGTGCCCCTATGCAAAAGAATGAAACTAGATCTCTGTCTCTTTTCATATACAAAAATCTAGTCAAAATAGATAAAAGACTTACATCTAAGACATCAAACTATGAAACTACTAAAAAAAATACTTTGAGAAAAATCTCCAGGACATTGGACGGGACAAAGATTACTTGCGTAATACCCCAAAAGCACAGGCAACAAAGCAAAAATGGAAAAATGGGATCACTTCACGTTAAAAAGCTTCTGCACAGCGTCAGAAACAATCAACAGAGGAGACAGTCAACTCACAGAATGGGAGAAAATATTTGCAAACTACCCACATGACAAGGGATTCGTAACCAAAATATATAAGGAGCTCAAAGGATTCTATAGGAAAAGTCTAATCATTCTGTCGAAAAATGGGCAATTGATTTGAATAAATGTTTCTCAAAAGAAGATATATGAATGCCAAACAGGCATATGAAAAGGTAGTCACATTATTGGTCATCAGAGAAATGCAAATCAAAACTAAAATTAAGTATTATCTCACCCAAATTAAAATGGCTTTTATCCAAAAGTTAGACAATAACAAATGCTGGTGAATGCATGAAGAAAAGGCAACAATTGCACACTTTTAGTGGGAATGTAAACTGTTAAAGCCACTACGGACAACAGTTTGGAGGTTCTTCAAAAAAGCAAAAATAGAATTACCATATGATCCAGCAATCCCATTGCTAGGTATATGCCCAAAGAATACAATTCAGATTATTGAAGAGATATCTGCACTCTCATATTTACTTCAGCACTGTTCACCATAGCCAAGATTTGAAAGACACTTAAGTGTCCATCATCAGACAAATGGATAAAGAAAATGTGGTACATATGCACAATGGAGTACTCCTGAGCCATAAAGAGAATGAGATTCTGTTATTTGCAACAACAAGGGTGAAACTGGAGGTAATTATGTTAAGTGAAATAAGCCAGTACAGAAAGGCAAACTTTACATGTTCTCACTTATGTGTGGGAGCTCAAAATTATACAATTGAATTCATAGAGATAAAAGGAGAATGAGGATTATCAGAGGCTGAGAAGGGAATTGGGGGTGGGGAGTTGGATTAGCTAAGGGATACTAACATACAATTAGATGTAATAAATAAGATATATTATTTGATAGCACAGAGGATGGGTACAGTCAGCAATAATTTATTGTTCTTTTAAAAATAGCTAAAATAGTATAATTAGATTGTTTGTAACACAAAGGATAAATGGTTGAGTTGATGGAAACTCATTTACCCTGATGTGATTATTACACACTGTATGCTTGTATCAAAATATCTCATGGACTCTATAAATATATACACTTACTGTGTACCTAAAACAATTAAAAATAAATAATAACTAATAAAAAGTATTTCTGCAAGGAAGGCTTAGATATGGTTGTCTTGAGAGCTATATATTAACTAAAAGATATTCTGGCAAAAACATTCACTTTTCCAACAAATGTTTACCTTCATCTTCTTCATTTAAAGATGATATCACCCTATTTACCCAAAATGATTATTTTAATTTTATTAATATGTGTGTTGACAAAATATAGAGATTCTAGCAACTTAAAAGAGTGGAAAACTCATTAATAGTTTTTTGGTATATTCTATCAATTCAATCATCTTTGATGTTTTTCTTTATACTTCTGTCTATTTTACTTCTGAAATATTGTTAGTTTGAATAGCAGGGTTCTTTTAAAAATTTGTATCAATTTAGAGACTACAAGTACAGTTTTATTACATGAATATATTCCCTAGTGGTGGAGTCTGGGCTTTTAGTGTAATAAGTTTTTTATATAATAGAGTTTATTAGAAGATTTATAAGATTGGTCAAAAAACTATAAATTAGTATTAAAATACATTTACAGTGCTCCAGTAAGTTACTTGCATTACATATAATAGGAAAATCATCAAAAGTCTTTTTGGAACCATTCTACTCTCCACTTGTATGACTTAAACTTTTTGATATTTGACATATAAGTGAGATTATGTGATATTTATTTACTATGCCTGGTTTCTATCACTTAACATAATGCCCTCAAAGTTTATCCATATTGTTCATGTTAGCATAATTAACAGAATTTTCCTCTTTTTAAAGACTGAATGGTATTTCATTGTGTATATGCCATATTTTATTTATGAATTCATCAGTTGATGGACAATTTGATTGAGCCCATATTTTAGCTACTGTAAATAATGCTGCAATGAGCATGGGTGTGCAGATATCTCTTAGACATACTGATTTCATTTCCTCTGGATATATACCCAGCAATGGGATTGCTAAATCATATGGTAGTTTTACATTTATTTTTTGAGTGCTTTCCATAGTGGCTGTACTAATTTATATTCCTATCAACAGTATGTAATGGTCCCCTTTTCTCCATATCCTTTCCAACACTTATGTTTTGTCTTTTTAGTAATAGCCATTCCAACACGTGTTAGGTGATATTTCATTGTGGTTTTAATTTGAACTTCCCTGATAATTAGTGAAAGTGAGCATTTTTACATACACTTTCTGGCCATTTATATGTCTTCTTTTTTTATTTTATTATTATTTCATTTTATTTTATTTTATTATTATTATACTTTAAGTTTTAGGGTACATGTGCACAATGTGCAGGTTAGTTACATATGTATACATGTGCCATGCTGGTGTGCTGCACCCATTAACTGGTCATTTAGCATTAGGTATATCTCCTAATGATATCCCTCCCCCCTCCCCCCACCCCACAACAGTCCCCAGAGTGTGATATTCCCCTTCCTGTGTCCATGTGTTCTCACTGTTCAATTCCCACCTATGAGTGAGAATATGCGGTGTTTGGTTTTTTGTTCTTACGATAGTTTAGTGAGAATGATGATTTCCAATTTCATCCATGTCCCTACAACGGACATGAATTCATCATTTTTTATGGCTGCATAATATTCCATGGTTTATATGTGCCACATTTTCTTAATCCAGTCTATCATTGTTGGACATTTGGGTTGGTTCCAAGTCTTTGCTATTGTGAATAGAGCCACAATAAACATACGTGTGCATGTGTCTTTATAGCAGCATGATTTATAGTCCTTTGGGTATATACCCAGTAATGGGATGGCTGGGTCA
Source organism: Homo sapiens (assembly GCF_000001405.40). Lineage (NCBI taxonomy): Eukaryota > Metazoa > Chordata > Mammalia > Primates > Hominidae > Homo > Homo sapiens. The sequence goes on from NC_000004.12 coordinate 29,835,459, forward strand.
AATGGTGTTTCTATTTCTAGAACCCTGAGGAATCGCCACACTGACTTCCACAATGGTTGAACTAGTTTACAGTCCCACCAACAGTGTAAAAGTGTTCCTAATTCTCCACATCCTCTCCAGCACTTGTTGTTTCCTGACTTTTTAATGATTGCCATTCTAACTGGTGTGAGATGGTATCTCATTGTGGTATTGATTTGCATTTCTCTGATGGCCCGTGATGGTGAGCATTTTTTCATGTGTTTTTTGACTGCATAAATGTCTTGAGAAGTGTCTGTTCATGTCCTTCGCCCAGTTTTTGATGGGGTTGTTTGTTTTTTTCTTGTAAATTTGTTTGAATTCACTGTAGATTCTGGATATTAGCCCTTTGTCAGATGCCTAAAACCATAAAAACCCTAGAAGAAAACCTAGGCATTACCATTCAGGACATAGGCATGGGCAAGGACTTCATGTCTAAAACACCAAAAGCAATGGCAACAAAAGCCAAAATTGACAAATGGGATCTAATTAAACTAAAGAGCTTCTGCACAGCAAAAGAAACTACCATCAGAGTGAACAGGCAACCTACAAAATGGGAGAAAATTGTATGTCTTCTTTTGAAAAATGTTTATTCAAATTCTCTGCCCAGGTTTTAACTAGATTTTTTAAATAATGAGTTGTTTGCGTTCCTTACATATTTTTCAGATTAACTCTTTATCAGATGTATAGTATGCAAATATATTTTCCCATTCCTTATGTTTTCACTTCACTCTGTTGTTATTTTTCTTGGCTGTGCAGAAGCTTCGTAGTTTGATGTATTCCTGTGCCAACATGAACGACATAGATGAACCTGGAGGGCATTATGTTAAGTGACAGAAACCAGGCACAGAAAAACAAATACCACATAATCTCACTTAAATGTCAAATCTAAAAAAGTTAAACTCATACAAGTAGAGAGTGGAATGGTTCCAAAAAGACTTTTGATGATCTTTCTATTACATGTAATATATATACTTGTATATATAAATATACATAAAATATATATACATATATAAATATACATTTAAATATATATATATATATTTTCTTTGCTTTTCCATTGAAATCCCTAAATTCGGTGTGCAGACCAAAAACATGGAGCTTGTGAAAATGTCTTCTGAGTACCTGACTGTGAACTGAGAACTCAGCGAATGGAGAAAACATTTTAGTGCCAAGATAACTACTGTTGCCTGGAATATCCTCCCTCCTTTTGGGATTTTTGACCAGAATATAGGAAACTTAAACACTACCTTTAATCAGAGAATAAATAAATTAATAAACAACCATATGGCTTACATGCCATCAGTAATTCTCCCCCTATCCTTTTTCTTCTCATACCAAAAACAGTAGACAGCCATGCATTGCATGCACTGGCAATCATACATTATATAAACATGTTTCAGTCAATGATGGACTGCATATATGATTACGGTTCCATAATATTATGATATCGTATTTTTACTGTACCACTTAAATGTTTAGATACACAAATACCATGTGTTATAATCTCCTACAGTATTCACTACAGTAACATGCTGTACAGGTTTATAGCCTAGGAGCAAATGAGCTATGCCATATACCCCAGGAGTATGCTAGACTATAGTATCTATGTTTAACACTCTCTGATGTTTGCACAACAATGAATTTGCCAATGATACACTTATCAGATTTTTTTCCAGTCGCTAAGCTATGCATTACTTTATACTACCAAGTGATAATAACAAAAATAGCATGGAACTGGCATAAAAACAAACACACAGACCTATGGAACAGAACAGAAAACCCATACATAAATCTATTGTTTTATTTTTGCTGTACCTCTTTGCATTTTATTTAGTGATTATTATAGATATTACAGTAACAGTATTCCATAGTCTGTATAAAGATGTTGTACCACTTTAGATAGCATCATGAAAGCTTACAATTTAGTATGCCCATTAATCCATTCTCAATCTTTTATGCTAAAATCGTCTATGTATAAAATTACACGAGACAGCACTATAGCTTTCCTTTAAACAATCATAGGAATTTTTAGAGATTTAGAGCTAGAAAACATTTTAGATGTATCCAGATTGTGTGGGTTCATTTGGTCTGCTGTGTCAGAGTACCACAGACTATGTAATTTGTGAACAATAGACATGTATTTCTCATGGTTATGGAAGCTGAAAATCCAAGGTCAAGGTGTGAGCAGGTTTCACGTCTAGTGAAGGCCTTTTTCTACATTATCATAAGGTGAAAGAAATAGAAGGGAAAGGAAAATGGGAAGAAAGCTGTGTTCTCACATGGTATAAGAGTAGAAGTTAGAGAATCCCCTCTCTCAAGTCATTTTATAAGGCCCCTAATCCCATCCAGAAGAGGTCAACCTTCTTGACTTAATCATTTCTTAAAAGCCACATCTTTTAATGTTATCATATTTTTACTAAGTTCAAATACAAGCATTTTGGAAAATACAGTCAAACCATAGCAGAGATATTTATTATTTCCAATATTTAGATTTCTTCCTGAAGACGTGAGTTTTAAACTGCTAGTATTTCCCTTCAGCTTGAAGAAATTCATTTGCCATTTGTTGTAGTGCGTGTCTTTTGGCAAAGAACTCTCAGTTTTCTTTTATCTGAAAATGTGTATATGTTATTTTGTCTAAATGTTTTTATTTTGTTCCATTTCATTTTGAAAATGTTTTTATTTATTCTGTAATAAAAGTTTCAGCTGTTTGAATAATTATTTTAGCTGTTTGAAGATGTTTAACTATTTTATGGCCTAAAGCTTTAATTTTTCTGATTAGTAGTCAGTTTTCTTTCTATTTTAGCGGTTGATTCATTGATTGTTTGGTTTGCTTGCTTTGGTTGCTTTCAATTTTCCTTTAACCTTTTTTATTGGTAACTTGTTGACAAGGTACCTAGCCATGATTTTCTCTTATTTATCCTGCTTGAGGTTTGCTTTTCTTCATAAATCTATACATTTATATATCTTATCAACTTGGGAGAAATTGTGACAACTATTATTAGAAATATTTCTATTGCCTGTTTTCTGTATCCTTTATTTTTAGGACTCCAGTTAAACATATGCTAGATATTTTGATAGAGACATGAATTTCTGTGTTTATCTTTATTTTTTCTCATCTTTTCTTCTTAATTCTTCAGATTAGATACTATGAAGATAACTATTTTTAAGTTAATTGACTCTCCTCTTTCATGTCAGTCCTGCTTTTAATCTATCTAGTAGTTTTCTTTAATGTCTGATATTATATTTTCAGTTTTAAAATTTACATGTGATTATGTTTTAGCATTTGTACTCCACTGATGAAATTTTCTATTTTTTCATTATGATTATATTTTTGTATGTCATTGAATATAGCTATAACAAATGCACCAAAATTATTTGTCTGCCAATCCCAACAGTTAAGTCAATATAGGGTGACTATTGGGTGACTATTGTTCTTTCTTCTTTCTCTTGAGAATGGATTATAGTTTCCTTTTTTTTTTTTTTTTTGAGACGGGGTCTTGCTCTGTCACCCAGGCTGGAGTGCAGTGGCACGATCTCAGCTCACTGCAAGCTCTGCCTCATAGGTTTACGCCGTTCTCCTGCCTCAGCCTCCCGAGTAGCTGGGACTACAGGCGCCCGCCATCACGCCCGGCTAATTTTTTGTATATTTAGTAGAGACGGAGTTTCACCGTGTTAGCTGGGATGGTCTCGATCTCCTGACCTTGAGATCCACCTGCCTTGTCCTCCCAAAGTGCTGGGACTACAGGCATGAGCCACCGCACCCGGCCTGGAGCAGGTCAACTTATAATACAGATGTTGAGGTTAGCAGAAAACTTCAAAATAACTGTAAAAATAATAAAGAAAATATAGAGATAATAATGAAATAAGTGGTGAAACAAATTCAATGGAGATTATAATTTAACATGAAATAATAAAATGGACATTGAAGAAGATAAAAACTGTAATTTTTAAAATTAAGAATTCCTTCAATAGGTTTAACAACAGACAGACATAGTAAAGTACAGGGTTGTGACCTCACAGGCAGGTAAATTAAAAACACCCAACCAGAAGCATAGATAAGAATATAATAAAAGAACAGAAAAAAAAATAAAAGTTATGCAAAATAATATTGCCCAGCCTATCTGAAAATGGATTCACAGAAGACGAGGAAGGGAATCTGAGATGAAGAGTGGCATATGGAAAGTTTCTTAGGGAGAACTTTGCAGATTATTACATGTGAGAAAGAGGGGAATGTATTTGGCAAATGGGAGGTGAAACTGAGATTCATTTGTAGCAAAGGCCTCAGCTAATCTCAAAAGGAAGGGAATCTGAGATGAAGAGTGGCATATGGAAAGTTTCTTAGGGAGAACTTTGCAGATTATTACATGTGAGAAAGAGGGGAATGTATTTGGCAAATAGGAGGTTAAACTGAGATTCATTTGTAGCAAAGGCCTCAGCTAATCTCAAAAGGAACATAGACCTTTATAATCACCCTGACTGACCTAAAGATCCAGATTCATTGAACAGCCATTGTCTGTATGCTACACCTAACAAAGGAAAATCCCTTTTGCTAGGAACAATTCCTAGAGGAAGATTAAACTGTAAGCCATCCTTTGATATCCAAAGGATGCTCCCAGCATCTCCAGCAATGAGGGTGAAGGACAGATTTGAACATCTCAGCAAAACATAGACTAGTGTATAATCTTTGTGAGATACAACACAAATCAATTTTATTTGCTATTGCAGCTGGAGTGGGAGAGGACAATTCTAGAGCCTGTCTTACTACAATACTTTTTACATCACAGGCCAAGAAACTAATGGAAATTTTCTACCAAGTACCAAATATACCCATTCAAATATTCAGAATAAAGAAAATCTTGCCATATTGGCCATTGACCCAGAGGATCTGTTGCAAGCCAAATGTTGGTGGGTATTTGTTTATTACCTTACCAGCACCTCCTCCTCTCCCACTACCCACCCCAATCTAACATGAGAGTCATAATGACACTTTAAATACCCTGATATCAATAACTCAGACCCCATTTCCTCAAACTATCTGGGCATTGCTCTTTACCCTGCATTTGGTTACCTTAATAAATGGCTATAGACTTTTTTTAAGTAGACTGGGGAAATCATCCAGGTATACATATATTTGGGCAATTCAGGGATTTTCTTGGAGAGCTGATTTCTTCTTCAGTCGATGGATTCTGAGACTGATAACCAGATCAATTCTGGGAACTGGACAATATATTTTAACGTGTAATAGGACGCCTTTTCTTCATCATCCTTATAATTCATCCTTGATATGTTGTGATTCTTTTTAATCAGCCTTTGTTGGCTGCCTATTCATTTGGCATCTAGTTATATTGTGTTCTGTTTACCATCTCCAAGTCTCTTTGCAGGTTAGGACTCTTTGGCCGCAAATTCAATCTTTCTGTTTATTAAAAAAGTTGTGTAATTGTGGTTAATTGCCACCACCTGGACTTCATTAGTTTAGGATCCTATTAGCTCCAATGCTATTAGGAGCCCAGATTTGTAATGGTGTTTCCTACCATCAGCCCTGGCCAACAGGGGAGAACCACCACTGTCTCATTAATGCTGACCTCTCTCTCAAGCAGTGCATTTCATTTCACTTCTGTCTGGTCCCTTCCACTGAATACAGACAGCTGAAGGATATTTATACCTTTCATATCATATAGCCAGTTATCCAAAGCTTTTGTTCCCTGTTACCTTCTTTGATAGCAGTCCTTGTATTTAACCTCACTCACACATTCTTTGCTTTCTCCAAAATTCCAAGTATATATTAGCAATACTTTAACAAGGTGTCTCAGAGTTTTCACCAAGCTGTTAAATTTGACAGAGGAGACAGAGTTCCATTATTTCTAATTCATCTTTATCAAACTTTATGTTTCCCAGTCCACTTTTGATTCAGCACACTCAGAAAAAAGAATCACGCTTATTTGTCCAGCTTCTCTCTGCTAGGTCCTGTAGCTCCTTTCATATATAACCCAGCATATAAATAACTGGGTTGATTTATGACTTGACCCTAGTATTGGTTTCATTTCCAGGAGGATACATGAACATAATTTTCAGTGTAGGCTTCCCTTAAAAATCAGAGACATTATTATCCTTAGAAAACTAACACAGGAACAGAAAACCAAAAACTGCATGTTCTCACTTACAAGTGAGAGCTGAATGATGAGAACACTTGGAAACATAAAGGGGAACAACAGATAACTGGGGCCTACCTGAGGGTGGTGGGTAGGAGGAGAGAGAGAAAATCAGGACGAATAAATAATGGATACTAGTCCTAATACCTGGATAATAAAGTAATCTGTACAACAAATTCCCATGACGTGAGTTTACCTATATAACAAACCTGCACATGTACCCCTAAACTTAAAACAAAATTTGAGTAAAAATGTCAGAGCCTTCTACATCACCCTCAGTGAAGGGGAGATGGTTATCCTTTAAGAAGAAAAATGCGAAGCCACAGGCTTCAGAGGAATCTGAAATTTTAAAGTATTTATGTGCATCTATCCAGATGTCCAAATTTCCAGTCTCGGCAACCCTTCTCAAAAAGGTCTCCAACCTTGGTATATCAGAGTTTCTTGGGTTTTGAATGTAAACATTTATAGAGCTAGGACATGCTTATGAGTAAGTTTTACATGTTTTCTGCTCACAGACTGCAGGAGATGAGTTTCTCCTTATGTACTGCCAAAAAGACCTAATTAAACGTAACACCTTAAGTTGGTGAGTAATTATACTCATCATCTCCTTTGTTTTTTCCTTTTTTTCCTTTAAATTCTAGGCCATACAACAAAATAAGAAAAGAATTAAAGATATTCTTTTGTGGTCGTTTTATGTCAAGGCTCTGAGAGTTTCAAGAAAACTGTAATGTAAGTACTAAGGTATTATAAGGAATTCGCATAAACTTAGATACATAAAGACTAAGCAAGATCTTAGAAATTAGGGGCGAAATAGCAATATAATAAAAAGATTAGTATTTCACAACCATGGCAAATTTATTCCAGTGATCTAAGACTAGTTTAACATTCAAAAATAAATCACTTTAATTCACTACATTAACAGAATAATGGAGACAAAAGATTTTGTTAAAATTTGATATGTCTTCTTGGCAAAAAACACTCAACAAATACACAGAGAATGGTAATTTCTTAATCAAAGTAAAGATATCTACAAAAATTAACATATAATTATTGTATTTACAGTTAAGTATTTAGTTATTTCAACTAAATTTGGAAATAAGAGAAGCATTTGCACTCCCACCACAGGTATTCAACATAGTACTAAAAATTTGATACAATACAATAAGACAACTTCCCCACTCTCCTCCTCCTTCAAATAAAGACATTCGATGAAAGTGGTAGAACTCTCTTTACTCATTAATTGTGTAACTGTCTATATGGAAAATTTAGTGCATTATACAAACACACTATAACAATTAATATGTATATTTAACAATGTCATTTGTTAAAAGATCAACAGATAAGTACCAATTTAACCTACAAATACTTGCAATAAACAAATATTGAAAATGGAATTTTAAAAATACCACTTTCAATAGTACCCAAAACAATGAATAAGTAGAAACAAAGTCTAAGAAAAATATGGAATAACTACAATGAAAGTAGAACATATTACTTAGAGAAATTAAAGATGACCTAGATTAATAGAGAGATATACCATGTTCATTAATATGAAGACTCAATATTGTCAAGATGCCAATTCTTGGCAAAATCCTTCATACAATTGATAGAATCCTAATCAAGAACTCAAAATATTTTAGTAGAAATTTAAAATGGGTATCTAAAATTCATATGAAAACAAATAGGATATATATTAATCAAGATAATCTGGAAGAAAAAGAACAAATTTGGAGGTCATGCATTGCGTTTTAAAATGTATTACAATGTAATTTCATGACACTGTTATGGGAATAATGAAAGCAAACACACCAGTAATACACAATAAAGAGTCAATGAGTATAAATACACATATGTATAAACTTGCTATGTGAAAAACACATCAGTGCAATTTCATGAGAGGAGAATGTTTTTGTTTTCGTTTTTAATAAATTGTGCTAGACAGATGTGCTAGATCAATCTGGTTTTGTTACAGCAAAAACAAAAACACATAAGTTTTAAGCCAAAAACACAAAGGTTTTAAATCATAAAGCTAATTGAAAAGTAAAAGCTTCTTCAATTTCAAAGCTTTGAGAAGAAATGAAAAATCTTCTGGGAGAAAACTAAAATATTTGAGTAGGCAAAGATTTTTTAAATGGGACTTAAAACCACTCATCACAAAATGAAATAAAGATCTTCAGTTTGACTGCCTTTTGTGGTAATAAAAGAGAAAGCAAAGAATAGTACCTACACAAGTAGATGTTGAGTTGAAGATGTTGCCACAGAGCAGGGCCCTAGGGTTTGATACTTCCAAAAACAGTGGGGAGAAAAAGGAATAAACCAGCCAAACCATCTTTCCACTATGGAAGAAAGTCACTTTAAGTGTTGGGAGAGGAAAAAATCTTTTCCCTGAGAATGTGTGGTGACAAATCCAACCACACTCAGATTTGAGACCTTTTGGTTTTATCCAACAATGTAATGATATTGGAGTTTAAACCTTTTCCTCTTGATGATCCTTTCAGAGTCAATATAAAAGTTCAAAAATTATTAGGTGTACCTCTGCTTATCACCTGCTTTTATAAAACAACTATTACGGCCCATAAGCATTAAGATTCGGTGATTTTATTTTTCAGAATTCTCTCCTCTAAACTGTAAGCTGCTTAAGAGCTGGGACCATCTCTTAGTAAGCTTTTAATTTCCTTATCACCAGGCAGAATGACTGGCAAATCAGTGATGAGTCATTATTGAATAAAAGTTACAGGAAAAAAGTAGGAGTTAAAACTTGGAATGTCACTGAAAATGCTATTAGAGTGAGGAAATCTTGATGGCGTTTTATTTCTTGTCTAAATTAGCGGTGTTTTTGCAGTCAGGGAATTTAAGAAAAGAAGAAGTGGCCCGGCGTGGCCTGTAATCCCAGCACTTTAGGAGGCCCAGGCGGGCTGATCATGAGGTCAGGAGATGGAGACCATCCTGGCTAACACCTTGAAACCCCGTCTCCACTAAAAAATACGGCCGGGCACGGTGGCTCAAGCCTGTAATCCCAGCACTTTGGGAGGCCGAGGTGGGCGGATCACAGGGTCAGGAGATCGAGACCGTCCTGGCTAACACAGTGAAACCCCGTCTCTCCTAAAAATACAAATAAATTAGCCGGGCGTGGTGGCGGGCGCCTGTAGTCCCAGCTACTCAGGAGGCTGAGGCAGGAGAATGGCATGAACCCGGGAGGCGGAGCTCGCAGTGAGCAGAGATCGCGCCACTGCTCTCCAGCCTGGGCGACAAAGCCAGACTCCGTCTCAAAAAAAAAAGAAAAGAAGAAGAAGCAAAACACTATATCAAATGCTGGAAAATTCTATTTTATAGAACAGCCTGTCCAAATTTACAAATAGAAGGCTATTGGAGCTTCTGGAGACATAAAAATTAGTCAACTTTGTTAATTCTCCTACTGAATTATTCTATTGAATTCTTTAGAAATGTTACCAATTTCTCAGAAAACAAATAAGAAAAGTATTCTTAAATTATAATTTTTAAAAATTTCCCACAAACTAAACACAATCTGAAATATAAAAATAAAACTCTTCAAAACATATAAACAGTAGACTGTAGAAAATGAATTTTTTTCAGGTAAAAAATCTTTCATATACATGAATGGCCTATAGAATAAGCCCAGTTAAATCTATTTTATATTTTATTTTACATATAGCAACATTTGCATTTTGGAATTCACAGTTTGGGGAGTTCTGAGAAATACATAGAATTATGTAATCAGGCTGGCTGCAATGGCTTACGCCTGTGATCTCAGCGCTTTGGGAGGCCAAGGCAGGCGGATCACCTGAGGTCAGGAGTTCGAGACCAGCTAGGCCAACATGATAAAACGCTGTCGCTACTAAAAATACAAAAATGGCCAGGCATGGCGGCGGGCACCTGTAATTCCAGGTATTCAAGAGGCTGAGGCAGGAGAATTGCTTGAACCTGGGAGGCTGAGGTTGCAGTGAGCCGAGATCGCACCATTGACTCCAGCCTGGGTGACAGAGGAAGACACCATCTCAAAAAAAAAAAAAATAAATCAGTAATAATCACCACAGTAGGATACAAAACAATTACTTCACCCAAAAAGTTATCTAATGATGCTCCTTTATAGTCAAAACCTCCTGTCACTTTTGACACCTGGAAATCACTGCTCTGTTTTCTATTAAAGATATATATCATTACATGTCCTACTATTATCATGTGAATGCATTTGATAGTGTTCTGTATTACTTTTCAAAAGAAAATATAGCTATGTGGCAACTATTAGTGTGGACAAAAATTTATAAGTGAAATATTATAACAAATTTGGGAACTTAACAGCTTGTGTGTTTCTCTATACATCATTATCACATTTGTAATAAAATTGTCACCATAAAATGACTTTAACAAGGCTTAGATATGTGAAGAAATACATCTACATAAATAATGAATTTTTTAAAATGGTGATTACCACATTAGAGACTGTTACTGTCTCTATACTATAAAGCATTAAATTTCAGAGAAATATGGAAAACATGCTTTGGGTTTGTTTTTTCATTTTTATTTAGAACTATAATGACAACAGTTAAATAAAAAATTATTTATGATGCTTGTTAATGAGGTTAAGAAAGATTTTATTCAGAGGGGACCACTGATATAGGTATAGGGAACACTGCAAAGTGCTCTTGTAATGAGATGAGAGACTGGACTTGCCCCTGAATACAACATGGGGGTGTTGAAATTTATAGCCAAGGAGCAGGGAGGGGGTCAGTAGATGGAAAGTTGCTAAAAAGAAACATCAGAGATAATGGGGAATTCTTGCTAAACAGACCTAATAGGATTCTTGTGGAAGCAGGCCCAGGGGATCAGACATCACCTTTGGGATGGTGAAGGATGAGGAATCCTATCAGCTATTGAAGGTGATCAAATATCTCAGATGGCTGAACTGACTTAGCAAGATTCTTGCTAAAATCTGACAATGCAGACACAGATAACAGAAATCCAAAAGTCAGGCCTAGTTGAAAAAAAGGCTCAGGAAATCCTGAGTAAATTATAGTCAAAGAGAGAATCTGTCACAACAAACAACAGTAAGTAAACTTGCGCAAAAAATTTGCTATGACTCGAACTTCATAGGAAAACAGAGTAATTATTGAAATACTTTATTTTGTCTTTCATCATTATATGATTTAAAACCATACACATTGAGGATTTCATTTATTAATAGATTTGAGGTATCTTGTTACCTATCCTTCCTTCTGTAAATTATCTAATAATTTCCCCAGTAAATACACTACCACATTTTGTGTATGTATCACTTTGCTTCTCAAAGTACAGTCTCTATTTTCAGAATCATTGTACTAATTACTTGGAGAATTTTGCTTCAAAACAATTACAAATGGAAAATATCCTTAATATTGTTGTTTGTACTTATTAACAATATTAGGATTTGCATAAATGTAAGAAAGGCAAAAGTAGCCTCTTCTTTGCAGACCTTGGTATTAAATATATTGAGGGTACTTTTATCTCCAGCATACTTATCAGCTTCCATCAAATGCTGGTATCCTTACAACAGTGATGCTAGTATTTACATAAAGAAGTTCTGGGCATGATGAACTATTAAGTGACTGAGTGTTGTAAAATTAAAAATTAGAACTTTCCATGTTATTTTCTTTCTTTCTTTTTTTCTTTTGAAACAGACTCTCACCCTGTTTCCCAAGCTAGAGTACAGTGGCACGATCTCTGCTCACTGCAACCTCTGCCTTTCAGGCTCAAGCGATTCTCCTGCCTCAGCCTCCCCGGTAGATGGGACTACAGGTGCGCGGCACTACCCCTCGCTAATTTTTGTATTTTTTGTAGAGACGGGTTTTCACCATGCTACCCAGGCTGGTCTTAAAGTCCTGAGCTCAAGTGATCTGCCTCCGTAAGCCTTCCAAAGTGCCGGGATTACAGGCATGGGTCACCGCGCCTGGCCAGAAATGTCCATGTTATTTTCAGATGCATTCCAACTGCATATACTCTTGTTTTTCAGTGTCTGGCAAGTGAAAAAAAAAACAAAGTACTTGTAGCGAAACATCATTTTGAAGTATCTATTACAAAATTACGATTTTCATCTAAGGAAAATACCTGCTTTGCCTAACATAGCAGCCTACCTCTGTAAATCTGCATAAGAAAATGCATGGGAACTTCCAGACAATATTGAAATTGCTTTCCAATTTCTTCTAGAGGTCAATCCCAATATTAAAAGCCTTCTTCATATTTACCATGAGATTCTTAAGCATAATGGTATTAAATTATACACCTCATGAGAACAAGGGTTGAGTGTATCATGTTTACGACTATTTTTAAGTACCTGGCATGGTGCCTGGCACAGAAATGTTCAATAAATATTTGCTGAGTGAGTAAAGGGAAATATGAATGAATGAATGAAGACAGTAAAAGATCTTACAAATCTGAGATTATTAAATGTGATCTTTACTTCAATTACATGTTATATAACCTGAAGAAAATCTGTCTTTCAAAATTAATAAAAAGTATATTATATTAACAAAAAACGTAGAGTTGGTGGCTGTACCGGTTTTGCAACATTTTATAGCAGATAAAAATTAAAAAGGAAAAATACTGTTTATTGAAATAGAAATAGGAAATGATTTTGTTCATGGTGACATAGGGGGAGACTTTTTTTAAAATGGCCACCTGGGCATAAAGATCATGGATAAAATGATTTTATTTTACTTTTTTGCTAGGAAAGAGCAATATCCCTGGACGGCTATTTTGTTTAAATATCATAACGCATCTCAAGGGAAACATATGGAAGGGAAATGTGAAATATCTGGAGCTCACATAACAACAGTGTTACACAAATCTTAACAGAGTACTTTAGCAACCAGTTTCATTGGAGAACAATCTCTGTTATTTACTATCATTTATAAAGCCCTGAAGAGTTACCTCAATGTTCACCTCTTCTCCTGAGAATCATCCTGGCTATTATAGTGAATCAGAGACCATTTTTTTACAGATCAAACTCCATTTATTTTTGCAATATGAAGAGATTGTTTCAGAGACTAGATCAGTCGGTTCTAGATATATATCTACCTTTACTTCTAAGTAAATTTTTAATACAGAAATGGTGCATAAATGGTACTTGACACGTGTCCCTAACTTGTTCACAAGCTATTCAAAAATAATACTGATAATTTTGAGGCTAGGCACGGTGGCTCAGGCCTGTAATCCCAGCACAGGGAGTCCGGGGCGGTTGGATCATTTCAGTCCAGGAGGTCAGACCAGCCTGGCCAACATCGCAAAACCCCATCTCTACTAAAAATGCAAAACAATTAGCCAGATGTGGTGGCCGCACCTGTAATTCCAGCTACTGGGGAGGCTGAGACAGGAGAATCACATGAATCCAGTAGAAGGAGGCTGCAGTGATCTGAGATCGCACCACTGCACTCCAGCCTGGGTGACAGAGCGAGATTCCATCTTAATAATAATAATAATGATAATGATAATAATAATACTAGTAATTTGGAAATGGTCACTGTGCAATAATAACTAATATTAGTATATTTCTAAAATATATTGAGAAACATACATTCCTATAGACTAAAGGAATACATTTCACATTGTACTCCGAATTAAGCTTTGTCCTGCTTTGTTTGGATGCTTCTTTTATGATATACTTCATATTCCTTACTTCACATTGAATTTCTATTTGCCCCAATCCCTGGTACATTCTGACACTTGTGATGACGTGCTTTTTATGAGCTGTAGAAACATTCATGCAAGTACACCTGACAGGCCCTTGCCTCATGTTCTTGATGCTGCACTCTTGCTTTCTGCCCTGGGGCTTTACTGTTGAAGTCTCTGGAGTACCACCTTGGTGCCCAAGCATACATAGTGCAGAAATATGAATCATTCCTCTGTAAATGCCCATCAGATAAAGACCATATGGAATACATCTATGTCCAAAGTTAAATTTAATTAAGCTTGGTTTATTAAAGGAGGCAGAAAATAATGGAAAACGTGGTACATTACCAATAAGAGATATTAAGGGAACTTATAGAATTTGGAGCACCTGTTGGGAGATTTGGGAGGACATTCATTAAAATGTGCTTTTCTAGATTGAGTACTCTAAGAAGTCAGTGGCAATTTAGAAATTCAATATTTTGATATATATATATATTTTTTTTTTTTGAGACAGAGTTTTGCTCTTGTTGCCCAGGCTGGAGTGCAATGGCGTGATCTCGGCTCACCTCAACCTCCGCCTCACAGGTTCAAGCAATTCTTCTGCCTCAGCCTCCCAAGTAGCTGGGATTACAGGCATGCACCATCATGACCAGCTAATTTTGTATTTTTAGTAGAGACGGAGTTTCTCCATGTTGAGGCTGGTCTCAAACTCCTGACCTGAGGTGATCTGCCTGCCTCAGCCTCCCAAATTGCTGGGATTACAGGTGTGAGCCACTGTGCCCGGCCGAGATCTCATGAACACTCACTCACTAATGAGAACAGCATTGATGGGGGGGAACACTCCCATGATCTAATCACCTCCCATGAAGTACCTTCTCCAACATGTGGGGATTACAATTTGGATTATAATTTAAGATGAGATTTGGGTGGGGACACAGAGTCAAACCATATCAGATAGCTTGGTGCCATCCTCATGAAAATGAGTGAGTTCTCTCTCTGAGGTCACATAAGATCTGGTGGTTGAAAAGAGTGTGATGCCTCCTCTCTCTTCTCTCTCTCTCTTTCCACCTTTCTCACCATGTGATATACTGGCTTACCCCTTCACGTTCTGCTATGATTGTAAACTTCCTGAGGCTCTCAGAAGAAGCTAATCAGATGTCGGTACCATGCCATGTACACCCTGCAGAACCTTGAGACAATTAAACTTCTTTTCTTTATAAATTACCCAACCTCAGGTATTTCATTATAATAATGCAAGAATGGACTAACACAGTTAGAGAAATTATCCTTTAAATGTGAGGAAGAATTAATTAAGAAGTATTTGAAGGACAACAAGAAAAATTAATGAAGTCTGCCATAATTTCAGTATCCTAAATGAATATGTCAGGAATAGAGTGGTGCCAACAGATAATATTTTTTTGAAAAATAAATACAAATAATACTTCTAGACATGATGGACCATATACTTTCGACAGGGTACTCTTTTGAGTCAGTCATTTCTTTCCAGGTTTTCCAATGTCGGAGACTTGAAAAAAATGAGGTTATTTTTCATGTGCACTTCATTCTTACTCTACACTTAGAAGTTTCAAGTGCTCTTCTCCAAAAGGAGTTCACAATGTATTGCTTTTCAGATACTCCCTTTGAAAGATAATTTTTATTTAGGACACCTATTATGGGGGTGGTGTAGATAAAAGGGAAGGCTTGAATTTGATCTATTAATAGAGTTTAAGCACAAGAGGCTGGTGCAGATAACTGAAAACTCCAGAAGTAGGGAGAGGAGATGGCTGGCAGTAAAGAGAAATTATGGAGGTATAATTTTACATAATAACTTGGATTTTACATAATTCTGAGGGACTTTACATAATTCTAGATATTTAGGGCCTGAAGCGTGCAATAGTCATTATGGCTTGGAGGAAGGTGGATGAATTCCTGCTTACCATATTTAGCATTCCAGTATGCACTCTTACTTTTTTTCCTTTCTTCCTCATTTTTATTAAGTTTTACAATTTAAGTATATGATATGCATATTCACATACCCACAGTCCATTGCAGGTGCATGTTTTTAGTTACAATACTAAAACCACCAATCTCTCAACTTAAAAAATGGCTCATTGAAATGGCAAATTAAACAAAGAGGTTGGTGGTATTTTAAGAAGTTTAAAATATACATTGAGCATTTGACACCTTTGTGGTCACTCTGAGTTCAAGGCAAATCTTAATTTCATGGAAATTCTTGCATTTGAAATATAGGTAAACCACTAAGTCTATGTCTAGTGGAAGCACACATTCAAAACAATAATTTAAAACAAAGTAGGAGAATATTCCTTGTCCACTCTGTTAAGTGTGGCAGAGTGTGATGGTCAGTATTGGCTATAAGAACCATCACTGGCAAAACCTTTGGTGATTGGAAAACCTTTCAAAATAGAAGGTGTATTAGAACGAGTTAGGTTTGATAATTGCTAATAGGTCTTTAGCAATGGCTTATTACATCAATATATGCATGCAAAACATGCAGAATTACTTTTCTTGAATGTATTAATTTCTAAGTAACTTGACCTTATGTTTTCCTTTCATTGATTTGTATTGAAACATGAGATTTTTTTTGGAAAGTGTTTAAAGATATTCATTCCTTAGTGTCAAGGAATACCCACCCACATCATTTCCATTTTTCAGGGAAATATGTATCGGGTTGCTTACTCAGTGTCAGAAATTTTATAAATAATCAGAGAGATGGGGAAAAGGAGATCATAAACCAAAAATAGCCACTGCTTCTGTAGAACACTTGAGACCATGTTAATGCCAATATTTTGCTTGTAAAGGTCATTTAAGCTACCATTTTTGAAGTATGTTGTAATTTCAGAGGACAAAATACATGTTATCTTCAGTCAATCACATCATCTAGAGATAATTTTCATACTATGCACAAGAAGAGTAGGTAATGATGTAGGAAATGTGTATGACTCCACTGACAGACTTTTATTAAGTGACCCAGAGTTTAAATTTATGTATGCTTTTCTGATTTTGTTTCACTATAGAAGGCTTCAAAATATTTTGTAAAATCTATTCATCAGTAGGCAAGATGTGGTAAAAGAAAAATGAAAGACAAATGCGAAAACCTTTGATTAAAAAAACTTTAAGTGGTTGTTAATACAGCTATAAACTTGATATATGGATAGGCACTGGATATACACACATATATAAGGGAAATATGCATATATTTCTAAAACACATATATATGGGAAATTTATTTTGATTGATGTGGTGTTTCTTTTCACATCCCACCTTCCTGATTGATGTGGTGTTTCTTTTCACATCCCACCTTCCTGCAGTAGGAATTGATGCTACTTCTGAAACAATGGAAGCACACCTCACTAACTCTATAATTTTGGCCTTTGTAATCTTCATCCATTGCACCTGGTTCATTGTCTGCATTTACTCAACCAATTTCCACAGGCTACAGTTTCAGCCTTAACTGGCTGCTGGCCAAAAACAAACAAAGGAAATATAAGTGTGTTGTTGCATCCATGCCTCCCCAACACAACAGATATATGAGATTTTAATCACTGCAGCACTGAAGCAGCTTTTTTTTTTTCAGTAAAAGTGTGCCAATTTTGCTTTCAATGTATTATATTTTAAGATTTTAAAAATTTCTATTTCCCAAAAATATTTTTTTCAATGACCTTTTGGATCCTGAGGTGAAGTTTAACTCACAATGCATTTTAGGTCTTGAGAATAGGTACCCCTGCTTTTGCTGCAGTAAGCATTCTTGCTGAAATGTTTTTGCATACTTGCTAGAAAGTTTTCTACATATTTTAACAAGAGGGATGCATCTGTGGAAATTTATGTATGGAGTGTTAGGTATTGTGGTACATATGTAAACTTGTTTATAAAATATGCAAATTTCTTGTCATTATTAATACTAACACCTGTCTAAACCATGTGTTACTCGGAGAAAAAATCGCATGTATTTGTTGTAACAGAGATTTGCTAACTCGAATTTTTTTCAACAATTTTTTTTTATACTTTCTTGCAAATTTTAGTTTTGGCTCCCAATTTCAGAGAAGAAAAACAAAATGTGCCATGGCATTATGAATATATTCAAAGCAAATGTGGTTTGATAAATGTAGAGAACTAATGAGGAACAGAACATATTTTTGCCTGTAAAATCCACTTGGGGTTTAATGCTTCTCATTCAACTGTTAGTCTAGTCATTTTGGGTCTCCAAACTCATTACTGATGTATCATATAAGATACAGTTTCCTGAGAAAAAATGGTAGTTTAGACCATAATAACCCAAACTATATATAAAATGTGAAGAAGTCAAACAATAGATATGATTAGAAAGAGTAATAGGCGAAAGTATTTTTACCCAGGGGATCTAGAAAATTCAAATTGCAGAAGACAATGTAGTCAAATCTCAAAATACAGGCAAGTATTAGACATGGGAATGAATGCCTTTCTACCATAGATTTTATGGAACATGTATAAGTGTAGGATATAGTCAGTTTATTAGGCTCCAGTTGTTTTGTTTTAAGTCATATTAGTAGTAGTCATCAGGGTAAAGATCAATATAAATACAATTTGTTAAGAAAATCTGTAAGAGGAGAATTCTAACAGTGCACAATGGGCCTGGTCCAGGGGAATGATTGTGTGCAATTAGCTTATGATCTGCTGGAGACAGGCCATACACTCTGTCCCCACCAAGTGCTCACAAACTCTGCCATGTTGTAAGCACCTGCTGGGAACAGCAAATAAGGCCTGGCAGGGGCTTCCTGCTCCTTTGAGTAAGCCACAAAGAGGCCCTGAGACACAATATGACAGCTCTAAGGTGACTTTTTTTTTTTTCTAGTGCGTGCCCTTATGTCTACCACTAGGTCTTGTTTTTCTTTTTTTTTAATACGTTCTGAGGAAAACTCCTTAACATATTTAAACTTCAACTTCCTTATGTTTAAAATAGGGATAATTGAAAAGTCTACCTCATACTGTTGTGAAACTTACATAACAGTATGCATATGCAGTGTTTGCAAGAGTGTCCCTCCAAGTCAAGGTCAGCTATCTCATTATTCTTGGGGCAGCAGTTTTACTATCATCATTCTCATTGGTAAACGTTGGCTTTGCTGTCAGCTACTCTGGACTCCAGGACCAGTTCTGTGGCTTTACTATGTACACAGCTACATGGGCTATTGTAAGCATAGCACCAAAACACATCTAGCAGATTGCCTGGTACAAGTAAGCTTTTAAAAAATGCCAGGGAACAGAGAATCGGAAATCAATATCTCTAGTATTCAATTTCCTTCTTTTTTAAAAAAATATCATAATACTTGCCTTTCAGGATTCTTGTCAAAATGAAATCAGTTACTTGCCTGAAACATTATAAAGATTGAACAAACACATTATAGTCATTATTATTATTATTGAGAACTATTTTAACTACAGAACTTATAGGAGGTGTATTGTTTTTGCCACATTTCAAACTATGCATTTGAGAAAAATGGGATGATACTTTTTTGTTTGTTTTTGTTTAATGTACTGATGTTTTTGTTAAATAAAAGCTAGCTTAGAAGTACAATATAATAATTTTTTTAAAAAAAAACAAGAAATATCAGAACTTCTCTATTTGAGGCAGTGGGTAGTAAAAGTTTCCTCTTAATAGACACATTCCTGCTCATATCAAAGTACCCTTGAAATGTCTGTAGAAAACAACTGGAAAATCAACTATCTAATCCAACCTTTTCATTTCACACACGGAGGCTGAACAGTGAATTTACTTTTTCAAATTTGGGGGGAAAGTTAAAGACAGAATAGGAATAAAATCCAAGGTCTTAGACCTCTTGTTTATGTTTATATACCTTGTATATAAGGTAAGAAAATGATGATGGGCTTGAGAGGGGAATCATGATGCATTATTTATACCACACATTTTTCTGAAAGCAGGGACAGTGGCATTTACTTTGTTGTTGCAATGCATTAGGCAGTTAATATGTAGTTTGCTGCTCCATTCATTTATTTCACAGTTAACATTTATTAACTGACAGTCATTTAATTTTGTGCAATAAAAATTTAATTTGTCTCTTGCCTAATTACTAGAATACTACACAAAGGGAAGTGAAAATTATGTTTCAATAATCAGCATTATGAATGGCCACATAGCCACAATTAGGAAGTATACTTTCCTCTCTTATTCCACTTGAATATGATTTAAAATACATTAACTTTTAATAATTTAAAATATTAACTTTTTAAAAGTACAGTAAAACAATGTTTTCAAAGGCTTTCAGTAATAATATGTTGACACTGAAAATATTTTTTGACATCATAATCAAATGAAAACCCATTTTACACTGGTTAAGGGCAAATGGCCATGACATTCTGATTAGCATGATTTGATATTTACTATTACATTATGCTTTTCTCAAAAAAATTTAATAAGTGAATGACTTTATAATCGTCAAGTTGTTAGCTGAAGGGTACTAAAAATAGTCTTGGTTATTTACATGCATTTTTATTTTCACCTATAAAACCAAAATGTAATTATGTATCTTCAATGTTTTGGTTAATACAAATTGGAAGTAACTGGGTCAATGGGAGAAGTTGTTTTTGTGTGTGAGTTTCCTGAGGGATCATGATGTGATTGTTTAGGATTGGTGGTTTATAGTAAGGTGAGAAATTTGAGACAAGGAGTTCATAGTTTTGAGATGTAACCCCTTGATATTTTTAATTGAAGAGTTGATAGGCCTTTCATGCAGTTCCTAAAATGAATAATAAAGTTGTCTAGGACTTTTGTTTTCCTGGACAAGAGTCTTTCAGAGCAATAAGGTCATGATAATGAAGAGCACAGAATAGTAACATCACATTAACAAAGACAGCATCTCCTGTAGAATTAGATGTCAAAATTTTCAGAGGATTAACATTTGAGAGAAATAAGTGAAAAAATTAAAATAAAAAAGCACACACTCTTACAAACTTAAAACAGGTAAGGGTTATTATTTTCCACCACAGAATCAGCTCATGTCTATGTTTTCAAAAGTTTTCCCAGGTCTGTTCCAATCTTCTACTGAAAATTTTTTTAAAAATCTGAGCTCTAAAACCTCAAGATTACGTCTTCAAATGGCATTCTCACTGCCTCAAAGAGTTTATGACACTTTCACAGACAATTTACATCCTGTTTCTTGAAGTACCCCAGGGTGCCTTTGCCTGCAGCTGAAGGTACCAGATAAGGAGTCCATGGAGAAATTACCCTTAATCTCAGGAGCTGCTCCATTGCCTACACACGTCCCATATCTAATCTTTTCTGTCTTCAATTCATTCTTTCCTTCATTCAACAAATAACTTCTGGGATCCTAGAGTGGACAAACTGTACAGCAGGCACTGGGGACCAAGACAGCAAAGAAGCAAAGAGGGAAACAGAATTCTGAAGCTACATGTCCATCTGATGTGAAAAGAGAGACAAGAAACTGTTAACATTGTAATCACAATGAGTGATCCGAAGGAAAACACAGGCTGTGATTCCAAAGAGTCTGTGTTTTCCTTAAATAATTGCAAAAACTGCAATTACTTTTGCACCAACCTAGTAATAAGAAAAACTAACCTAATGTCTTTAGGCATGGTTTGGGAAAGATTTTCTGAAGAAGAGAAAGTATAGAATTGCATGATGAGTGGGATTTAGCAAGTTAACATTGAAGTGAAAGGGAGAAAATAGAGAAATATCAGAAACAGAAAAAACATTTATTTAACCATTAATTTGACGTATTTATTTCTACCATGTTTTGGGTCAGGAAGCTTTTTTGGCATTGTGAATACAGCAGTAAAAAAAGAAAAAAAAACATAAAAGCATGCCTAGTCACACACTCTGGAAGAGATTTAAAACACGTGTGAAGTTTCAATACAGGAAATAATAGTGTAGTCAAGGAGTTTGAAAACACAAGGGTGGCTTGAATTAAGAGGCAAAATATGAGAAAAAATTGCCAATGAGGCTTCAGAGACAAGCAAGTTTAGATTAGCCAGGGTTCTTTTCCAAGCCATAGTAAGGAATTCAGTCTTTTCTTCAAGATAATGGAAAGCCACAGAATTGTGAGAATTTTAAGTAAACATAGAGTCGCGTGACGTGCCTAATTACATTTCCAACAACATTATACATTAAGGTAAAGCTCCATGACATTGAGCTGGGGAATGATTTTTTGGATGTGAACCCTAAAGCACAGGCAACAAAAGCAAAAATAGACAATGGGATTACATCAAACTAAAAAGCCTCTACACAATCAAAGGAACACTCAATAGAGTGAAGAGACAACCTAGGAATGGACGAATATATCTGCAAACCATACATATGATAAGAGGTTAGTATCCAAAATATATAGAGAACTCAGATCATCATAAATACACCACTAAGGAAGCAAATAGTCTGATTAAAACATGGACAGAGAATGTCAATAGACATTTTTCAAAAGAAGACATACTAATGGACAAGAATATTTTAAAAGTTCAACATCACTAATCATCAAGGAAATACAAATTGAAATCACAACAATATATCATCTCACACTTGTTAGAATGACTATTATCAAAAACATGAAAGATAGTAAGTGTTGGAAAGGATGCAGAGGAAAGAGAACATTGTGAAAGGAAAATAAATCTTGGGCCCCTATATCACTAAGGTAAAGAAAAAAAGTCAAGCTGGAAATTGTTTAGAGCAAGCCTGCCTCCCATTCTATTCAAAGTCATCCCTCTGCTCACTGAGATAAATGCGTATCTGATTACCTCCTTTGGAAAGGCTAATCAGAAACTCAAAAGAATGAAACCATTTGGCTCTCACCTATCCGTGACCTGAAAGTGCTTCCAGTTGCTTCCATTGACCTGAAAGTGCTTCCATTCCTGCTTCCAGTTGTCCTGCCTTCTGGATGTAACCAATGCACATCTTACATATATTGATTGATGCCTCACATTTCCCTAAAACATATAAAACCAAGCTGTGCCCGACCACCTTGGGTGCATGCTGTGAGGCCCTCCTGAGGCTGTGTCACCGGCATGCATCATCAGCCTTGGCTAAACAACCTTTCTAAATTAACTGAGACCTGCCTCAGATATTCGGGTTTCACATTTTGGTAACCATAAAGGGATTCTGAGAGGAGGTGCCCCTGACCTTGAACAAATCGCCTATCTGTGCTTGCTATCAACTTGAGCTATCTTTATGGCTCAAATCAATAGGAAAATTTGCTGAGGCCTGGAAGCACCCCCTTGAGAGAATCCCTAATCTCCCAAAATGTGGTCATGATTTAAAAAGTTTATTACAGTACAACTCCTTTTTCTGGAGTTTTACTTGCTGCCAACACAAGGAAGGCAAGTTTTCCTGCTTCCATGATGATGGAAGGCAGGTAATTTCTCTATGGTGTTTGAGCTCACTTCCAACAGGGAACATGAGTTTGAGTTTTTTTCTGCTTCTAGGATGATAGAGAGCAGTCTTCAGTCTGAGACCCATCCCTAGGTAAGTAACTGAATTGGGGTTTGTCTTGCCTGAAGTTAAGATTAACAACCAGCTGGTCTTAATTTCTCCTTAGCATTAGAGCACTCAGTAATCACATAAGTTGTACGATCATGTGTTTGATTTGCTTAATTGTTTTTGTTGTTGTGATTGTCTGTTTCTGTTTTTGTTGTTATTTCAGTCTTTTCCCATTGGGTTTGACCAACGCTATCAGACTATCAAATCTGAAAGAAAGTTCCAAATTATGGGGAACAAGGCCTCTGAAGTGGCTAAATTCTGTCCCCCTTACCTCCCAACCCCTTGCACCACACACAGGAAAGGTGGTATGGTCTGGGGAGAAAAATGACCAGCAAAAGGAAAAAAAAAAAAAAAAGATTTTGACTATGTACGGGGCTTTATTTACATAACAAGGTCACCTTTTTTCTAGCCAGGCCAAATTGAAAGAGCAATGGTTGTCACCCCATGCTGCAGTTCCATAGTTAAGGTTCTGTCTTCTTTTTTTCACCACAACAGCCTGAGTTTGTTTCCTAAATCAAGCCCTTTCTGGTTTGATACTTGGTACTTCTGAAAGAGTAGCAATTTGTCCTAGCTGAAATATGGTAATGAGATTAAAAAAAATTAAAGGAGCTCAATGGTTAAAACTCAGCTTAATTAGAAGCTGACATCCAAGATATGTGTGTGTGTGTGTGTCTGTTTATGTGTATGTGTGTTTATATTTAAAAGGATTTCATGGTGGTTTTTTTTCTCCCTCTCCAAGGATTTTTGTCTTTTTTGAGCAAATTTTTTTTTCTTCCCAGTTGACTGAAATCTGTTTTCTTCATTTAATTCTGATGTCTCTCCTTTCGCTTGCATCTTCTGCTGCATGGGGGGTCTATAATAGTTTGTAATAGCCTAAGGTTTCTTAAAGAAAATGAAGAAGTTTTCAGACTCTCTTTTGGGGAGAAACCTCTGTTTTTCCTTTTGGAACCCCAAGAGTGTAATTAGACAAGTTTGTCTCAGCTCTTAAACTACGTGCTTTTGTATTGTGTTACCTGATTTTTTGACTAAAATAGTTATTGCAACAGAGGCTACTCTTGGGTTTTTAAGAAGGAGTATAGTTTAGACACTTAGAAATGTCTTTGTTTAAAAAAATTTTTTTTTAAGTACATGGTAAAAGCATCACATGGTGTAGCTTCATAATAATTCTCCCTTTTTGAAGACCTAGGAGTTAGTGTGGGCTCTCCCCAGAACTCAGAAAATAGGTAGTCCCCATCTAAATGAAATTGGTCTCCTTATAAAATCCTATGATAGATTTCTATAATTTTATGCTTCATTTGGCATCCATCTTTAATCCCTCTCTAGCACCACCAGATATTTTCTCTCTGTACCTTGAGATGTGAATTTTGCTATCTGATTTTTCTCCTAAGAGTTGTTTCCTTCAATATGCAGATTTAGGGCTACTTAGCTGATAGCTGCCTGGGTAATGAAAAAGGCTATCAAACATTTTCAAGTTTAAGATAGGGAAAAAAGGAGGTCTTATAAATCTATAAGATGTATTTCTATAGGTATGCTTAATATGTCTATGTATTCATATAATGTGTACACAATGTTTCACTACTGAAGATGTAGAAAAGAAATCTAATTAATTGGCTTAAGGAAAAATAAAATCCCTCAAATGAAATACTTTACCAGAAAAAAAGACTAGTCAAATGTTTTTTCAAGTTTACATGATTAAGCAGAATCTTTAATAAAAGAGCTAGCCTTGAAATTATTGGTAAAGTAATATTAGAAATGTCTTAAGAATTGCCAACATACGTATTTGTTTGCATTTATTGATCAAGCAATTTCATACTTATCCCTGCCAAATAATATAAGGTGTCAAAATTTGGCATGGGATCACAAAACCATAAACCCAGCCCAAAACAAAATGATCTTTGCTTGTATAATTGTTAACAAATAAGACATTGGTATTGGTTTAATGAAAATAGGTACATCTTAAGTTATTTAGTAAAATTTCCATAACTTCTAATCTTGTGGCTTTTGTCAGTCAAGTCTACAGGCAGGAAGGAGGTTTGTTTTGCAAAAGAACTGTTATCATCTTTGTTTCAAAGCTGACCTATAAACTAAGTTTCTCCAAAGGTTAGTTCAACTTATGCCCAGGAATCAACAATGATAGTTTGGAAGTTAGAAGCAATATGAAGTCAGTTAGGACAGATCATTTTTGTTGTCTCAGTTATAATTTTGCAATGATGGTTTCATGACTTTAAATAAGGACTACTGCAGTTTTCATAAATAATCTTAGACTAAAATAAAATAATTAGGTAAATGTAATGGGATAAATATTTGTAGAAAAATGTATCATAATTTAGAATTTAAAGTTATATTAAATTAAATAATAGATATTTCATTATTTGGGGATTTTCCAATAAAAATATATTGTAGGAAAACATTCTTTCTAAATGAAGTATCTTTTCAAAAAGGTAAATAATTTTGTCTAATTCAAAGCTTATTTAAAGCTTATGTATAAAACAAGGTAAAGGGAACCAGGAAATAAGAGAGATGTAAAGAAAGTTATAGGAATGAACAGTTTTTTTTTTTTGTAAGAAAGCTTAAAAAGAAATAATTTTATAAAAGAAACACTTTTATACGAGAAAGAATGTTGTATGGTAAATTTAGTCCTAGAATAAAATGACTACTTGTTTAAGGAAGAGAAATGTTCAGGACAAACCAGAAAGTCCAAGCATGTCATGAATGGTCTGTGTAAGTCACAATAAGGAATTCATTTAAAAAAATTTTAAAACCAAAAACTTTTATATGATCAAGCTGCCTGTGAGTAAAGGGAAATTATAATGGTCTTTCTAGAGATTGGGTTTGATGTTAAAACAAACAAACAACACTTATACACTAAAGAATTTATAACAACAATGAAATTTTCTTAAGGGATTGATTTACTCTTAATAAATTATAAAATATTTTAATTTTTTTAACCCAAATTTCAACTTTTATTACATCTTACAGTTCTCAGTTTTATCTCCCCTTTTAAAAGAAGCAAAATAGTAATGCTCTCCTTTAACTCATTTTCAGCTCATATTAGGGTTTTTTTGTTTTTGTTTTTGTTTTTTCTCTTGGGTTCTGTTTGCTGTGGCCTGATACTAACAATGCTTCCTTAAAGTTCTAAAGGAAATGTTTTCTTCTAACAATACTCTGTGCACTGCAGAAAGTCTTTTCTTTGGCCTTTTGGTACCTGGCCTAACAGATTTTATGTTTATTGAAATAATTTCTATGCCTTTATTATTAAACATTGGTTTGCTTAGAAAAAATGAGGGTAATTTTTTAATTAAGATTATTCCATCTGTGTATTTTTCTGTATGTGCTTTTAAAGTCTTTGTGACATTGAGTTACAGGGCTTTGACTCCTGGATCTAAAAAGGGACACCAAGTTCTGTTAAGTCCTAAACTCTGACAACAATTAAAGCCTCATCCTCAGGCCTGGTAGAAGATGCCAATCAAAATAAACTGTGTTCATGAGAAACAGGGCCAGAAATTAAAGCTATTCAACTCCTCAAGGCCAATGGACTACTGCAGAAGAGGTGGGTATATTAGAGTGTAAGGACTAATTTTGAGAGATAAAATAAGTTCAGTTTCTCTATAAATTAACCATGAATATCAAAGGCACACTGATGCAAAATCAACATATGGCCCTTTTGTCAGATTAACAAGGTTTTCTTGAAGCATTAACTGACTCCTTCTTAAAGGTTATAAAGATTATAGAAGGCTTATGGGAATTATATCTTATGGTCAAGACTAAATTTGTACATATTCTTTATAAAATTTTCAAAAACAAATGTAATTGGCTTCATGCTGTTTTTATTAGAATGTATTGCTTGGAAAATTAAGTCTCACCTCTCAAAGAATGAAGGTTTTTGCCTTTTTTGAAATCCTTGAGTTCTCACTTTGGTTAAATTAATGAATTATTTGACAATAACCTGTGGTCCTATTTTGTGATATCAAGTGTTTTGAACATTTGATATTGGAAACTGTCCCAAATCAAATTATAAATTATGTCTTCTTCTGACCTAATTAATCCTTTAAGCTATTAGATTCCCTAAAGTCCAAAAATGACATATTTGGCTTATTTGGTATAAAAACTATACAGGAAGCATTGTCAAATATGAAATGGTATTTGGCTTTCTTTGGGCTATATTTGTATAAATTAGCTATTAACATGTGTTCCAAAATTATGGAAAACATATAATTCTGATATGACTTAGTGTACATTATCAGTAATAATTATAATTGTTATGTTAAATTGTCATGTGCCACAGAAGTAACAAAGTTCCTTGCCAACTATGTCTTTGACTATGGCTTCCCTAAAACTTTTTGTCATCGATGGATAATTGTTGTCTTGTTTTGGTCGTCTTTAAAAGGTAGTTTTATAATCAGCTATAAAACTTTAACAGGTGCTCTTGAATGCAGGTTTCTGAAAACTTTGGAGATTGTGACATCAAAATATAGGAAAAATTTTCAGCACTCACGGAAAGCCAAAATGTTCATGAATATCAAACAGAATAGGAGTTAACTGTATGGACTTAACTAATAATATAAGACTGAAGTAATCTTTTTGTCTTTTTGCATAAAATGTTGCTGATCCTTTGTTTTATTTTCCAGAGTCAAGGAAACTTTTCTTTTGAGGCACTGACAGCTTTTAACAATTAAGTAACTCCTATGAACAAACTTTGGGGCATATTTGTTTCTCTCTACCTGATTTCTACAAAATTTGGGAACTTTTGAGTATTATTAACTTATGGCAATATATTTATTTGCATAAGTGTAATAAAAACCTGTTTTCACATGTAACAGGACACAATTGGATAAGCTGGTTATTCTACTAAGGCTTTGACTAGAATGGTGTGCTTTCCTTTAAGGAATCAAACTTGACTTATAGAGCCAATAAAAGCCCCTTGGGAAAACTGGCTTCCTACCTTGTCCACACAGTTTTTGTACAAGGTTTCTGACCTGTGGCAAGTAAAGAATGTCTCACTTTCTGACAGAGCCAGGAACCCCAAATTGTTTTTGTACCTCAAGAGGGGAGGAATTCACCCAACTCAGGTGTCAGAGGATACAAACCCTTGGCACGGCTTGGCTTTTTTTTTTTTTTTTTTTTTTTTTTGAGACAGAGTCCTGCTCTGTTGCCCAGGCTGGAGTGCAGAGATGAGATCTTGGCTCACTGCAACCACTGCCTCCTGCGTTCAAGCAATTCTCCTGTCTCAGCCTCCCAAGTAGCTGGGATTACAGGCACTCACCACCACCCTCAGATAATTTTTGTATTTTTAGTAGAGACAGGGTTTCACCATGTTGGCCAGGTTGATCTTGAACTCCTAACCTCAGGTGATCTGCCCACCTCAGCCTCCCAAAGTGCTGGGATTACAGGCATGAACCACCATGCCCGGCCCAGGGATTGGCTTTTAAAAAGCCTTATCTGAGATTCTTTCTATGGAACAAAGTACCATCAAAGCCAATTTTAAAAGCCTATGTGAAAAAATAATTATTCTTTCTTCACTTTATACAAATAATCTGGCCAAGTATAATAAAGCAAATCTCTTCTACCATGATTTGTCTTTAGTAAAAATGGGAAACTGAAGAGAGAATTGTTTCAAAAACTATAGTACTCCTAATGTTAGATACTAGTCTTGGCTGATGTTTTTCAATTTTTATTATTTTCTACAGTTTGGTGTGAATTCTAATATTTCCTGGCTACAAGTCTCCAAAATAGTATTTTCAATTTTTTCTTCTTTCTTTTCCTTTTTGCCCATTTTTTTCTAATTTGAAATTACTGAAAACTAAGCTGGGCTTTCTTAAAGCCCTGCAAACTGAAGCTAAACAACTTAAACTTCAGAAGAAAATAACAGCAACCTATTTACGTACATAAGCCACTTTCATACCTGCCTACTGATGTATGGACTTCAGAGTAATGTGGCCTACATACATTTTCCAGGATTGTTCTTCTGTTTGTTGTTGTATTTCTCACTTCCTCTCCTTATTTTACCTTCATAGGACATGAGACTTCACAACCTGCTAAAAATGAGCTTTCCTAATAACTTGGGACCTACCCATCTAAGAATAAACCATCCTAGCCAGGAAAGATCAGATGAAACCTGAACCAAAGAATCATTTTCTTCTAAAATGCTTTCTCCAAAATATTTTAAAAAGAAAAGTGGGAAATGTGAAAGGAAAAATAAATCTTGGGGCCCCTTAATCACTAAACTAAAAGGAAAAGTTAAGCTGGGAACTGCTTAAGGCATACCTGTCTCCCATTTTATTCAAAGTCTTCCCTCTGTTCACTGACATAAATGCATATCTGACTACCTCCATTGGAAAGTCTAATCAGAATCAAAAGAATGCAACCATTTGTCTCTTACCTACCTGTGACCTGGAAGCACCCTCCCTGCTTCGAATTGTTCTTTCTGGATGAAACTAATGTCCATCTTACATACACTGATTGATGTCTCATGTCTCCTTAAAATTTATAGAACCAAGCTGTGCCCTGACCACCTTGGACATACGTTGTCAGGACCTCCTGAGGCTCTATCATAAGTATGCATCCTCAACATTGGCAAAATACCCTTTCTAGATAAACTGAAACCTGTCTTAGATATTTGGGGTCTGCAACTTGTATATTGTTAGTGGGAGTGTAAATTGATGCAACCACTATGGAAAACACTATGGAGTTATCTCAAAATAGAAAAATAAAACTATCATATGATCCAGCAATTCCACTACTGAGTATATATCTACATGATATGAAATTAGTATGTCATAGAGATATCTGTACTCCCATATTTATTTCATGGTTCGTCACAATAGCCAAGACATGAAATTAACCTAAGTATCAATCAATGGATGAATAGATAAAAAACGTGTTATGTATACACAATAGGATATTATTCAGCCTTCAAAAAGAGGAAAACCTTTTCATTTTCAACAACATGAATATACACGAAAGACATTATGTTAAGGACAATAAGCCAGGCACAGAAAGACAAATAATGCCTGATCTTATTTATATGTGGAATCTTAAAAAACTGAACTCATAAAAGCAGAGTGCAGAATGATACTTACCAGAAGCTTAAGGGCGGAGGGATTGGGAAGATATTGATTGAAGAATATAATATTTCAGTCTGATAAGGGGAATAAATTCAAGAGATCTAATTGTGCATCATAGTAAATATAAAATAACAAAACATCATATACTTGAAAATTTTTAAAAAGCAGTAATATTTGAGGTGATGAAAAATTTTGGAAATGGAGAGTTGGAGGTGGGCCTAGTGGGAGGTATTTTGGTCATGGGGTGAATCCTTTACTTAATGATGGTTGCACAACATTATGAATATAATTAATGCTACTAAATTGCACACTTAAAATTCTTACAGGGACAAGTGTTATTTCTTTATACTAAATTTTTAAAAATAGTTTTTAAAAGTATGTTAAAAAAAGTGCATGTCAAAGGGACATAGGAGCAAAATTGAAAGACTTCTCAATGACTAAAATTTGAGAAATCTGAGCAAGAAAAGTATTGTTGGATCATAACTGATATAAAAACAAGAATCCATCATGATATAAATAAATGATTCAATAAACAAATAAATGGAGGAGATCAATTTTCTTACAGAAGTGCAAAAATATACATATGTAGATGCTGTCTCCAAGAAATGTTTATCCCTCTACTGAACCCCCATTGCACCGAGGGAAGCACTAGACTTGGTGTCTAGCTTTCAAAGTACAAAATAGGAAAAGGGAAAACCAGTTTTCATGCTGTGGTAAACCTGCCAGATACTACCCTAAACTAATGATAAAGGTGAGCATCATTAGTGATGTTAAGTGGATATCAAGTATTTCCACATATAATGTGACAACAAGGACACAACAACTTTGGTATTCTTTTCAAAATCTCATAACCCAAGTCTAATAATGGAAAAAAAAAAAAAAAGAAACACACAAACCCAGCTTTAGGGTTATTCTACAGGATACTATTCAAGACTGTAAAGTACTTCTGTGCCAAGGGCATAACAAATAAGGAAAGACTGAGAAACTGTCACAGACCAGATGGGTGTGAGGACACATGATCACAAATAAAATATGTGTTCTGGGTTACATCAAGGAACATTATAAGGAATATGATATGGTTTGGATATTTTGTCCCCTCCAAATCTCATGTTGAAATGTGTCTCCCATGTTGGAGGTGGGCCTAGTGGGAGGTGTTTTGGTCACGGGGATGAATCCGTCATGAATGGCTTAGTGCTGTCCTCATGGTAATGAGTTCTCATACCATGAGTTCACGCACGATCTGGTTGTTTGACAGATCCTGGCACCCTTTGCCTCTCTCTCTTTCTTTCTTTCTTACCATGTGACCCATTGGCTCCCCTTTACCTTCTGCCATGTTTGTGAGGTTCTGAGACCCTCACCAGAAACAGATACCAACACCAGGCTTCATGTGCATCCTGTGGAACCGTGAACCAAATAAATCTCTTTTCTTTATAAATTACCCAGCCTTAGGTATTCCTTTACAGCAATGCAAATGGACTAACACAAACCATCAGTTAAAAAAATAATGAAGTCCAAATAATGTCTGGAGTTTAATTGATAGTAATGTACCAATGCCAGCCTCTTAGTTTTGAAAAATGTACCAAGGGAATGTAAGATTCCAGCAATGGAGGAAACTTGGTGAGAGGGTTAAATAAACTCTCTGTATTATACTGCAGCTTTCCTATAAATCTAAACATATTTCAAAATAAAAAAGTTTAAATATAAATAAATAAAAGGCAGCCTCATACCTGTCACAGCCTGCAGGACACCACACTGCCAGCAGGGTCATGTCCTCCCTTAGCTACTGAGTAAGCATGGAGAGGTCTTCAAATACTGCAAGTTAATTATATTTTAACAGATATTGGCTCTGAAAATGTTACTTGAATTATTTTTCCTCCAGTGGGCCAGGGAACACTTCAAAACAATCCATGATTTGTGTTGACTTTTTTTCATGTGTTTAGAATAACTGCCACGAAAAAATAATCATTTCAAAAGATAAATGAAAGCAAGCATCTTCTTAGAAAACTATTGAAGGACAGAGAGAACATTACATTTGACAAGTAGACATTAAACATCCTATTTTTTTTTTTTTGCAAATCTCCACAGATATCAGCAATAAACATTATTAGAGAGTAAAAAGAATTAGTTTTAAACATGAAAAACATTCAACATTATTTATTCTTTGGTGACTTTCAAGATGTAGTTATTTTTGGAATGTTTTTAACAATAGGGCCATAACTACACAGCATGTCTATGTGAAACTGTCTTCTGATTTGTTCCTAATGGATTTTGTTTTTCACTGAGACCTACATGACACTACTTCCATGGCTCAGTAATGAGTCAAGAGCTTGTTCTACTCCATAGAATAGTCGTTTCCAGAAGTCACTCCTACTTGGTCAAATGTAGCAGGAGAAAAATAATACACTGTCAAGGCTTTTGTACACTTTTTAAAGCTCTTCTTGAACAAGAAGTCTCCACAAGTCAATTCTACCAGGGAGTGTTGCCTTGTTTTATGCTCGTTATGACCAAAACTTAGCTCAGGAAATTGCATTACTTTATAATTTTCCTATATATTTGCAGAACACGACATTTTCTAAAATGTAAAATGTGTGTTCTCTGGCCTTTGCATGTATTTTAGTTCTTCTATTTAATTAATGAGTGATTCTTAATGATTTTAATTTGGATTTTCTTAGAATTTTCAGCTTTTCTTCTCCGGTTTCTCCCCATCTTTGTGGTTTTATCTACCTTTGGTCTTTCAGGTTGGTGACCTACAGATGGGGTTTTGGTGTGGATGTTCTTTTTGTTGATGTTGATGCTATTCCTTTCTGTTTGTTAGTTTTCCTTCTAACGGTCAGGTCCCTCAGCTGCAGGTCTGTTGGAGTTTGCTAGAGGTCCACTCCAGACCCTGTTTGCCTGGGTATCACCAGTGGAGGCTCAGTTGGAAATGCAGAAATCACCCATCTTCTGCATCGATCACGCTGGGAGCTGCAGATCAGAGCTGTTCCTATTTGGCCATCTTGGAACAGAGTAATTTGGACTTTATTATTTCACATATAACCAATCCTTCATAACCATGTCTAATAGTACAATTGTTTTTCAGAGGATCTTGGCTTGGCATAGTGGCTCATGCCTGTAATCCCAGAACTTTGAGAGGCTGAGGCAGGAGGATTTCTTGAACCCAGGTGTTCAAGACCAGCCTGAGCAACATAGTGAGTCCCCATCTCTAAAAAAAAAAATTTAAGTAGCCAGGAAAGACCAGCTGATATTGCACCACTTCACTCCACCCTGGGATACAGAATGATACCTTGTCTCAGAAAACAAAAACAAAAACAAAAAAAAAACAGAGAAAGAGATTTAAAAAAAAAAAAGATCTCATGCCTGCACAGCTCATTTAATGAGCCCTAAATTAGTGTCTCTTACTCTTGCTCTTCCATCTCTAACATGGTCCTATCAAACTCTGCTTCTAATGATCTCTTAGATTTTCCCTAGCCGGCGGTCGGGAAGGGGGGACCCTTCCCCTCCAGGAAGGCTGATGACTGGTGTCCTCCCTCTCCTTCGATCACCTCCTGACCATTCACAACTGCAGACATGAGTCATGGTAGTGTACAGCTTATATGAACATGGGATTTATACCTGACTCATTTTACATTTTTTACACCACCCAGCACAATGCCTATCATTATTGGAACCAGAATTTGTGTTTTCTTTGACATCCTACCTACTAAAATAAAACACATCATAGAAAAGAAATCCAAATAAGCAAAAACACTAATTTTCAGAAAAAAATTTGTGTTTATAGTTTTTTCTCATGCTATTAATCTCCACTTAGCTTGAGCTTGTCATTCTACTCCTGTTTCTGTGTGTGCGTGTGTGCGTGAATTTCAAGAGTCCTTTATTAGACCTTTTCTAAAACTAATCTAGCACCCATCAATTTTATTTTTTGATCTCTTCTATGACTTCTGTACTTTTTCATTCTTTGTATTATACAGGGTTTTCCAGAAAAACAACAGAACTAATATGATAGATATTATATTTATACACAGATACGTATACACACACACATATATATATATACATACATACATAGTTATTATGTGTATGTTGAATGTCCCTTATTTTAAATGCCTAAGACGAGAAGTATTTCAGATTTTGAAATATATATACTACATGCATTAAGCATCCTAAATCTGAAAATCCAAAATTTAAAATAATCTAATGAGCATTTACTTTGAGATATATTGGTGCTCAAAGAAACTGGGGTATTGAAATGTTTCAGATTTCAGATTTTCAGACTTGAGGAGCTCAACCTCTATACATATACATGAAAGTAGATTTATTATTTGAGTTGGCTCACAGAGTTATAAAGGCCAAGAGTCCCATGATCAGCCATCTGCAAACTGGAAAGTCAATGACATAATTCAATCTGACTCCAAAGGACTGAGAACCAGGAACCAATGGTAGAAGTTCCAATCGCGTTTTAAAGACCTAAAATACAATGATGTGGGAGGGTAGAAGACAATGAATGTCCCAGCTCAAGCAGAGATCAAATTCACCCTTCCTCTACTTTTTTGTTCTATTCAAGCCCTCAACAGATTGGATGATGCCTGCCCACATTAATAAGGGTGCTCTTCTTTACTCAGTCTACTGATTCAAATTGCTATTCCCTTTAGAAATACCCTCTCAGACACACTCAGATGTATTTTATCAGCCATCTGGGTATCTTTTTGCCAAATTAATTTGACATGTAAAATTTACCATTCTAGCTTTATACTGCTATTATTTTATTTTTTTCTTTTTTTAGTTTGTCTTTTCAACGGAAGAGGCCTTGCCTATCCATGATATCCCAATTCATTGCCTAATAGAGTTCATTCAGTGAATATAGGGGGAAAAAAGAGATTTTAATTGCTTGAAACTCATCTGGCTAATTACATATTTGCTGCCTTTGTTGGGTGCATGGTCATCTCTTATCAGAAAATTGCAAATGTGGCTATGTCTTTCAGGTCTATTTCTATATCTAACTTTTTATTATATAATGTGAAAAAATGTAGTACTTAATTGGAAATCTAGACATTTTCACAGTTGACCACAGTCTTACAACCCAGGAGGCAGAAATACAAATATATATATATATAAAATATAATTTGCTTCTTTCTATATTATCATTTACAGTATTATTAGCATAATTTTCCAATTGAGTAAATATTCTAGTAACACATAATTTGAAAGTTTACTTTAGCTTGATCATTACACATTGTATGCTTGCATCAAATTTTCAAATATTCCCTGTGATATTTTGTATATAGAGATATACAAATACATCATTACCACTTAGATAAAGAAACTCAGATTGATAATAGTTAAATACCATCTTAACTGAGTCAGTAATGGAGCCAGAACTTGAACCCTATCAATCAGATTCTAGAGGCTGTTCATTTCATCACAAAATTTCTCGTGACACTAAGACAAAATTATTTTTACAAATGGCACGATCAGGCAAAATAACTTGGTTCTTAGGTACTAAGTCATATTTATTTTCAGTTATTTATTTTTAGTTCAATAGTTTTTGGGAAACAGGTGGTTTTTGGTTACATAGATAAGTTCTTCAGTGGTGATTTCTGAGATTTTGGTGCACCTGTCACCTGAACAGTGTACACTGTGCCCAACGTGTAGTCTTTCATCCCTCACCCCCTCTCACCCTTCCTCCTGAGTCCCCAAAGTCCATTAGATCATTCTTATGCCTTTGCATCCTCAAAACTTAGTTCTCACTTACAAGTGAGAAAATATAATGCTTGGTTTTCTATATTGACTTACTTAACTTAGAATAATGGTCTCCAACTACATCTAGGTTGCTGTGAATGCCATTGTTTCTTTCCATTTTTATGGCTGAGTAGTATTCCATGGTATAGAGATACCACATATTCTTTATCCACTTGTTGGTTGATAGGCATTTAGGCCAGTTCCATATTTTTGCAGCTGCAAATTGTACTGCTATAAACATGTGAGTGCAAGTGCCGTTTTCATATTCTTTTTCATAGTCTTCTTTTCCTCTGGGTGGATACCCAGAAGTGGGATTGCTAGATAAAATGGTAGTTCTACTTTAGTTCTTTTAGGAATTTCCATACTGTTTTTCATAGTGGTTGTACCAGTTTGCATTCTCACCAGTGGCATAAAAGTGATCACTTTTCACCACATCTACACCAACACCTTTTTTTAAAAAAAAATTATGGCCATTCTTGCAGAAGTAAGGAGTAAGGTGTTATCTCTTTATGGTTTTAAATTGAATTTCCCTGATAATTAGTGATGTTGAGCAGTTTTCCATATGTTTGCTGGTCATTTGTGTAACTTCTTTTGAGAATCGTCTATTAATGTCCTTAGACCAAATTTTTTTTTATTATTATACTTTAAGTTTTAGGGTACCTGTGCACAACGTGCAGCTTTGTTACATACATATACATGTGCCATGTTGGTGTGCTGCACCCATTAACTCATCATTTAGCATTAGGTATATCTCCTAATGCTATCCCTCCCCACCTCCCCGCAACCCACAAAAGTCCCCAGTGTGTGATGTTCCCCTTCCTGTGTCAATGTGTTCTCATTGTTCAGTTCCCACCTATGAGTGAGAACATGCAGGTGTTTGGTTTTTTGCCCTTGCGATAGTTTGCTGGGAATGATGGTTTCCAGCTTCATCCATGTCCCTACAAAGGACACGAACTCATCATTTTTTATGGCTGCATAGTATTCCATGGTGTATATGTGCCACATTTTCTTAATCCAGTCTATCATTGTTGGACATTTGGGATGGTTCCAAGTCTTTGCTATTGTGAATAGTGCCGCAATAAACATACGTGTGCATGTGTCTTTATAGCAGCGTGATTTATAATCCTTTGGGTATATACCCAGTAGTGGGATGGCTGGTTCAAATGGTATTTCTAGTTCTAGATCCCTGAGGAATCTACACACCGACTTCTACAATGGTTGAACTAGTTTACAGTCCCACCAACAGTGTAAAAGTGTTCCTATTTCTCCATATCCTCTCCAGCACCTGTTGTTTCCTGACTTTTTAATGATCGCCATTCTAACTGGTGTGAGATGGTATCTCATTTTGGTTTCAATTTGCATTTCTCTGATGGCCAGTGATGATGAGCATTTTTTCATTTGTTTTTTGGCTGCATATATCTCTTCTTTTGAGAAGTGTCTGTTCACATCCTTTGACCACTTTTGGATGGGGTTGTTTGTTTTTTTCTTGTAAATTTGTTTGAGTTCATTGTACATTCTGGATATTAGCCCTTTGTCAGATGAGTAGATTGCAAAAATTTTCTCCCATTCTGTAGGTTGCCTGTTCACTCTGATGGTGGTTTCTTTAGCTGTGCAGAAGCTCTTTAGTTTAATTAGATCCCATTTGTCAATTTTGTCTTTTGTTGCCATTACTTTTGGTGTTTTAGACATGAAGTCCTTCCCATGCCTATGTCCTGAATGGTATTGCCTAGGTTTTCTTCTAGGGTTTTTATGGTTTTAGGTCTAACATGTAAGCCTTTAATCCATCTTGAATTAATTTTTGTATAAGGTGTAAGGAAGGGATCCAGTTTCAGCTTTCTACATATGGCTAGCCAGTTTTCCCAGCACCATTTATTAAATAGGGAATCTTTTCCCCATTTCTTCTTTTGTCAGGTTTGTCAAAGATCAGATAGTTGTAGATATGCGGCATTATTTCTGAGGGCTCTGTTGTGTTCCATTGGTCTATATCTCTGTTTTGGTACCAGTGCCATGCTGTTTTGGTTACAGTAGCCTTGTAGTATAGTTTGAAGTCAGGTAGCGTGATGCCTCCAGCTTTGTTCTTTTGGCTTAGGATTGACTTGGCAATGCAGGCTCTTTTTTGGTTCCATATGAACTTTAAAGTAGTTTTCCCAATTCTGTGAAGAAAGTCATTGGTAGCTTGGTGGGGATGGCATTGAATCTATAAATTACCTTGGGCAGTGTGGCCATTTTCACGACATTGATTCTTCCTACCCATGAGCATGAAATGTTCTTCCATTTGTTTGTATCCTCTTTTATTTCATTGAGCAGTGGTTTGTAGTTCTCCTTGAAGAGGTCCTTCACGTCCCTTGTAAGTTGGATTCCTAGGTATTTTATTGTCTTTGAAGCAATTGTGAATGGGAGTTCACTCATCATTTGGCTCTCTGTTTGTTATTGGTGTATAAGAATGCTTGTGATTTTTGCACATTGATTTTGTATACTGAGACTTTGCTGAAGTTGCTCATCAGCTTAAGGAGATTTTGGGCTGAGAACATGGGGTTTTCTAGATACACAATGATGTCATCAGCAAACAGGGACAATTTGACTTCCTCTTTTCCTAATTGAATACCCTTTAGTTCCTTCTCCTGCCTGATTGCCCTGGCCAGAATTTCCAACACTATGTTGAATAGGAGTGGTGAGAGAGGGCATCCCTGTCTTGTGCCAGTTTTCAAAGGGAATGCTTCCAGTTTCTGCCCATTCAGTATGATATTGGCTGTGGGTTTGTCATAGATAGCTCTTATTATTTTGAGATACGTCCCATCAATACCTAATTTATTGAGAGTTTTTAGCATGAAGGGTTGTTGAATTTTGTCAAAGGCCTTTTCTGCATCTATTGAGATAATTATGTGGTTTTTGTCTTTGGTTCTGTTTATATGCTGGATTACGTTTATTGATTTTTGTATGTTGAACCAGCCTTGCATCCTAGGAATGAAGCCCACTTGATCATGGTGGATAAGCTTTTTGATGTGCTGCTGGATTCGGTTTGCCAGTATTTTATTAAGGATTTTTGCATCAATGTTCATCAAAGATATTGGTCTAAAATTCTCTTTTTTTGTTGTGACTCTGCCAGGCTTTGGTATCAAGATGATGCTGGCCTCATAAAATGAGTTAGGGAGGATTCTCTCTTTTACTATTGATTGGAATAGTTTCAGAAGGAATGGTACCAGCTCCTTCTTGTACCTCTGGTAGAATTCGGCTGTGAATCCATCTGGTCCTGGACTTTTTTTGGTTGGTAAGCTATTAATTATTTCCTCAATTCAGAGCCTGTTATTGGTCTATCTTAGCCCACTTTTTAAACAGATTTTTTTTTCTTCCTGATTTGTTTGAGTTCCTTTTAGAATCTGGATATTAGTCCTTTGTCAAATGCATAGTTTGTTAACATTTTCTCCCATTCTGTGAGTTGTTTGTTTACTCTGCCGATTATTTATTTTGCTGTGCTGCTGTGCAGAAGTGTTTTAGCTTAATTATGTCCCATCTATTTATCTTTATCTTTGTTTTTGTTGCATTTGCTTTTGGGTTCTTTGTCATGAACTCTTTGCCTAAACCAGGTGTCTAGAAGAGTTTTTCTGATGTTATCATCTAGAATTTTTATGGTGTCAGGTCTTAGATTTAATTCTTTGTTCCATCTTGATTTGATTTTTGTATAAGGTGAGAGATGACCAGTTTCATTCTCCTACATGTGGCTTGCCAATTATCCCAGCACCATTTGTTGAATAGGGTGTCCTTTCCTCATTTTATATTTTTGTTCATTTTGTTGAAGATCAGTTGCATGTAAGAATTTGGCTTTATTTCTGGTTTCTCTATTCTGTCTCATTTGTCTATGTGCCTATTTTTATATCAGTACCATGCTGTTTTGGTAACTATAGCCTTGTAACATAGTTTGAAGTCGGAAAGTGTGATGCTTCTGGATTTGTTATTTTTGCTTAGATTTGCTTTGGCTATGCAGGCTCTTTTTTGGTTCTATATGAATTTGAGGATTGTTGTTTCCAATTCTGTGAAAAATGGTGACTATATTTTCATCAGAATTGCATTGAATTTATAAATTGCCTTCGGCAGTATGGTCATTTTGACAATATTGATATTACCCATCCATAAGCATGGGGTGTGTTTCCATATATTTGTGTTAACTATGATTTCTTTCAGCAGTGTTTTGTAGTTTTACTTGTAAAGATCTTTCACATCTTTGGTTAGGTATATTCTTGAGAATTTCTTTTAGCTGTTTTAAAAGGGGTTGAGTATTTGATATGATTTTCAACTTGATCGCTGTCAGTGTATAGCAATGCTACTGATTTGTGTACCTTGGTTTTGTATCCTGAGACCTTACTGAATTCTTTATCAGATCTAGAAGCTTTTTGGCTGAGATTTTGGGGTTTTCTAGGTATATGATTATACGATTATGTCATCAGTGAACAGCGAGAGTTTGACTTCCTCTTTATCAATTTGGATGTCCTTTTTTTCTTTCTCTTGTCTGATTGATCTGGCTAGGTCTTCCGGTACTATGTTGAATAGAATTGGTGAAAAAGTGCATCCTAGTTTTGTTCCAGTTCTCCAGGAGAATGCTTTCAATTGTCTCTAATCAGTATAATGTTGATTGTGGGTTTGTGGTAGACAGCTTTTATTACCTTCTATGCCGATTTTGCTGAAGATTTTAATCATAAAGGGATGCTGGATTTTGTCAAATACTTTTCCTGCATCTATTGAGATGATCATGTTTTTTGGCTTTTAATTCTGCTTATGTGATGTATCACATTTATTTATTTGAGTATGTTAAACCCTCCCTGAATCCCTAGTATGAAACCACTTGATCATGGTGAATTATCTTTTTGATATGATGTTGGATTTGATTTGCTAGTATTTTGTTGAGGATTTTTGCATCTATGTTCATCAAGGATATTGGTCTGTAGTTTTATTCTTTTGTTATGTCTTTTCCTGGTTTGGGTATTAAGGTGATACTGGCTTCATAGAATGATTTAGGGAGAATTTCCTTTTTCTCTATATTTAGAATAGTTTCAGTAAGATTGGTGACAATTCCTCTTTGAATGTCTGATAGAATTCAGCTGTGAATCCATCTGGTCCTGGACTTTTTTTGTTGGCAATTTTTAAAAATTATCATTTCAGTCTCACTGCTTGTTATTGGTCTGTTCAGAGTTTCTATATCATCTTGGTTTAACCTAGGAAAGTTGTATATTTCCAGGAATATACCCATCTCCTTTAGGTTTTCTAGTTTGTGTAAAGGTGTTCATAGTAGCCTTGAATGATCTTTTGTATTTCTGTGGTATCAGTTGTAATATCTCTCATTTCATTTCTAATTGAGCTTATTTGGATCCTCTCTTTGTTCTTTGCTTAATCTCTCTAATGGTCTATCAATTTTGTTTGTGTTTTCAAATAACCAGTTTTTTGTTTCATTTATCCTTTGTATTTTTTTGTTGTTTTAATTTTATTTATTTCTTTTCTGCTCTTTGTTATTTCTTTTCTTCTGCTGGGATTGTGTCTGGTTTGTTCTTGTTTCTCTAGTTCATTGGGTGTGAGCTTAGATTGTCTACTTGTGTTCTTTCAGAATTTTTGATGTAGGCATTTAATGCTATGAACTTTCCTCTTAGCATCATTTGTGCTGTATCCCAGAGATTTACATAGGTTGTTTCACTATTTTTGTTCAGTTTAAAGAATTTTTATATTTCCATCTTGATTTTATTATTTTCACAAAGATCATTCAGGAGGAGATTATTTAATTTTCATGTATTAGTGCTGTTTTGACGGCAACCTTTTAGAGTTGATTTCCAATTTTATTCCATTGTGGTCTGAGAGGAAGTCATATTTCTTAAGCTTTACCTTAGTTCCTAGCATTGTTCTTGACACATAGCAGAGTTTTAAAAGTGGCTGTACATTGTTTAGGGCCTTAAGTTATGAACTAGATAGAAATATTTGTTTTATTTTCCTATTTAGACCTTTCTAAAGTATGAGTCACAAGTTTTACTACATGTCATTTTATGATTTAATTTTTATTCCCAAATATTTCTCAAAGGAATTACTGTTATTTCTTTTTGATACAATCAAGAACATAGACTGAGATATTGGTTCCCTAACGATCTACTCAAGTTAAATTTGGCACAACTAGATGCATTATCATAGACGTCCTATAGAAGACCTTAGAAACAGTGAGTTTACGGTTTTTATAAATAAATGTTTACAAACTTGGTTTAAAAATCAACAATCATGGCCTGGCACGGTGGCTCACGCCTGTAATCCCAGCACTTTGGGAGGCTGAGGCGGGCGGATCACGAGGTCAGGAGATGGAGACCATCCTGGCTAACATGGTGAAACCCCATCTCTACCAAAAATACAAAAAATTAGCCGGGCATGGTGGCGGGCTCCTGTAGTCCCAGCTACTTGGGAGACTGAGGCAGGAGAATGGCTTAAACCTGTGAGGCAGAGCTTGCAGTGAGCTGAGATCGCGCCACTGCACTCCAGCCTGGGGTGACAGAGCAAGACTCCATCTCAAAAAAAAAAAAAAAAAAAAAAAAAAAAAAAAAAAAAAAATCAACTATTATGAAAACAACAACAAAAATAAAAGCATATATTTGGCAATATACTAGCAATAATGGAATGATTATACAAAGTAAATTAGAATATTTTCTTCTACAATTAAATTTCACATTAATCTTTTTTTTTTCTCCCTTAAGTCACCACAGAAAGGAGCAGAAATGGAGGAATAAAGCTGACTGTAAAACAAACATGAAAACAAAATAACCTTATCCAGAAGCTAGTAAACCCATCTATAGGAGTGTCATCAATATTAGTTTACTGTGATTATATAAAAGAATTATATTGTTTTAAAGGATTTTTTCACAAGAGTAGAAGCTTAAAAATAATAAATTAGTTGTCTTTAGAAATGTATATAGAGAGATCCAAAGCTCAGTCTTTGAAACTCCTCTCTTTCTCTGCCTCTCTTTCTCTCCCAAAGTGTAAAGTAAGACATAATTTCAATATGAGACAATTTATATTTTATTACTGTCAAAGTAAGAAGGTTCTAAGTTTATGACCCAGTGAAGTCTGTGTTAGACTGTGTTTAAAAATAAGTTAAGTAGAAATCACAAAGAGGTGTTCTCTATCTTTCAAGATTTTAAAATTTCATTTTATTTCATTTCATGATAAATTTTAATAGATCAATCAATTTTATATGTCATCTGTCTATCCAGGAATGTGAAATTATTCTATCATTTTACATAGTTCAAAATCCCATTGCTATTTGAAATTAGTAGAAAACTGAATCAATTTTTTTTTCCATTTCAAAACTCTACTATGTCCATGACACCAGATACTGACCCTTACATTATCTCAGTTTGAAATATACCTAATCTGAAATGTATTATTTTTTGGTATTTTGAGAACTGATCAAATTTTATTGGGCAGACTTTTCTCTCCATGAAAGCATTTGCATTGTACTCTTAGCAGTAACATGTAAACAAGATCAATGT
The DNA here is from genome assembly GCF_000001405.40 of Homo sapiens. Classification (NCBI taxonomy): domain Eukaryota; kingdom Metazoa; phylum Chordata; class Mammalia; order Primates; family Hominidae; genus Homo; species Homo sapiens. Next base: position 29,879,095 of record NC_000004.12, read on the forward strand.
ATAGATAAACAATATTGCATCATCTTATCTTGTCATAAAAGAATCTTAATAATCAAACACTGCTTATATCAAACTAATTTTCATTCAGAAAATTTACAGTGTGTATCCTACATATTTTCCTCCCCACTGATTTTTGTATGGCCTCTTTTCCATAGGCAGGTATTTTCAATATAATTTTATTACTCTAATTTATTAATCTGAGAGAAACATTCCAAATTAAAAATATTTTCAATCAATATGTTCCAGTCGACTAAAAACTGCTTTGGCCATGTTAACCTGATACTTTATATGCTTAGAATGAAAGCAAGTGTGATAGCTAGGAAAACCTATATACAGATCTAGTTTCAAAAAATGAAAGTGGCTTCATCTAAAAGCTCATCAAAAAGATTAGACCTGGTTTCTAATCAGAGCATTTTACAGCAGTAAAAGCTATGGGGAAAAGGCAGTATAAGTCAGGGTGTGGCATTTAGGGACTCAACAGGTAAGCTTATTTTATGCATTGTATGATGTGATTTTACACTGGTTTGTTTTTACAGCTCAGAACATCTTTATGTAAAATTCTTGTAGATTTTTATGTGATTCTGATCACTGTATTTATTAATATTATGAAATATCACAGGAAATCAAAGCCAGAACATGTATAATTTTGTTCATCATGATGTTTTGTTAGATTATGATTGGATGTAATCATGTATGTCAAATATTTAGATATTTTTGGTTACAAAGCACTTTTGCTATATGTTGATATATTAAGCTATATAACCAGGTAATTCTATTAGGCTCTTTCCAAGCTAATGTTTCTGGTTTCTGCATTGTTATCTGGTTATCCTAAGTCATTGATCTAAGGTGCATTTCAGTATCTAATTCCCAGGGGTCTCTTTGGATTGTAGTTCCCCATGATTCCCACAAATTTTTTAGACTGGGGTGCTACTTTATTTTCTGCTTCACTGAAAAATTGCAAGCCTTTTTTCCCAAGGATTGTTGGCTTGAACTCTGGATGCGTACTTGGACCATGGTGATAAAAATGCACCATCTCATCTGGATTCTCTCTGGCTATATTGCACTGAGCAATCTGTAACCTAAAACAAGAATGAGATGAATTTTCCATATGTAACTGATGATGCTTTTCATATCCTTGGATTATTTCCTCTTATTGGCATCACTTCATAACATTTTTTAGCTGATGTCATAGCAGATTCTATTTCCTAAGATTTTTTCACTAACCACTAATCTAAATTTGCCTAAAATAAATCTTAACTCACATGAGCAACCATAAAAATCAACTATCTGTGATCTTTAGTACACTGTTACAAGTATAAGTATTTACCTGTTACCTAACCCTAACCCTATGCAGTATCTCTGGTAGTTATCATTTTAAACATCTGTGATTTTTAAAATAAGCTAATTGGAAATTGGTTGTCTTCTCACTCTGCTTGTTAAACTATATGCCTTATTACATGTTTACAATTTTTGTTAAGTATTGCAGCGTTCTAATCTCAGTATGAAATGGCTGCCTAAAGGCAAGAAACATAACTTCCTGTAGATATGATAAGTTACAGTAAGTTAGGTAAGTAGGAAACTGAAGCAAAGGGCTCATGGTCTTCTAGAGAGAAGCTTCCAGATGATGTAGTTATATGAGAATGGAGATCTGTGGTTGATAAAAATTTTGATTGTTCAAGAGAAGTTCAATATCTGGATTTCATACACAATGAACCTTTTTAAAAAGTGTTGTTTAATAATTTATTTTTGAAAAGTGATTAGCCAAGAAAATTTTGTCTATGGCCGGAATCTACATCTTGGATAGCAGTGTTCAAATTATCCAAAGTTACTTAAAATAACCAAAGCTACATTGTAAGTAGATTATTTTAATCAAAATGTTTTACTCTAACTCCCCTTATCATAGAGGCTTTCTAAGTTATATCCACCTGCACAGAGTAATAACACTTATCAAGACATTATTAAATATGCACTTACTAAATATACTGCTATAAGTATTACAAAGACAGGAATGTTTAAATATAAAGAAATGAGACTTGAGAAATCTGGACAAGAAAGCATCCTCCACCCTATCCTCAGCTGTTCATTGGGGAATGGTGAATATTTTCTGCACTAGATGCTATTAGATCCATATTTCTGAAGTGAGGTATTAATTTAGTCAGTATAATGAGCAATACATTTAGATTAAAAGGGAGCAACAGACATCAAATCTCGAGAAACATTGATTGTACTAGGAAACAAAATCACCTGAAAGAACCAGACTTCAAAGAAGCTAATCACATAGCTACATGAAGACATTTTCTTTTCTTGCATAAAAGATGTACTAGCAATAGGGCTACAAAGCAACACAAAGAAATCCAGATATGTGAGAATTTGATCAAATATTAAAAATGAACCAGATAAAATATATGCAAATCACTTAGAAATAACCTCAACTGGAGAAACCAGAGAAGTGGCAGTGAATAAATAAAAATAAAAGAGGAAACTTTAAATAATTTTTTAAAAATTGATTATTAATTTCCTCACTGAGCTCTCAGGAATTTCCCTACACAATTATTCATTTTCAAATGGGCACACTGCAAAAGCATCTCCCACCCATACACTTCTTCCACAACCTTTCTCTGCAATTCTCTCTTCCTTTGGGCAGGAAATTTCCCAAAATAATTGCTTATATTTTCAATTTACATTTTTTTCTGTCTTTATTTCTGAAACTTATTTTATTCAAGTTTTCATCTTCACCCAAAACACAAAAACAGTCTTGTCCAATTCACAAATTTTATCTGTATAACTAAAACAGTGCTTTATTATCTTTCCTCCTCATATTTGACCTATTAGTTGTGTTTGATATAAGTTCATCTCTCCCTCCTCTTAGGTATACTTTCTTCATTTGGATTCCAAGACAAAAGTACCATATTTATTCTCCTTTCTTACCGGTTGTTACTTCTCAATTTTCTATGCTTTTTACTCCACTTTCCTAAGTCTCTTAATATTGAAGAGTCTCAGGGCTCATTTTGGGTGAATGTTTTCTTTACTAACTATGTTCACTCACTTATTTATATAATACAATTTTATGACTTTTAATAATACTTATATTGCCACTCCAGACCTCTCTGTAATTCTATACTCATGCGTCTAAATGCGTAACCAAAATCTCCATTTGAATGCCTACCTCATATTTCAAACTTACCATGTAGTCTGATCTTCCTTCTCAAACCAACTGCAGGTGTAGTTTCTCCATTTTAGTGAATAGCAAATCTATTCTTTGAGTTGGACTTGTCAAAACCTTGATTTCATATTTGGTTTCTTCCTTTCTTATGTAAACCCCAGAATTCCATCAGGAAATTTGATTGTTTTCTTATAGATCGCTCCAGATACAATCACTTTTGTTTTAACTCACCTGTTACAACTCTAGTTTGAACAACATGATCTCTTTCCTCTACTGTGATTATCCTGATAGGGCCATCATTGTCTTTTACATAGACCACTACCACAGCCCTCCAGCTTGTCTCCTTGCTTTAAACATTGACCACTTATAACCACTTTTAAAACATATGTCAGGCCTAATCAGCCCTCCCTACGAAATTATGACTTATTTTCTTTTTTATTTTTTAAGATATGAAGTCTTACTCTGTCACCCAGGCTGCAGTGCTGTGACATATGATCATAACTCTCTGCTGCCTTGAACTCCCAGGCTCAAGGAATACACCTTCTTTATCCTCCTGAGTAGCTGGGATCACAAGCATGGGCCACCATGCCCCAATGAATGACTTCTTAACTCCAAGTGAGAGACAAAGGCTTACAATAGCCAACATAGCCATCCATGAGTCTGATCTCTTTGATGTTATATCTATTACCTTCTCCATTTCTTGAACTATTCCAGGTACACTGCCCTCACTGCTGTTCCTTGAGCCGGCATTCTACCACCTTAAGGTCTTGCACTGGCTTTCTTCTTTGACTAGAATGATTTTACTTCTAGATGCCCAATGGCTAATTTCCTTACATGTTTCAAGACCTTTTTTAATGGGCGTCTTCTCAATTAGTTTTTGCTCACTACTGTTTATAACTTCAACCACTGACGCTGCTGTACAGTCCTCCTAATCTCTGCTGTCTTTATTTCTATACTGCTTATGAATTTCTACCTATCTTGATTACTGTTCTTATGTTTATTCCCTATTACCCACGGAGAGTATATAAAGTCCACAAAGAAAAATAATTTCCACATTTTCTCCCTGACGTACTCCAACTCCCACATGAAATACTCAGGAAGCATTTGCTGTATAAGCACATTAGAAAGATGAAGAGATAGAAAAAAATAAGCGAAAAGAGAGTTTGGAAACACGAAGGATTGCTTGAGAAGGTGAAAGTTATATTTAATTAAAATTTCAGAAGCAGATTTAAGAGAAACACTGCAAGAAAAAAAATCCCCAAAAAATCAAGGATGAATTTACCTATAACTAAAACAAAAAAACAACAACAGAACACCAATAGCAAGAAACAAGCTTTTAGAAAGACAGTGGACACTAGTTACAGGTTTCTTATAAGCAGCGATGGATTACACATGAATATTTTGAATTATTGTTTCCAAAATTTAATACATTTTGGCGTTTTTAAAGATATATAGTGGTTTGATATGAAAATAATGTGCTAAGAAAACTTATAAAATTTAATACATTTTCTAAGGAAAAACTGATTTTAAATGTTATCAGTAAAATACATAGTAATCATATTTTCATAACTTCGTTAAGTACTAAAGGAGCTCATTCTCAAAACTTTTATATGAAAGGTAAATTGTGTAAGGGAGAGCATATATGATTGAATTGAGCTGACAATCAGTATATGTATTAAGTAATTGTAAAATGTGAGTATATTAAATGTTCATAATTAATATTTTGTTTACATAAAATAGAATCTTACTTAAAAGTAATTAGAAACCAAATATTATACAACAGAGTTGTTTTTACTAAATTTGCAGAATTATTTTATTTGCTAATTAGAATATTTTTTTTCTGATTTATGTATCATTAGAACTTACACTTATGCTGGCTACCCTATAAATACCAATCAATTTTATTCATTGTATATATTTCACCTATAATATTTGTTCTTGGCATTTGTACATTATATTTTATGAAGTATTTAATTTTCAAAGCAATTAATAAGAGTTGTTAGACTAGTATTTAAGCATTGTAGAGAGAAACAAATCAAACAGAAGTAAAAATGTTTTAAAGCTGATATAACTAGCACATTGCCAGATCAAGACTGAACTTGTCTTGATAATAGCCAAAATGCTATTTTGCTGAAGTAATACGAAAGTGATTGTGACCAATAAAGCTGCAGATAAGTGAAAGTTAAAATGTTAACAATTTCATAATTCTGTACTCCATATTAAAGACAATCTCATATATTGTGATGCAAATGAAGCAATATACAGATTAAAGCTATGTTTTAACTGTGTCTAATATCATTTACAGACTGCTACTAATTCTACTGTAATAATTTTACTAGTTTTAACAATTACTTCTTGATATATTATCTACTCTTTAAAACCCAATGATATAAAGCTCTATTGTTCTTATACTTCTTCAAAAAATCAAGATAAAAGATTTTCAGGATAGAGATAGATATAGTATTGACAGAGAAAACAAACAAAAGAACCATGGGTGGCCTAGAAGAGTCGTCTGACACTTTAAAATTATGATTCATAGGCTCCTTTTCAGACCTAAGAAGTCTGAATATTTACAGATGTATACTTAGAATCTAACTGTTTAACAAATTTTTCATTTATTTCTCACATCACACGAGTCTCTTCCTAAGTTTGGTATGTGAAATTGTTGACCTACTATATTTCTTATTCCAATTTTTAAATAAATGCAGAACTAGGCAGCCTTCATTTTAATACAGTGTATACAATGTATACAATGTATGCTTTAAACATCCATTACTTAACTAATACTCTATGCTAGATAATATAAGAATAAGTCATTAAAAATGTGGTTGATATTTTAAGTAATTAAAAATATTTATAAGCAAGAAGGCATTAGTCTAGTTGTTGTCAGCTCGTCATAAAATGATTGCAGTTATATAAAAATATAGCTGAGTAATTACATATTTTTAAATGCTAACTTGGGATAGAGTAAGTCAATAAGGCACATAGATGAAATAGGAAATCAATAAATATTATTTTACCTCATTTATGCAGTATGGGAAAGAATTGATAATAATGGAAATGGAGGAAATTTATTATAAGATAAAGTCAAAAACCTTGGAAAATTACACATACATCCCTAAACAATATGCTACTTTTTTACTCCTTTCTCTGATAATTCCCCATGCCCTACTATTTAGTCATATTAATTGCAAGATCCTTAAAACATCATTCTGGTAAGCAATCTGTGAATATGTCAGGTTACATGGCAAAAAGGAATTAAAGGATGTTAATCAAACGCCCTTAAATAAAATAATCATCTCTGATTATCTAGGTGGGTCCAATGTAATTACAAGGGTTCTATAAAGTGGGAGAGGCAGAAGAGGAAAAACAAAGGGAAATGTGGCAATGGAAGACAGATACAGAGTGATGCAATACAGCTAGTTAAGAGCAGGAGGAAGTGGACCACTAACCAAGGGAAGTGGATGTGACCTCTAGAAGCTGGAGGAGGCATGACAATGGATTCTCCGCTATAGCCTTTAGAAAGAACACAGTGCAAACACATTTATTTTAGCCTAGTGAGACCTGTGTAGAAATTCTGACCTATAGAACTGTAAAATAATTTTTATGTTGTTTAAATGACTGAATTTGTTATCATATAGTCACAGAAGCAATACAAATTAATAGAACGATGCAATTTCCTTTTGATAAGACCACTTATCCCGTTATTTCAGCAAAATGTTTACATGTCCATTAAAACCTATTTAAAATCTCTCTTTCTCTGTCTTGTCTGTTCTACTATTTTTTCCCCAAAAAATTAGAAAATGCATCTAACATAGTCTTGCAGCACTGGTCTGATCTTATAGAACCTAACATAGAATATTATAAATGATTACCTTCAGCATCATCAACAAAATATAAGCTCTTCAAAGATATAATTAATATCTTCATGTCTACGTCCCCAAAACTTAAAGTCATTTGACTCAAAATAAGTGCTCAGTTAATAATTACTGAGTTGAATTTGAGGTCATTAATCATTAGGAAAGGAATATTAAAAAATTTTGATCATGGAAAAGATAATGATAAATGTGTTTAAGTATCTGTGATTAAAAGATAGTAGGTTAGGGCTGGGTGCGGTGGCTCATGCCTGTGATCCCAGCACTTTGGGAGGCCAAGGAGGGCAGATCATCTGAGGTCAGGAGTTTGAGACCAGCCTGGTCAACACAGTGAAATCCTGTCTCTACTGAAGAAAAAAATAATAATAATTTAAATAGCTGGATGTGGTGGCAGGCACCTGTAATCCCAGATGCTAGTGAGGCTGAGGCAGGAGAATTGCTTGAACCCGGGAGCTGGAGGTTGCAGTGAGCCCAGATTGTGCCACTGCACTCCAGCCTGGACGACAGAGTGAGACTCTGCCTCAAAAAAAAAAAAAAAAAAAGAGAGAGATTAGATTAGTCAGTGTCTACCAGTGTCTCTGCCAGGAACTGGGATTATAGAGTTAAAAAAGAGCACAATCAGTTATTTTTCTCTTGGAGCTCCAACCGTATTACATTAAGGCATAAAACAATAACTGCAATTGTATTATATAAAAGTGTAATCACAAATAAAAAACATAAAACAAATGATTACATGATAAAAATATACCAAGTAGATACATGTAAAATTTCTGTAAACTTTCTTTTATTATTCAAAGTCCTTTTGAAGCAAATCTGTATAAGAAGTTTAGGGTGCTTTATTCCTACGGTGCAAAACATTTCTTTGTTTAGAAAAATCATTGGATGTACATTCTATTAATTGAGAAAATGAAAGAGCCACTTCTAAAATGCATTTTAAAACATATAGCCAGATAGTTAAATCTCAACTAATATTTTAAATAGGTATGTTTGTAGTAGGCAGAATTACATTACTGCAGATTATATATCCTGAGCACATTCTTTGTAAAGTGCATATTGATGCTTATCTTTGGGAGATACACCTGTCTTCTTGTTACAGTAGTTAACTTACAGGATATTTGAAGCCAAGATATAAGTTTAGAAAAGCGGAGGGGAATATTTGGAAAAAGCCTCTTAGGTTATAAGTTTAAAAGCAGAAGGCGGATCACGAGGTCAGGAGATCGAGACCATCCTGACTAACACAGTGAAACCCCGTCTCTACTAAAAATACAAAAAAAATTAGCCGGGCGTGGTGGCGGTCACCTGTAGTCCCACCTACTCGGCAGGCTGAGGCAGGAGAATGGCGTGAACCCGGGAGGCGGAGCTTGCAGTGAGCCGAGATCGCGCCACTGCACTCCAGCCCAGGCGACAGAGTGAGACTCCGTCTCAAAGAAAATACATAAATAAATAAAAACTAACTAAATAAATAAATAAAATAAAATAAAAGCAGAAGGAGTAAAATAGACAACAGAACAGAGTAATTACCACTCCCACAAATAGTCTTGAACCGGTCTTGTTTAGAGAGAGAGAAAGTGACGATTCTATCCGTTATAGAAAAATTATGCAGGGAAGAGCTCTTGATCCCCTTCTTAAAAATAGTGTAACAGTAAACAAATGTCTCAAATTTTCACCATTTCTGTTTGTCTATCATTAAAACAAATATAATAGTGGAACATGTCTTAATTGCATTGAGAATTATATAAGATAACGCTTGTAAATGAAGCTCTAATCAGTTCATCCAACATAAGAGATTAATATATTGTAGTTAGAAAAATACAAGAAGTCGATCCACATAGAAACAATAAAACATCCTTGATGATGGGTTGAACAAATTGATTACGTTATCTTTCCCTATAAAGGTGATGGAATAAAAAGGAAAACAGGTTTAAGATAAATTAACTTAAGGACAAAAACGCAGCATTTCAAAATTAATATGAATTTTAGAACTAGACAAAATTATTTATAGAAGTATAAAGCACAGTAGAAGAATTTGCCAGAAAACCTAAAAGACTTGAGAAAAGTCAAACTCAACTAAAACAATTGATATTTTCCTGTAGAAAGCCATGCTGGGGGCCCACTAAACATGAATGCTCATCACCTAGAGGTACCAACTCTGGTCAGAAACATATTATATTATGAAACCCACTTGATCATGGTAGATTATCTTTTTGATATGCTGTTGGATTCAGTTAGCTAGAATTTCATTAACGATTTTAGCATCTATGTTCATAAGAATATTGGTCTGTAGTTTTCTTTTTTTGATTGTGTCCTTTCCTGGTTTTGGTATTAGGGTTGATTCTGGCTTCATAGAATGAATTAGGGATGGTTCCACAATCTGTACAACTGACAAAGGACTAATATCCAGAGCCTACAATGAACTCAAACAAATCAGTAAGAAAAGAACAAACAATCTTATCAAAAAGTGGGCTAAAGACCCAAATAGACAATTCGCAAAAGAAGATATACAAATGGCCAGCAAACATATAAAAAAAATGCTCAACATCACTAATGACTAGGAAAATGCAAATCAAAACCACAATGCGATACCACCTTATGCCTGCAAAAATGGCCATAATCAAAAAATCAAAAAACAGTAGATGTTGGCATGGCTGTGGTGAGCATGGAACATTTCTACACTGCTGGGGGGAATGTTAATTAGTACTGCCACTATGGAAAACAGTGTGGAGATTCCTTAAAGAACTAACAGTAGAACTGCCATTTGATCCAGCAATGCCACTACTGGGTATGTACCCAGAGGAAAAGTAGTCATTATACAAAATGATACTTGCATACGCATGTTTATAGCAGCACAATTTACAATTGAAAAATCGTGGAACCAACACAAATGCCTATCAGTCAACAAGTGGATAAAGAAGCTGTGATGGTGGTGGTATGTATATGTTTATATACATATATACACACACACATATGATGGAATATGTATATCTACACAGGTGTATATTCATATATACATGATGACATACTATTCAGCCATGAAAAGGAATGAATTAACAGCATTTGCAGTGACCTGGATGAGATTGGAGACTATTATTCTAAGTGAAGTAACTCAGGAATGGAATACCAAGCATTGTATTTTCTCACTGATATGTGGAGCAAAGATATTAGACACAAAGGAATAAGAATAATACAATAGACTTTGGGGACTTGGGAGGAAGAGTGGGAGGGGATGAGTGAGGGATAAAAGACTACAAATATGGTGCAGTCTATACTGCTTGTTTACTGCTTGGGTGATGAATGCGCCAGAATCTCACAAATTGCCACTAAAGAACTTACTCATGTAACCAAATACCACGTGTACCTCAAAAAGGTATGGAAAAAATTAAAAATAAAAATAAATATTCAAAAGATTAATAATCAAACAGTTAACAAAGCCAGTATTATGAAACAGGGACACAAAAGTGAAATAAAAAAATAAAAACAAATTACCTAAACCTAAGGGAAATTAAAATGACAGCAATATGTGATATAGGAATACCTCAAAGATATTGAGGGTGCAGTTCAACAGGAGTGGAATAAAGAAAATATCACATTAAAGTGAGGCACACAAATCTTTTGGCTTTCTAGTACATAAAAAAGTTGTGTTTACACTATATCGTAGTCTATTTAGTGTGCAATAGCATTATATCTTTAAAATTAACATCTTTTAATTAAAAAATAGCTAAAAAATGCTAACGATCAACTGAGCCTTCAGTGGGTCATCTTTTTATTGCTGGAGGGTCGTGCCTCAATGTTGATGGCTTCTAATTGATCAGGGTGGTGGTTATGTAAGGTTAGGGTGGCTTTGCCAATATCTTGAAATAAAACAACTATGATTGTTCTGCCAGAACAGTAGAACTTTGAAAATTGGAGCCAATTCTCTCAAATCCTGACACAGCTTTATCAACTAAGCTTATGTAACATTCTCGATCCTTTGTTGTCATTTCAACAATGTTCACAGTATCTTCACCAGAAGTAGTTTCCATCTCAAGAAAACACTTCTTTTATTCTCCATAAAAAGCAACTCCTCATCCTTTCAAAGGTGATCATGAAATTGCAGCAATTCACTCTAATCTTCAGCCTCCACTTTAGATTTTTATTTTAGATGGAGTCTTGTTCTGTCACCCAGGCTGGAGTGCAGCTATGTATATTAAAATAGAATATGATAATTGTGTAGAACATACTTTGATATTTCAACATCTGTTATTGGAAGTTATAATAGAACAAACAAAATAAAAGGAAGAGAAAATTCTAAAATAAAGAATATAAAATATCTAAGTGAATTTATCATCTCTACAACTTTTCTTAAAGATAAGTTAATATTAAATAGACAGCAGCAAGATTAAAATAAATTCAAGAATATATAAAAAGTTTAAGAGAAATAATCAGTAATAAAAGGTTTTTGAAAATTAAAGATTTCTTAATATGTTGCTGGGAAGTTTTGGGCAACTGATATTTTAAAAATCATTGCAACAAGAGGCAATGAATTTGTTACAGTGAAATTTCTGTAACAAAAGTAACAATAACTAGTATTGTATATGTTTTAACAAACTTTGATCAGAGAAACGATACATTTAAATTAGGTAAGCTACTAGCCTTGAAAAAAGGCTTGAAATAATATAGTTCTTGAATAATTATGTATACTTCCAGAAAAAAAGTTTAAATATATTTAATAGAGATATTTAATGTAGTTATCAAATATATTTAATATAATAAAATATATTTAATATAGAGTTAACCTGAACACTCTAGGACTAAAGTATTATGGGGTACCAAATCAAAAAAGTGAACTAGAATTCCACATCAAAGTCTTTGAAAAGCCAGGAAAAAATAAACACTCCTAAATAATCCTAGAAAAAAAGATTTTAGGGATAGCACTCCTTTTAATGCGTTTTCAGTTTTTACTAGTTTATTCAGTTTTTCTAATCTCTTGAAATAAAAGATGGCATTTTATACAATTTGTTTCATTTAAAATTTAAGATTTTTAGAATGTTACTGTTCTTGATATCCTGATATATTTTTGAAAATTATTTTCTTCCATGTTTAGCAGCTTCCCTGGCCATTAAACACTAGATGCCAGTAGCAGGACTCTCCCCTAATTCTGCCTTCCCCAGTCCCACCCTCCAGTTGTGACAACCAAAATGCCTCCAGACATTGCCCAATTTCTCCTGGGGGATAAAATCACCCTTGGTTGAGCACCACCGAACTAGATAAACAGAAGTTATGGAAGGGTTTGATGAAAAAAGGCATAATCAAAATGTCAAGATTATTTTTATTGATTGCATTTAGAAGCAATTTCAATGTTAATATGAAGGAAAGTGGCATAAAGTTTTTCGAACACTGGTGGAAAAAGATATATCTTTAGTCAAATTCACCTGTCCAATATCAAAACATGCTCTAAAGCTTTGTTATTTAAACTGTAAAGCAGGAATTGAGAAAGAGATCTAAGAAATGGAACAAACAGTCCAGGAATAGATCAATGTTACCGACAATGTGATGAAATAGGCACCTTCACACAATAAAATGGTATCGCAATATAATGGTGTAAATTGGTACAATTCTTAGATAGGTAAATTGTCTATATGTATCAAATTAATGTATATCAAGTTAATAAAATATTTATTCTTCTGGGAACACACACACTTGTCAGAATATTATGAAGTTGTTAAGAATTATCTTTATGAAGAGTACGTAATAATATGCAAACATACCTATGTCACATTAAGGGAGTAAATATCCAGAATACAAAAAATGTATATTCAATATGAACCCAATTATGTTAAAAATAATACAAGTTTAGGGGGTGTGGAAAATAAATTATTTTCTCTATCCATAGTGGTAGGATGAACTTTTTCATTTTCATTTTTTATATGTTTGTTTTCTCTCTCTCTCTCTCTCTCTCTCTCTCATTTGATCAGACATAATACAGTACTGCCAATTTATACAGATTTTTTAATAACCTATTTATGGCTGTATGTATGTAATGCATGTGTTTGTGTTCTAATTTAATCCCTGTAGTTTTTTTTCAAGTATCTCTTTAATTGTCTTTTTGTGTGCACCAATATCCTGTAACTTTGCAATGGGGCATTTATTTGAGAATTCCAACAAAGGAGAGAGAACTCTTTGTCTAAGATGGTCTCTGGTTAACTAAAGTATTTTAAAATTCGCTACTCACATTGGATAAACTTTGTGCCTTTTGTCAATACCATTTCATATTTACTTTTCTTTATCACATTTTTCTCTTCCTGCGTGTGTGTGTGTGTGTGCATTTGTGTTTGTGCATGCATACATGATTTTACTAGCCAAAGTCTTTGTAGGGATTCTGTGAGAACTCCATTCCTAATTTGTAACCAAATCTCTATCTTCCTCCTAATCTTCACAGAGAAGCTACTTTTTAGCACGTCAGCGTACTATGGAAGTAAAACATCTTCTCACGAGTCTATCAGTAAAATATAGAAAGATGAATACTAATAAATGAGATGTTCTCCCCAGTTTTCTCAATTTTCCATCTAACTTTTTAATCTTTTTAAATTTTTCCATTAAAATTACTTATTCTAATCTCATAATAGCTACCTTATAGGTGAGTTAACATGTGAACAAAACTCAAAACAGTGCCTGGTACTAAATAAACATTTGCTGTTTTTTTTTTAACTTTCCTTATCAATGGAGAGCTTTATGAATTTTTACAAAACGTATTAATGCATTGTGATATGTCTTAAATATATTCTCTGCTTACAGCAGTGGTTTAATGACCTGGGGTTTCAGTGAAACACAAAATAGAGCTTTCTCGTGAAGGAGCTTGTAGTCACATATTCATGTCTAGAGACGTAAGTAAAATTCAGATAAAAGGCAGAATTTCTATGGGATACAAAATTTTAAATCCATTTAAGTATAACTAGATCAAATTAGCCTAGGAATTTACAGTAAGAATGTATTTCAATCAATAACAATTTCATATGAAAAACTGCAGTTTTAATGGGAAGTTGTTTAAGTATTATTAAAAAGTTGGTACTGTCCACCAGGTCATGCATTCTTTATCATGCTTCTCTTCCTTATCTAAAAGATCCTCCAAATACTTTAGTTTCTCCCAATTCTGGGAGCCCTAATGTGGCTAGATACAAAACTAATTTATTTTGAGTTTAGTTTTTACATAACATGGTTACAAGTTTGACCCTTAATATGGTCATCAAAAAGTGACTCTTAGGGAATGTATTTTTCAAATAGGTACCTGTCTTTTTGAGCTTTCAAAGCAAATTTTTAGGCCAATTCATGTTTTGTTTCTCCTGTCGTACACAATGTACACACCATCACCAAATGCTACATAAAGAATGAGGAAGCAACACTCTGCCTGTGTGGATTCCTTTTCCTCAGCTGTATATCTCAGATAATGTTGAACCTATTTTCCCATTGATATCTGGGGATTTATGTACTTTATTTCACTGTGCATTGATTGGAGAATAAATCCCTGCAATATATTTCTTTTCCATGACTTTGTTATATATCTATGTTTCAGACCAAACGTTGCTGTCATATTTTAGTGTTTTTACCACACAATCTACAGACAATCCAATCAGACCAACCAAAATAGTTCATCTTTTACCCTGCTAAAAATACATATTTTTGAAAACTTAACAATATTTAATATATGTTTTTAGTTTTTGAAGACACTTTTTCTTTTTGAGCAATGGAGAAAAATAAAAGCAAAACCTGAAAAGACAATTGTTACCAGTCAATATTTAAAACCCACAATGTGACACAACACACAAAAATACATTTGTTGAAACAAATCAGTTGCTAGAACATATCTAATAGATTGCCAGTATTGATTTAAGCATCCAGTAGTTTATATGATATTCATTCTATTATTTCCACTGTATGGCATTATCTGTACATCTTCGATTCCTAGCATAGTTTCTGACATAAAGTTGTTTTAAAATGTTGTATTAAATTAACTCAAGTCAGGCACTAATTACTGTTAAGAAACTTTGCTTTTCCATTAAAATACATGCAACACGTTTTGATTTTTACATTATAGTAATTATTCAGCTAAAATATATCTTTAAACAAATAAGCATAACACAGAGTAATAATTAAAGGAACCATTTTATTACAGCAGTAATATCATCAATGGAAAAGAAGTTATGCTACATTCGTGCAGTTCTTTTGGGCCCAGTTAGGCCTTGTATAGAATTAAGACCCAGGCCAGGTGCAGTGGCTCATTCCTGTAATCCCAGAACTTTGGGAGACCAAGGCGGTGGATCACTCGAGATCAGGAGTTCGAGACTAGCCTGGCCAACATGGTGAAATCCTGTCTCTACTAAAAATACAGAAATTATCAGGGTGTGGTGGCACGTGCCTGTTATTCCAGCTACTCTGGAGGCTGAAGCAGGAGAATCTCTTGAACCAGGGAGGCAGAAGTTGCAGTGAGCCGAGATCCCGCCACTGCACTGCAGCCAGGGAGACAGAGTGACTGTCTCAAATAATTTAAAATAATAGTAATAATAATAATTAAGACACAAGACTAGACTGGAGGTGCTATAAAAATTTATGAATGTTCCAGGCCACTTTAAACATCACCCCAAAGAAGGGTGCCTGGCACATAGACACAAAGCCAATTCATTTTGAATTTAGTATTTAAATAAAAAGGTTGCAAGTTTGAGCATTGGTATAGTCATCAAAAAATGACTCTTAGGGAACATATTGTTGGATAGGTATCTAACACAGATGGCTTCGGTCTTGCTTTTGAAATGTTTCCCCAGAAAGAAAATATAGAAGATAGAAAAGTAATTTTTTTTTTCAGACGGAGTCTGGCTTGTTCACCAGACTGGAGTGCAGTGGTGCAATCTCGGCTCACTGCAACCTCCACCTCCCGGGTTGAAGCGATTCTCCTGCCTCAGCCTCCTGAGTAGAGCTGGGACTACAGGCATGCACCACCACACCCAGCTAGTCTTTGTATTTTTAGTACAGATTGGGTTTCACCAAGTTGGCTAGGATGGTCTCAATCTCTTGACCTCGTGATCCACCAGCCTCAGCCTCCCAAAGTGCTGGGATTGCAGGCGTGAGCCACCATGCCCGACTAGAAGTAATTTCTAGTAGTAACAATTGAGATGCTCCAACTGAAAATTTTAGGTTATAATTATGGATCATTATTTTAAGTGACTTGGTTTGTAGACATTTATCCAAAATGTATAAATACATTATACATTTAATAAACACAATTTATGAGAAAAATTACTGTAGATAACCTTGATGATAAGATGTCATCAAGCGACCACTTATGAAATTCCCTGCTAAAGCCAAACATTCCAATCCTCGGCCACCTCCACTGGCTGTTGGGTATATTTGATAACTGCAATATTTGATTCAACATTTACCCTTCATTACTTCAAAGTTATTAGAGATGTTCTGAAAAGTCTAGATATCCTGACAACAAAATTATAGGAGTTAAATAAAACAGAATGAATGATTCCATGTAGATTTTGAACCACGAACCATCTTTATTCTCAGCTTCTCAACTCAAATGGCTATATCACAAATTTTAATATACCAAATTTCAAAATTTTTAGAATACCTGCTGGTATTATCATCAATCTAAGTTCAATATTTGAGTTAGTGACTCAATTTTTGACTAATATAACAGATTGACCATTTAAAAATAAATCTCTGTATTTATGTTTTAACTTTTATGGCTCTTCTTTGAATGCTAACAGTTAAAAAATACAATTAAAGATAACCAACATTGACTAAAACTTTATGAAACACAATATGATATAAAAAAATAAGCTACATGAGAAGAAAAACTCTCCCATATACTTAATATATCGCATATATATGATGCTTGGGAAATTTTGGAGAGTGGGTGCAGTACGACAATGCCTACTTTGTTCTAACTAGCATGAGTGTCTTGACTGAGAATGACAATCAAACTCATCAGATACAATAGGCTTCCTCAGTTCATAAGTAATAAAGGCCACTGAGCTTTAAAAAAAGAAGCAAAAAATTATTGAACAAGAAACCGTACAACGTGCACAACATTTTAAGTACAGTATTTTATGTCTGAGTAATTCTGCCCTTGGAACTTGCATAGACTCAAAGGACTAGGCTGAAAATTTGAGGAAAACCTTAATTCAGAAAATTCATCAGATTCCATATCTAAGCCCTTCAGAAATGCATGACCAACACCATTCTTCGGACTCACCAGAAACCCATCAACTGGTGGCTCTTTACTTAATAAACTGTCCAAAGCGAGTCCTAGTGCTTAGTCTGGTACAACTGGCCTCATCAGAGTTTCAAGTTGTTAGATAAACAAGTAACAATGTCTTCAGTTATACGTTGCAAGAGGAACTGATCAAGCCAAATATTCATGGACTCCCCAAGCTAGAGGACAGACCATAGAATCAGGTTATTAACCACTTTCTTCAAAAGCTGAGCATCAGTGTAGGTTATACGACAAGGTTTAATCGAGTAAATGAAAATCACTTAAAAAGCTTTCCTATTAATCACACATGTGTTGAGAACATACATTTATTATGAATAATTTCTTGTTGAATATTGATAAATGTATTCATTTTAATGTAATACAATGATCATAACACAATCATTAATTTATAATTCATGATTAAATGTTTGATATGGAGTATCTTAAGTGAATGTGCTGCTTCAAAGTTTATTTCAACTCACCTGTAGTAGTTTCTAGTTTCTAGTTTCTTAAGAAGACTAACTTTAGCTCTCTATACCATGTTGGTTTTCTAAGTATATTTTCAGTGAATGCATTTTATAAACACTTTTTGATTCACAGATACTTAGTTGATTAGATATTTAATTGTTGACCTTTCAAATATCTTTTTTTCTGACTCTTAATCAAATTAAAATGTACTAACTTAAACTTTTCAAAGATTTTAGAAACAAATATTATTTGGTTATCTTTTCCTCCCAGGACATTTGATATGCTAGTTACAAGAAAAGTGGAATCCTTGTTTAAAAGGACATTGCAGTGATGTGGTAAAAATATACATATAAATATGCATGCTTTCTCAATTTTTGCTTCTTGAACACATGAATACTTCCTAATGCATGTATGGTATTCATATTACTATATCTTTACATAATAGGAGAAAACGTTTAAATTCTGAAACTCTAATAAATGAGTTTTCATTATTATAATTGGCAATTTATATATTTAACTGCCTGCTCTTTTAATTTGTCTTTACTAATTGGTATTAAGATGATATAAAAATTTTAAAAACATAACAGATAAATATTAATTTTGCATTTTAAACGTTTAAATTATATAATGTAACTGGTTTTAATTTAACATAAAAGAACATTTTATCTACACAGATTATGCAATATAAGTTACTTTTTTAATTTAAATTTTATTTGTGCATGATTACTTAACAAACTTTTATAAATGAAACATTTATGAAAGATACTTTATCATTCACTACAGGTGATGTAAAGATGAGTAGACTTTAATATCTGTTCTCCAGGCCCGTATACTCTAGCGGTCATAGTAACCAGATAACACAAATAAGAATATTGGAAAATGGCTTCAAAAGGTACAAGACTCTGTCAAAATTCAAAGAAATAAAATAGACTTCTATCATCTTGGAGGAAGACAGCATTTAAGTCAGGTTTTAAACATAAGTAAAAACTGAGCACAACGAGAGGGTATTAAAATAGTGAGGAGGGAAACCACACGGTGTGTTCTAGGAATGATGAGCGAGTCAGATTGGCCGCATCATTTAACGTATATCGAGAAACAGTGTGAGAAAAGACTGCAATATATAGCTTGTGGAGAAATTTGAATAATCAGATCAAATTATAAGAAATTATTGGCCATAATACGGAGTTGTCAAAACTTTCTGAGTAGGGAAATTTAATAAAATTTCTTAGGTTTAAGATTATTAATCTGGCAGATATGTATAAAAGGAATTTGAGAACAAATTTACTGGAAATAATTAAAAGTACTGACGAAAGGTCCACGAAATAGAGGAGAGGGGTAAGAGTAGTTTAATGTAATGGCCTGGGAGAGAGAAATACTTTGGACTTAAGCATTATGGTGTGTAGAAATGAACATCTTCTCTTTACAAAAATGTTTGCTTCACTTTCCATAGCTTAAAATTTTAGCTAAGAAGAAGCTGTCTGGCAGGGAATTTATGTTTTAAATCCCTTTTCTGTAAGAGATAGCTAAAAGTTTAAAGATAGCTAAAACCATGCAAGGGGACATGACAGTAAAATTATTAGGATGGATGAGAAAGAAGCAAATTTACCTTCTCCAACTTCTTTTCCTGTAAGTGCAGGAACTCAGAGGGTCAGGGATGTTTGAAATTAAAGATGGGAGAAGCCCTGTTTCCTAACTTACCACATGGAAGGGTAACTCCTGAAAACCTGCAAAAAGAATGAAGTGTTATGTTACCAAATCTTTCTCTCTCTAAGGTTTGGGGTTTTTGCAACTAGCCTTGCCCTGTTTACTAACATTGATACCACCTACAGCACCCTGCATATATTTTATTATTTTAGTGTTTAAGCAATAGGCACGAAGCATTCTTTTCTGTTATATAGTAAAAGGAATTAGGGCTCCTTAGAAAAATGCTGATGTTAGGCATAAGGCCGAATATCTACAAGATGAATCTGGAGCATCTTCTGGCATCAGAGAGTGAGGAAGTACTCAACATAGTCACTCCCACACACACGGAGGGAATATATCAAAAGAACACTGAAGCCAACTGAAAGAATTCCCAAAAGTCCAATCTACAATACACTGAGCAACAAAATAAATTTAAAAGTATTAGATTATAACCCAAAGTAAAAAATAAATATCCATGAACCCATATTAATATAAATAAATAAGCAAATGGATAAAAATGCAGAAGAATTCCAAATGGTGTATGTAGATAACTTCACCCTCAAAAAGCTGGAGCGTAAATGTCCACTTTTTAAGTGTGTGGATAAGTGGCTTACCTCCAAAAAGTATAGAATAGAAAGGCAGAAAAAAATAGTAACTTAATGGTGAAGAAACCTCACTGATATGGCTTGGCTGTGTCCCCACCCAAATCTCATCTTGAATTGTAGCTCCCATAATTTCCACGTGTCATGGGAGGGACCCAGTGAGAGGTAATTGAATCATGGGGGCAGGTATTTGCCATGATTTTCTCATGATAGTGAATAAGTGTCACAAAATCTGATGGTTTTATAGAGGAGAGTTCCCCTGCACATGCTGTCTTGGCTGCCACCATGTAAGAACATGACTTTGCACCTTCTTGCCTTCTGCCATGATGGTGAGGCCTCCCCAGCCACATGGAACTGTAAATCAATTAAATATCTTTCCTTTATAAATTACCCAGACTTGGGTATGACTTTATTAGCAGTGTGAAAACACACTAATACACTGACAAACACTATCTTAACCAGGTGATTGAGGATAATATCAACATCAACAGTGGTAAGTAAATATGATAATATGTACTCTTGATATGAAGTAATGAAATGGTACTTTATTTTAGTAATTTTCCTAGAAACCCATGTTCTCAGTCTAATAATGCAAAAAAAAAATCAAGCAAATGCCAGTTGAAGGTTATTATACAAAATACTTCACTATTATTTCTCAAAACTGTCAAGGTTGTCAAAAATAAGAAAAGCTTGATAAACTATCACAACCAAGAAGTATGATGTGACATAATGAAATATGACAACTAAATGTAATATAGTATCTTGTATGGAATCTTGGAACAAAAAAAAGGACATTAGCTAAAAATTAATGAAACCTGAATAAATTATGTAGCTAATTTAATAACATTGTATCAATATTGACTCACTCATTTTGGCAAGTGTACCATAATAATTAAGACGTTAATAATATTAGAAACTTGATGTGGGGTATACAGGAATTCTCTCTCCTATCTTCAAACATTTTCTATAAATCTAAAACTATTCTAAAATAAAAAGTTCATTTAAAAAGATAATAATTATAGAATAATCACCCAGAAGGTAGTAATAGACCACAATTACACTTATAAAAGAATTTATCCCAGAAAGCAGAATAAGCATCTAATGAATATATTTAGCCATCATCAGAAAAAAAGGTAATTTGGGAGACACTTCTTCATGGGTCTCTCATATTTCTGCACATCTTATGAGTGAGATAGTCATGTTCCTTTCTTCCAAACTATCTTTCCAAAGGTGTTAGTATAGAAAACTTTTTATATATCACACATTTGTATCACACACAGCCTTGAAAGATAGAATTAATGGCAGGTTCATTTACTTCCCATTACAAAAGATCCAGATTCCCTCAGCTCATGTTTCCTCTCCTGCAACACAACTCATTGCATGTGAAGGCAGTACAAAGAGTGCTCATGTTTCCCTGAGGGAACTGACTCATAGTACAGGCACACACATACAAAATACTAATATTCTGACAACTAGTGCTGTAAATATTAAACTGACTTTCGCCTTCATCTGTGATCCAGAAATCTTATATATCCTACCCGCAGCCACGAAACTAGCCAAGCTAAACTGTTAGTTTGCAAGCAGTGTGACATTTCAGATACTTAGATGTGTCTCCTATTCTTTTCATTTCCAAAGGGGAGTTTTTGTTGCATATACCACTGTTGTATATTGAGTGATTTAACTAAATTATTTTTAGTTCATATGTTTTATTTTATTGATTATTTATTTATTTATTTATTTATTTACTGAGACAGAGTCTCACTCTGTCGCCCAGGCTGGAGTGCAGTGGTGCGATCTCAGCTCACTGCAAGCTCCGCCTCCTGGGTTCACGCCATTCTCCTGCCTCAGCCTCCCGAGTAGCTGGGACTACAGGCGCCCGCCACCAGGCCCGGCTAATTTTTTTGTATTTTTAGTAGAGACGGGGTTTCACCGTGTTAGCCAGGATGGTCTCAATCTCCTGACTTTGTGATCCGCCTGCCTCGGCCTCCCAAAGTGCTGAGATTACAGGCGTGAGCCACAGCACCTGGCCAGTTCATGTTTTTAAGATATGGTATGCATATGCAGATGTAATAAATAAATGTGTATATTCAGATCTGATGAAGTGGCATCTTTTTCAGATGTGGGCTTTTGTGTGCATGGGAGGACAAGCATGCAGAAATATTTGTGGCCTTACGTTCAGACTTTGGCCCAGGTGTACTATAGTGTTCAATTGTTTTTCCCTGGGAAATAACGATGAGGCCAAGGAATATGTTTCCAGTCCCTTTGAATCTAGGCATGATTATGTAAAAAATAAATGTAAAAGAGACATGATGTGCAATTTTCTGGGCAATGTACCAAAAGGTATATGAGCTTCTATGCTGCTTCATTTCTATCCAAGTGGTATAATGCTGGAAGGAGTAGACCTGGCTGTTATTGGCTTTGAAGATGGTAGAGGGGGCCACAAGCAAAGAAAGGAATGCAGGCAACCTCTAGAAGCTGTAAAGGGCAGGCAAACAGATTCTCTGCTAGTACCTGTAAAAAGGAACACAGCACGGCTGGCATCTGGATTTTCATCCAGTCGGTCTCATTTCAGATTACTGCTACCAGGCCTTAAAGCATTTAATTTGCATTGTTTTGGAGAACGAAGTTTGTGATAATTTGTTACAGCAGTCACAGAAAATTAATACAGTAGTCGTTCTCACGCAGAGGTGATATTTTAAACCACAAGTAAGTAAAAGATCAGCAGGAAAGAGAAATTAAAAATAAAAAAAAGACAACATAATTAAAAGGAATGAAAAAATGTAATCCATAGAATAGTTCTTTAATAATATCCATCCTTTCATCAAGATAAGGAAAAGAAACAGAGGAGATGTCAACTGTAAGGAAGACAGAGCCCTTGTTCAAAGTAGTAGGAAAATTGTTAAACCATAACATAAACAGTGTTATACTATTGTTCCATGGTATCTCAATGTGTCATTTTTTTTTCATTTAATATTTAATGTCATACTATTGAAAACAAATAATCTCTAGGTGCCAGGTAAATGGTGCCTCGTGGCCATGGTTCATCACTAGACATATATGTGATACCTATCAACTACTAAAAACCCCTCTCGCCATCAATCTGACCAATGCACCATTGCTTGATCAAGAGAGAGGAATTTGAACCAGGCAATTCCTGACTCTTTCCTCAAGTACACACCTCTAACCAGGGAAAGATGGCCAATGCCCAGAGGTTGATCTACATCTGTGAAGCTGTGGATAACTGAAGGAGTGGGCTGGTAAATAAGAGGTTCACACCTGAGAAATCAACCTCCCGGTAACAGGCTAGATGTCTCCTGTTTGTGGAGAAGCATGCAGAGAAAAGTACAGCTGTGAATGTCACTACCCAAAATTCAAGGTAGGTGGAGAATGGAGTACACTCCTAGAAAAAGGAATGTGAATAGGGGGCCAACTGTAACTCTTACATCAACACAGAGGATTGTGGTCTGATTATGGACTGGCACAGGGCTCTGTAGTCCTCTGATCAAGTTATACCTTTCCTTATTCTACAGGACTCTAACTACAGAAGTGAAGTATTGAAACTAAAAATGTTAGACCCCAGGCTGGGCCTGGTGGTGAGTGCCTACAGTACCAGCTACTCTGGAAGCTGAGGCAGGAGGATCAATTAAGCCAGTTAGTTCAAGGCTATAATGCACCATGATTGCACCTGTGAAGAGCCATGGCACCCTACCCTAGACAACATAGCTAGACCTTGTCTCTTAAAATAAATAAAGTATCAGACCACACATTCATTGGTTAGTACAAATATTTAATAAAATTAGAAACAAATTTTGGCTTAATGTCAATCATCAGGAAGTCTGGAATTGGTCGCTACTAATCTATTAACTATTGGGATCATAAACAGGAATAGGAAACCAGACAAAATTATGAAAACCAAAAGGAAGGGATTTTTAAAAAAAATCTTCTTTAGCTTTTGATTAAGCTATGTCTGACTATATATAACTTTGGAGAGAACTGGGGCTATTTCCATGGTTATTAACATCAAGGAAAAGAGCATTTATTTAAGCCATTCTAGAGTTTATTAACAACAAATGCCAATCTTTCTGCATGGATGTGTGTATAGAAAATTACTAAGGATTTATACATGTTCCTGAGGACATACACACACAAATAACCAAAAAGCTAAGATTTAACTTAAATAATTTTGATCTGTTTAAGATTGATAAGAATATTTTCTGTCACTTTTTTTTAATGTCACGAAAGTAGCTTTCTTGGTTAAGAATGTTATTTAAAACACATGAAAAAAATAAAACAAGTTTCGTTGACATTCACATCTGCACAAGACAGGCCACAGATACTCTATGGCTTATATTTTCTTAGGGGCACAGATCATAATTTTATCATTTTAGTTATCTTATTAAACTAAATAATTCCTAGTCACTCTTCAAAATAATTATGTTTGTATTTTTTATTTTCGACTCAATGACAGATGAAAACAAAGATGACATTTTAAAGTCAACAGCTCTGTGTTTGGTAAGTATATGTTAATAATACTCTGGTAATTTATTAGCTATCATAAAGCCTATATTTTCAAATACTGATTTAAAGTATCTATATAGTAAAATAAAGAATTAATATTAAAGAATACAAACCAAGACGGGGAAAACTATCATAATTTTTAAAATATCAATTTATTGGCTAATTTGTCTTTCCATTAACCAAACAGTTACAAAGTATCTTTCTTCTGTCAGGATTGAGCTAATTACATTTCACAGGAGATTTCTCATTTAATATTAACTGAGTACATGACTGGAGTAATGAATAAATTATGAATAAATTAATTGTTGCCTGTTTATCTTTGAATCACTAGTATACATAATTTACTTCAGGAAGAAAACTTAAAATGTGACATGGAAAAAAATTATAGGAATCCTGGGTTCAGATCACAGCTTTAACATATAGTTGTTATGTGATCTTAGGTAAGCTATTTAATCTGTCCTGGAAATCAACATGTTATATATTTTTTTAGATTTTGGGTTCTGTATTCTTATTATCTATATTCATTTCCTAGCTCAATAAATATAGAGAAGGGCCAAAATACCCTTTTAATCCCTTCATTTCCTCAGCAATAATAGAAAAACGATATTATTACTTCCCTGTTACAGTATTTGTGAAGACTAAATGGGTGGATTCATGAAAAGCATTTAAAAGAGAATACTTCCTTCAACTTCACCCAGTATTAGTTATCTATTATCCATATGATGTGGGTGTGTGACCCTTCCAAATCTTATGTTGAAATGTGTTCACCAGTGTTGGAAGCGGGGCCTAGTAGCAGGCATTGTGTTTTGGGAGGTCAATCTCTCACGAATGACTTAGTATCTTCTTCATGGTAAAGAGTGAGTTCTCCCTCAGGGTTCACGTGAAATCTGGTTTTTTAAAAGAGCATGGAACTTCTCCCCTCTCTCTTACTTCCTCTCTCACCATGTGACATGTCTGCTCCCACTTTGCCTTTAGCCATGACTGTAAGCTCACTGAGGCCTCACTGGAAGTTGAGTTGATGTTGGTGCCATGCTTCCTGTACAACTTGTAGAACCCTGAGCCAATTAAATCTCTTTTCTTTATAAATTACCAAGCCTTTGGTATTTCTTTATAACAATGCAAAAATGAACTTACACAATTCATTGTGCACAATCCACAGGTGCAATTTCGTCTGCCTTTGACCTTTCAGCCTCCTTTTATGAAGTTCCTTGCGGTTACATTAGTCCCACTTGGACATCCAGGATATTTGTCCCATTTCAAGATCCTTAACATAATTACATCAGCAAAGCTCCTTTTGGCTTGTTAAGAAATATAATTATAGCTTTACAGGATTATGATATGAACATCTTGGGGGCCATTTTTCTGCCTGTTAAAGAAATTAATAAAAACAATTCAAAATAAAAGAAGGAAGAAAAATCAGATTTACAAGTTTTCTTTTTATTTAATTTAGAGAAAGTTATAATAACTTTCAACCCTAATGGAAAAATAACAAAACTAGGTTTTTCATAATTTTGCCAAATTTTTAAAAAAGTATTTGTTATCATCTACTTGTATAGAATAAACTTAAAAAACCATGTTTATGATATTATTAAACTTGACCCACATTGGCATAAGATTTATTGAGTAAAAAAAAAAAACAGTTTTATGTCATACGCTGAGACAATTTTTTAAAAAACATATATAAATATATAAAATTATATCCCAACTGAAAAATTAAAGAATCTGCAGGTATGAAAGCAATAATTTTTAAGTTAAAAAAAGCATTTATAGGAATGGTGGAAGTATGAGTGTAAATATCCCACTCAAATGAATTGCCCTAGGAACTATAGGTTATTTTAAAATGCAACTATATCCTTTGACATTTCTCTAGAACTCATTTTTTTTAACCAATCCAATTTCCACATGTGCCATTTGGTAAAAAGGAAAGGTAAATTATCTGCCAAGGTGCTCAACAGTGAAGAAAACTACACATTTTATTGAAAATAAATGTCATACAACAAAAGCTATAAAAAGAGAAGGAGTAAAACAAGCAAAAATTCAGAAATAAAGCATATATGTAACCAGTATACAAATGGATCAACGGAAAAAATTAAAATAAAATGGAATTAGTACTGATAGAATCAGTACCACATAAACTGAATCAGTACTGATAAAATAATTTGCTTAAGATAAGCAAAAGTTTACTGAATTTAACCTTTTGAGGTCTTATGAACACAGGTAGTATACTTTTGAAAAGAAAACAATATATTTTACTCTCATTTCAAAAATTTTTAAATGTTATTTGAGACATCTTAAAAGAAGATTTTCTTATCTCTCCACCTGTATCTTTCTTTTATTTCTTTGGATACCAAAACATTGTCCCTTTTTTCATATTTAATTCCATCAAATCATAACATAAGATTTTAGTATCTTTATTCTTGGTTTTATGATTTTATCTTTCCTCCCACACTCTTAGTGATTAGGTTTTTTCTACTTCATTTCTATGCTTTACATCTGTTAGAACCCTTATAACACACTAGCAATGATGTGTGTACAGCTCTCTGGTCACTATGTCAGTAACTTGAGATGACATGTAATATTTTTATCCTAATTATTGTAAATCCCAAATCACTCATCACAATGTCTGGCATAGAGTAGAACTTCAATGCAGTATTATTAAATAATGATTGCTTATTATGCATAGGGCTAATGCTTATAACAATTAATGAAGATCTTACTATTTTCTAAAAATAAAATGCTAGAGATATGTAAGTGTTATGAGACATAGTGGAGTTATCAGAAAAGGATGTGGGTTATAATAAAAGTTTAGATCCTAATTTACCAATACCTTTAAAATAAGATCAAATTATCAACTATTTCTAGACTTTCATCACTTATTTTCTGAGGTCAAATATGGTAGAAATAAAAAAAAATCTTAAAGTGAAGATCAATAGAAAATACAGATAACAAAATAAATGTATCTGTTTAATTAGCTTTTATTATGTTCTAGTGCTAGTCATTAATTGTGCTAATACTTTATACACAATCCTATATAATTTAATCCTCAAAACACTTGTGAATAATAGTTGCTGTCACCATTTTTCAAATGAGGATCACATGAATAAAGTCTTACATTTAGAAGTGATGAAATGAGAATTCAATCAAGTCCTGTCCAAGTCCAAAATTATGCCTTCTCATCAGACCAGTTTTATTGTGTCCTTTACTCACCAAAGCTTTTCAGGAGAGCTACAAGATTCAGTCTGAATCTTTATTCTCCATATTCACCCATACCGGATGATCTAGTTAGAAGCACTGGAATAGTCTATTCTCATGCTGCTATAAAGGACTACCAAGACTGGGTAATTTATAAAGAAAAGAGGTTTAATTGACTCACAGTTCAGTGGGGCAGGTGAGGCCTCAGGAAGCCTACAATCATGGTGGAAGGGGAAGCAAACACGTCCTTCTTCACATGTCGGCAATAGGAGAGGTGCCATGACAAAGGAGGAAAAGCCCCTTATAAAACCATCAGATCTCATGAGAACTCACTCATTATCATGGGAGCAGCAGCATGGGTGTAACCATCCTCATGATTCAGTTACCTACCACCAGGTCCCTCCCACAACACATGGTGATTATGGGAACTACAATTCAAAATTAGATTTGGGTGGGGACACAGCCAAACCATATCAAGCACCCTTTACATTGTTTTACAAAATTGTCAGGGACTATGTGTTATGTCTAAACAATGTATAAAATCTGAACACTTTTAGATTCCAAGATCTGTGTCCAAAACATCATCTATTACTTTCAGTTTGCTATATATTATGAAATTTTTAAAAAAGAAAAACTTGCCTGAAGTAAACTTTTTTGATTTTTTCATTTTTAAAAAAATTTATAAAAATAGATTCATATACAAAGAAGAAGCACATATACAGAGCACCCCAATTACCAGTACGGTGGACTCTAGCCCTTCTTTTCTGCATTGGGAAACAGAACAGAGAATAGAAAAAATGATTCCATCTTGCTCTTAACTCTTCCACCTATGTGCTCAGTTTTTCAAGCAGAGTTTCTGTTTCTTTGTTGGTGGTTTTGGTATTTTCCAGTGTAGGAATCAAGCTTTTCAATGCAGCTTTGACTTTGCTTGCAACTTCTGGGTCACAACTCTGGAGAAGGCTAGAAGTAAACTTTTGGGAATTGAACAATGAGAACACATGGACACAGGAAGGGGAACATCACACACCGGGGCCTGTTGTGGGGGTGGGGGCAGGGGGAGGGATAGCATTAGGAGATATACCTAAGGTTAAATGACGAGTTAATGGGTGCAGCACACCAACATGGCACGTGTATACACATGTAACTAACCTGCACGTTCTGCACATGTACCCTAAAGCTTAAAGTATAATAAAAAAAAAATAAATAAAAAAATAAAAGAAAATGTTTCTATTTTATTTTATTTTGAGACATGGTCATGGCTGTGGCATCTAGGCTGGAGCGCAGTGGAACCTTGATCTCCTGGGCTCAAGTGATTCTCCCACCTCAGCCTCCCAAAGTGCTGCGGTTAAAGGCATGAGCCACTGCACCAGGCCCCATTTTTCTGGATATGCTCTTCTTACTGTATCTAGTCTCTTTGTAATTCACAGGAATCTTAGAGAACATGGATTTTATTTTATTATAGATTGAGTTCTTAAATGTAGCTTCCTAACATATTTAGGCAGTGCCATTATTATATTCATCTCCACTGCCTACAACGATGAACTGGGTGAAAATTCTGTCTTTCTCATTCACCAGAACATTCTTTGTCTGTGTTGTTTTACCAACTGCATTCCCTCTCCAGGAAGTAGATCTCTGTGCAATGAATCTTTCTGAGCTGCTGTGGTGAGAGGGATGCAGTAAGTCATTACAACTATGTAATGTAAGAAACATTCCATATATTTTCTGATTTTTTTCCCGAGTCTTCACAGATGAGGATTCTGAGGTTTGCTCTAGCTATGTTAACTAGATGGTATTAAGGAAGAAACTGTCAAATATATTGTGGATTCTCTTTTGCAACTTTCTTAGGTAAATGTTGATGTTCCCTTTTCTGTGTTCCTATTGCAAATTTCACTGGTCCTAATATAATTTTAATCTTTGTTCAATTGCATTGAATTATCTCCTTTCATAGGAATGTAAGAACCTTGAAAGAAGATCTGTCACATTCGTATCTTTGACAATGTGAAAGACTTTGCACATTATACCTGATAAACATGAAAATTAATGAATACTTTTAATTATGAAAAGATTCAAGGTATGGATTTCTAATCTTAAAATTTATGAAAAATTAAATCACATATTAGTTTAGAGAAAAACTCAAGAAAAATCAAATCCCAAAAGATAGTCAGTGTCTGAAATGATCATGTTTTGTCTTCCAATACCTAAAACAACTCATTTATTAGATTTTCAAAGAAATGCAACATAAGCAATTCATCTTTTCTAAATCCTTTCTGAATTGAAAATAAACCCTATTGTATTAAATTGCTGAATGAATTATCCAGATGCTTACCTGATTATTAAACAAGAGTAAATGAATTTCAGAAGTTTTTACTTAATGAGAGTTTTAATATCACATTAAAAATTTACTGTAAACACTTAATACAAGTAAATAAATTTGATAAATAGTATCTATGTGTTTTAAGCCAAATAATTGAGAGTATGTTTTACGTATCATAACATGGAATTTGAAAACCAAATAAAAGTGACTATAGAGTAAAATTTTGGGAATATAAATTTATGCTTAAATGGATATTATAATTTCTCTGAAATCAAAACAAGCTATTAAACAACTATATAATTATACAAAGAATGAAAAAGCTGCAACCAATTTGATAGATAAAAACAATAGTTATACATTTCAAATATACTTCTGTATAATGTACTCCTGAAGCTATAAATTAAAATCCCCTGCTTTAACAGGAGTAAGCATAAATATAAGCAAAAGCCAACCTCACACTTTTCAATCATTTCCTTTAAGTTTTTGCATACTATTCACCATTACTGGCTGTATACGACATATTTTTAAGTTGAAGCTTCATTATTAACATTTCTATCACTTTCTGAAGTCTAGGCAATTTAAACTAAACAACAGATTGAACCCTGTTTGTAGTGTGTGCTGATTTCTTTGCTGTTAAGTACTCATATCATAACTGATTTTAAGCTACCAATGTGGTATCACTGAACACAAAATTGGGAGGAAATGCATGGTGGCACACTATTAGCATTTCCACCATACAGATAAACCAGACTCCAATTACCTCAAGACCATTGACTACAGTAAAATTTTATAGTAACAAAATAATTAACAAGTAGTGAGCATTGAGTATTTATTACATTTAGGTATTATGTCTAATTGTAAATTGGTGTATTTTTTAAATGATGACTGTGTTTAACTACTTATTTATAACATTCTTGTGAAACTAAAAGTAAGCATTTGTGAGCTAGTACCAATTGGCTACAACATACCATTACTTGACTTTCATACAGCAGGAAATCAAGACTGGCTTGTAGTGTGGAAAAGACCTTGGGGTTCCACTAAAGATTTTTTAAGACATGGGTAAAGGAATATCTCGGGGATTATCTTAGGACATCAGTAGTGAGTAGAAATGTCACAGATGATACATTCACATCATTACTGCTTTTAATCAAGATGTAACAGGGACCAGATTTACTCTTTTGACTGAAACAAGTTAAAAACTGAATGAAAATATGCAAATAGCATATCTTAAAGCATTGGACATCAGGTGCCAAGGGACAGTTATAGCTGAAAAAGGAAAAACAACAACAAAAAAGCAAAAACAAAATAAGCTTGCAATTTTTCCTTTTTTAGCCTAAAATTTTCAGGACATTATGCAGGAAGGGGTGAACTCAGGCAGAGACTGGTAGTCTTTTTTAGTTGAAGATACAGATATGAGTGTCTGAAAAAACCAAGACAGCTCTAGTTCACAGAAAAAAGAGAAAACAGATCTGTATAGAAAGAAAACTTTTGAGGCCTACCCAGTGTTCCTCTCAAGTATTCAGTTGAACACAAATCAGTGCATGTATAAGGACATTATCCCCGGCCAGGAAAAAAGATGTAGAGAGACTAGTGCCCCTAGCTTACAAAGGGCCAGAGAAAGAATTAGTTCTCATTAGCCAAAGGGGAAAAACTTACAATTCATGGACAATCCATTAGACTCAGAGAATTCTTGCCTCTATAGTGGGGAAACATTAAGCTCAAAATAAAAATCCCAAAAGAATAAAACTGTTTCTAAGTTACTTAATTGTCTGTTTTTACAGACAACATATTTTACCTAGCCAATCCCAGAGTCTCTGCCCTAAAACTGCAGCTCTGAAAACAACTTCAGCAAAGTTTCAGGGTACAAAAATCAACGTACGAAAATCAGTGACATTTCTATATACCAACAATATCCGAGCTGAGAGCCAAATCAAGAACACAGTAACATTGGCAATAGACACACACACACACTCACGAATACAGCTTACTAAGGATCTCTACAAAGAGAATTACAAAACACTCCTGGAGGAAAACAGAGACTGAACAAACAAGTGGAAAACCATTCAATGCTCATGGATAGGAAGAATCCATATTGTTAAAATGGTCATACTACCCACAACGATTTACAGATTCAATTTTATTCCTATCAAACTACCAATGACATTTTTCACAGAATTAAAAAAAAAAACTATTCTGAAATTCATATGGAACCAAAAAAGAGCCCAAATAGCCAAAGCAATCCTAAGTAAAAAGAACAAAGTTGGAGAAATCACACTACCCTACTTCAAACTATAATATAAGTCTACAGTAACCAAAACAGCATGGTACTGGTGTGTCCAGAATTGCTGGGTTCTCAGTCTCGCTGACTTCAAGAATGAAGCCACGGACCCTCGTGTTGAATGTTACAGTTCTTAAAGATGGTGTGTCTGGAGTTTGTTCCTTCAGATGTTTAGATGTCTCCGGAGCTTCTTCCGTCTGGTGGGTTGTTGGTCTCACTGACTTCAGGGGTGAAGCTGCAGACTTTTGCGGTGAGTGTTACAGCTCTTAAAGGCGGCGCGTCTGGAGCTGTTTGTTCCTTCCGGTGGGTTCATGGTCTCGCTGGCTTCAAGAGTGAAGCTACAGACCTTCATGGTGAGTGTTACAGTTCATAAAGGTGGTGCAGACCCAAAGAGTGAGCAGCAGCAAGATTTACTGGGAAGAGCCAAAGAACAAAGCTTCCACAATATGGAAGTAGACCCAACCAGGTTGCCACTGCTGCTGGCGCCTGTGGCCTGCTTTTATTCCGTTATTTGGCCCCACCCACATCTTGCTGATTGGTCCATTTTACAGAGAGCTGGTTGTTCCATTTTACAGAGAGCTCATTGGTCCATTTTACAGAGAGCTGATTGGTCCGTTTTGACAGAGTGCTGATTGGTGCATTTACAAACCTTTAGCTAGACACAGAGTGCTGATTGGTGCGTTTTCAATCATTTAGCTAGACACAAATGTTCTCCAAGTCCCTACCCATCCCAGAAGCCCAGCTGGCTTCACCTCTTACTGATACAAAAACAGACACGTAGACCAATGGAACAGGTTAGAGAACCCAGAAATAAAGCTGCACATCTACAATGATCTGACCTTTAACAAAGTCAACAAAAAGAAAAAAATGAGGAAGAACTCCCTATTCAACAAATAGTCCTGGGATAACTGGCTGGCCATGTAAAACTGAACCCTCTCCTTTCACCATATACAAAAATCAACTCAAAATCTGTTAAAGACTTAAACATAAAATCTAAAAACTATAAAAACTCTAGAAGAAAACCTAGAAAAGAATATTCTAGACATAGGCCCTGTCAAAGGTTTAATGATGAGGTCTCAAAAAGCAATTGTAAGAAATACAAAAATTTGTTCTCACCTGTAAGTGGGAGCTAAATATTGAGTACACATGGACACAAAGATGAGATCAATAGACACTGGGGCATACTTGAGGGTGGAGGAGGGTGAGGATTGACAAACTATCTGTTGGGTACTATGCTTACTACTAGGTGGCAAAATAATCTTTGCACCAAACCCCTGTATCATGGAATTTACCCATATAACAAACCTGCACATGTAACACCCTGAATCTGAAACAAAAGTCGGGGAAAAAAAGCTTAAGAATATTTAAAGTACATAAAAAACATCCTGCACCTAACAAGATAAAATTCTCATGTTTAGCCTCCAATAAAAAATTACAAGGCATAGAGGGGTAGGAAATTACAACAACAATAAGATAAAAAAATCATTTTAAATGACTCACAAATGACACAAATGATGAAATTGGTATAAAAGGGTGTTATTATAACTGTATTTCATGTGTTGGAGAAGCTACAGAAAAGTTTTATTATGTCAAGTAAAGACATTAAGGATATGTTTAAAGAGACTAAAACCAAAATTCTAGAAAGAAAATCTAAAAGGTCAGTGATGAAAAATATACTAAATGAGAGTAACAGCATGTTAGACATTGTAGAAAAAAATTAGTAGGCTTGAGGGCATAAAAACTGAAACTCTGAAATATGTCAAAGATAGAAATAAAATTTTTATAAAAAGAATACAGGATTGGGGAACTGTGGCAGTTTTGTGCAGATATATATCCCAAGAAAGGGGAGATGACAACGTATTTGAAGCATTGATGAATAAAATTTTTTTAATTTGATGTAAACTATAAAGTGACCAATACAAAAATCTCAAAAACTCAACCCGCAAGAAATATTACAAAAATTGAACAAAGGCATAGATTAATCAAACTGGCCCCCCCCAAAAAAAAGAGAGAGAGAGAATCTTAAAAGCACCTAGAAAAAACGACAAAATATTTGCAGAGAAATAAACATAACAACACATTTTTCAGAAACAATTCAAACCTGAAATGGTGGAGCACCATCTCTCAAGCATTGCAAGAAAAACTCAACAAAAGCTTCAAATCTAGAATTGTATATAAATTAAAATATTTTTTTAAAAATCAATGCTAAAATTAAAATTATTACATAGACAAAATCTGAAATAATTTATTACTAGAACTCTTACAATATAAATAACATTAAAGGAAATTCTTCAAACACAAAGAATATTATACCATATGGAAAATTGAACCTACTCAAAGGAATGAAATTATATCTGCCTGGGAAAATGTGTCTACCACAGAATTTCTATGTCCTGCAGACTTTTTGTTTTCAATAATATACAAAACATTTATTTCACCTCAATTATATTAGGCATAGTCCTACAGTGAGTGTAGCTCTCCATCAACAGCTGAGTACAAAATTAGAACCAAACCCAACTACTATCACGTTCAATCCAGAATCTCAGGTAAGCCAACCCTAATATTATTAAATTTAAGCTAATATAAATGCTTTTCCTTTCCTCCAGTTCTATCCCAGAACAACTATCCCACATTTGTCTTAATAAAAATGTATAATATCTTAAAATTCCTTTATTCTGTAAACTGTCTATTCCAAGCTTTAATAATTTCAGTAACCATTATTCTTACCTTTGTTATAATTCTGGGATATGTGAATATTGAAGAACAATACTTAGAAAATGGCAGATAATCAAGGAGTTAGACAGATAGATCTCTCCACAGAAACTGTCTCTTAAGACACTATTATAGAAAAGTTAAAAAGATATACAGACATATTATTTTGAAACAAAATGTAAAGGAAATGTATTAATAAAACTATACTATTTTATTAAAGGGAACTAAAAATTATAGAGATATGCAAACACTTAATTTATAAACATATTTTAATCACAAAATTAATTTTAACACATTTTTACTTCAAATTAAAGTCCCAGTTTAATTAGAAACTTGATGATAAACTCATTTTATAATAAAATAGTAAGTGAAAAATTATGGGCATGAAACCATTGATAAGAGAATTGAGAGCAGACTTGCTCTTTGAGATAACAATTTATATTATGAAAATATATAAATTTATTTAGTGACATTATTGGAACCTTAAGCAAAAGATTGATATTGTTTATAAAACTCAGAAATAGACTCCAAATTCTATAAAAATCTATTATGTAATAAATGTGACATTTCATATTGAGAACATAAGAATTGGCTTCTCACTGGTGCTTGGAAAATTG
This sequence comes from Homo sapiens, assembly GCF_000001405.40. NCBI lineage: Eukaryota > Metazoa > Chordata > Mammalia > Primates > Hominidae > Homo > Homo sapiens. The sequence goes on from NC_000004.12 coordinate 29,914,748, forward strand.
GACAACTCTGAAATAAAAAGATAATTATATATTCATTTTAGTCAGAAAATAAATTCTATAGTAATTAATAGCTAGATAAAGTGATTCAAGTATAACAAATAATAGAAGTAGACACAACTTCAAAATTTCTTAGAATTATTTAAATGTAATCTGTTATCCTTTCATGTATCTTTATTCCTTATGTATATTACTGAGCCAGGAGAATGGGGTCTGGAGGCAGGGAACTTAAGGCCAATTCATGCTGAATCGGGGACAAACGCCAAGGTCTGGGGACAGGGAATCTGAGGCCAATTCATGCAAACTTCCTAAACCTAAACCCCATCTCCCCACTCTGAGTAACAAAGAAGACCCAAAGGCTACTTTCCTACAACTCTCTCCCTTCCACCACATCTCAGATGGCAAGGGAGAGTGCCTTAGATTGGCCAGGGGCCCAGTAGGGACCATTCCTTCATCTGCACAGACAGCCATTTAACTCAGCCTTTAATTAGCCACAGACCAAATCCTTCATCCAGATAAGGAGTAACTGACAGGAACCTCAAAATAAAGGTACTTAAAACCAAGAAAACTTTGTAACTGGCCCTTGAGCTGCTTGCTCGGGCCCACTCTCACCTTGTGGTGTGCTTTCTCACTTTAATAAATTCCTACTTTTGCTGTTCATGCCTGTGTATCATTCCTCTGTTACTGTGTTTGTGGGTTTTGTCCAATTTTTTTGTTCAAAACCCGAGAACCTGAACAACTTACACTCAAGGCCCTCCTTCTGGTAACAATACCTAGATTAAGCTCAGTTTGAAATGGACACAGAAATGTAAAAATTTAAGTTCCTTGGTGTATGTGTTCTAGGACTTTGGGATCTGAAAAGTTTCTAGAAAGTTATCCTACATATTTCATTTTAATTTCGAACACAGTATGCACGATATTGATCACATATTGGCTAGAATGGCTGGATGTTGACTTTTGCCAATTACATTTGTCAAGAATCCGTCAGTTAGTTTGCTTATGATTCCACAGTCCTAAATATCAAGGAAGTTATTTACATCTTTAAAAAATTATATATAATTACTTATCGTAGTATATGCAGCATCAAAGCAGAAGTTTGAAGAATGTTTATAATTACATTGAAAAAGTGTGTGATGACTCTGTGGAACCCGACTGACAAATCTGCATTATGAAAGAACAGCTTATTTTAACCAATGAACAGAAAAGTACATTGTTATCTTTCCCTATTTTTCTCCTAAAAGAGGGAATCTTAAACTAACTAAGGGTGTTTTTTTTTTTTGTTGCTTCTCTATGTTAAGCTTTATTTTTCATAATTGTACCATCCAAGACATGAAATGCAATGACAGTGCGTATCATATCAAAACATTTCACTTTTAATGCAGACCACCACAAAACAATGCTGTAAGTAAGGAAATAAGCTTTGACATCTTTGTCAAGTCAAAATTGTAGGTAATTATTTTGAAGTAAGTCTTCTCTTTTATTTTAAAACTGAACGAAGAAAAGTGGCCATAATTATTCTGCAATGTAAATGTAAAAGTGGTACAGGCCATAATTCCTGGAGTTATCAATTCTCTTCTCTGTCTGATGCAGCAGGAACCAGACAAATAAAATATTTATGTAAAAAATGTAGCTTAGTAAAAGAAGCTAAATACAATTCAAGTCATCATATAGAATATTTAAATAATGAACACTAATTTGAATGTGGTGCTATTTAGTATTCTGTCATGAATATTAAAATTTAATAAAATTTGTTCACATAAATGGCATATCTACTATATTTAGGGGTTTACATATTTCTCAACCTAGTAAAAAGCAAAATTATTGAGAGGTAGTGTAAACACTATCAGTGTCATAAAACACCACCTGGCAACATCGTTTCTACCATGTTTCTAATTAGCGACCACTTCAAAAGAGAATATTTCCCTTTAAAAAACTATTTTCCTTTCCGATGCTACAGACTCACAAGAAAAACAAATTGTATGTTCTTTGAAATATTTTAGAAAGATATCATGAGCTGTTTGAAGTAATTTAAAGAAAGACACTGAGAAAAACCAGTCATTAACTTAATAAATCTTAAGGAAAAATGTCTTTAAAAAAGGTACCAGAAGGCTGGGCTCAGTGGCTCATGCCTGTAATCCCAACACTATGGGAGGCCGAGTCAGGCTGATCGCGAGGTCAGGAGATCGAGACCATCCTGGCTAACACGGTGAAACCCCGTCTCTACTAAAAATACAAAAAAATTAGCCGGGCGTGGTGGCGGGCGCCTGTAGTCCCAGCTACTCGGGAGGCTGAGGCAGGAGAATGGCGTGAACCCGGGAAGCGGAGCTTGCAGTGAGCCAAGATCACACCACTGCTATCCAGCCTGGGCGACTGAGTGAGACTCCATCTCAAATTAAAAAAAAGGGGGGGGACCAGAAATAATAACTATAATAGTTAATTTTGATTTTTTTCCTGAAAGCAGAAAATAATTTTTGAATATATTTATTACTGGAAACAAAGTGATCCACAGACTATTTTTCCAGCTCATATGGCTGTGTATTAGAGGCATCTGCTTTATTTTATGGAGACTAACAATGGAACAATTATGTGTACATGTTAAAATTTACAAATATACGAATATGTTAAACCAGAGTTGAAATAACATGGGTTGAAATTCTGAATCTAGTTCCATCAAAAACAGTAATAAACTTATTGATTTTGGTGATAATATAGCAAATACTTCCTTGGGGCTTACTATATACAAGATGTAGTTGCTGATGCTTTATGTGTATAAACATATTTAAGCCTAACAAGAACCCTATGAGTTAGTGCTATTTTTATTAAACCAAGTTTACTTATGAGAAAGTTGAAGTTGAGGCACAGAGGTTAAATTGCCCAAACTTTTATAGCTAATGGAGAAATAACTGAGATACATACACAACTATGTGGCTCTCTAGTCTATGAACTTTCCACTCCACTAGAAAGTGCCCTGTAAACTATGTTTGCCTCGAATCTTTGCAAATCATTCGTAAACTCTTCTTTCTCAGTAATGGATGAGGCCTCAGATTACTGTGTTTATTTTATTATTCTCTAGTGTCAAATAATTTATTTTTCTATGTTTATCTCTAGTTTTAATTTGGGAAACAACTCTCACTCTCTACATACACATATATATACATATATACATATTTATCAAATCAACCAAGCATACTTGAACAAAGTATTCTTTTATTTGTATAAAAAAATTACATTATATAAAAGACAATATTCATAATGCTGATAAAACAAAATTAATAATCACTAGCCTTTGTGCTGAAAGGACGCTCTTCTAGTACATATTATTCAACTATCTTAGAATGCGCTCTTCATATTTACCGCACTCAGTTCCACTAGGCCGTGTTTAAAACTGTATTCATCTTCGATGACATATTTCTTGGCTTCTCTAAGTAACACTAACTGTCCTTTTACTTATGTAACTGTTATTTTGCATATATATATATTTTTCTACATTAAAAATAATGTTCTGTAATAAGATAATTTAAATACTATGAATGTATGTAAAATTTTATTTTTATTTATTTAAAAAAAAAACTTCCTCTGCCTTTTTTCTCCCATCTTAATCCAACTCTTGTAAGGTAAGCACTCTTCAGAAGTTGATGAGTAGTCTCACAAAAAATAAACCAACTACAAAACATAGTCAAACGTTTAATATATACACAAGCACATCCATCATAGTATGTATCATAGGGTTGATATTTATTAGCTTACTAGAAAATTATGAGGTAGAAAGTTAGATCAGCTAAAATAAGGAATTATCATGAAGCCCCTAGGAGAGAGCTTTACTGTTGTTTTGTGTATGTATTTATTTGGTTGAATAAACACATCAATTCACAGTTTTATTAAACACACACACACACACACACACACACACACACACACACCAAACACACTTTGACTTGGTTTGAAAGCAGAACTGGTTATAACACCCATCTCTCTTTACTACCAACAAGGTAATCTGGAGTAAGTTTGTTGAATTTCTACATTTTGACTTTCTAATTTAGGAAATGGTGATGATAGTATTTATATGAAAAGATATTGAACGATGGCCATTTTTTCTTGTAAACTATAAAGACTTTGTGATGGTTAATTTTATGTGTCAACTTAATTGAGCCATAGGATACCTAAACCTCTTATTAAACATTATTCTTGATGTGCCTGTAAGTCTGTTTCTGTAATAGATTATTATTCGAACAGGTGGACTGATTGAAACAGCTGGCCCTCTGCAGTGTAGGTGGGCAGCATCCCGCCCATTGAGAGCCTAGGTAGAACAAAAAAGCAGAGAAAGTTTGGTTTTCCTTTCTCTTGGCCTGACTGCTTGAGCTAGGACATCGATCATCTCCTGCCCTTAGGTCTGAAATAAAATCTATTTCATCAACTTCCTTGCTCTTCAGCCTTCAGACTATATCACCTGCTTTTCTGGGTCTGCAGCTTGCAGACAGCAAATTGTGGGACTCTCAGCTTCCATAATTGCATCAGCTGAAGCTTCATAATAAATCTCAGGAGTTTTATATATATATATATATATATATCCTATTGGTTCTGTTTCTCCGGAGAAACCCCAACTAATACAGAATTCTATAAATGAATATTATACACACATATTTTTAATGTGCCACTACACATTAAACGTAAATGTATACTTATGTATAAATAAAGTGGTATAATTGATTATAACAATTGTAGTAATATATGCAACATGTACTTATCTATACCTAGAAGGCTTACTTACAAAATCCAAGGCAACAATTACACAATGCTTTTCTTCTTTAAAATACAGTGCAAGAAATGGTTGTCCTAGTGGATTTTTACATAAAACCTATCACTCATTCATGGAAATGGCATAATATCAATAAGACAAACTGTATGCACTTACTGTTCTTGGACTGGTAATCGATTCAAAGCCATTCTCTCATAGTGCCTCATGTAGTCAATGATTTTTGTTTGTGCTTTAGTGCTGACTGGATTTTGGACTGCATTATGAGACCTCTGAACAGGAGAAGTTCTTCAAGGATTGCACTCTTGACCTTATTCAGGCCATGATTTCATCTTGTGATCAGTAGTAATTTTGCAAAACACTCAGTAAGTAATGCCATCTAACATTAATTTAAACATTTGAGCCATTATTTATAATTATTATTTAACATAATTTCGCCTGCTTATTTTATGGTGAAAGGGATACATAGATAGATAATATTTGGGAGTATTTGAATTTAGGTTTTAGCACAATGGCTGTGAACTCAAAGTTGAGATTACAAACCAATGTCTCTATTTTTCATTCAGTTATATTTAGCTCCTATAGAAGGCATCTCTGGAAAGATATTTGTGAGCTATAGTTACTATTCAAAGCTCAACAGAACTGAAATATCAAAAATGTATATTTTTTCCTGTAAGGTTAATGAATATTTACAAAGTTAATCAAGAATTGACATAATAATTCAGGAAAAATCTGGCATAGGCTTATTTTTTTGCTTTCAATAATCAAGATTATTCATCAAATTTAAAAGGTAATCACTGAGCTATCTATTTCTCAGAGGAAAACATGAGAAACTTGAAAATTAAGAAAGCAGATTGAGGAAATTTCACAACTATGAGACCATTAAGGAAAAGAGGACATTACAGTAATAGAGAATGTATGGCACCTTCCACTCACGTATCAATGCAATCAGGGTATATGCAGCCTTTATCCTGGTTCAGACAATGTGATAGAAAACAGAAACAAATAAACCTAGGCATAGCTTCTGTCCTCAAGTAACAAACTGTCCAGTAGACAGACTGAAATAGTAAGAAAAATCTTAAAACTGTGAAAACTAACTTAATGGTTCAAAAATAAGAAATAACTAATTACCTTAAATTTCAGAGAAAGTTTGAATGTATTTTTAACTTAAAAATATGTGAATAAGGCTGGGCGTGGTGGCTGACACCTGTAATTCCAGACCTTTGGGAGGCGAAGGCGGGTGGATCAAGAGGTCAGGAGTTCAAGACCAGCCTGGTCAATATGGTGAAACCCCGTCTCTACTAAAAATACAAACATTAGCTGGGCGTGGTGGCACGTGCCTGTAGTTCCAACTACCCGGGATGCCGAGGCAGAAGAATCGCTTGAAACCTGAAGGCAGAGGTTGCAGTGAGCCGAAATCGTACCACTGCAGCCCAGCCTCGGTGACAGAGCGAGCCTCCATCTCAAAAAAATAAAAAAATAAAAAATAAGAATAATAATTGTTTTAGAAAGTACTCTATATTTTTAAAGATTTGAAAATTTTACCCAAGTCAAAAGTTTCAATCACTAAGATTAGTAATATTTTGTTTTCAAAGTGTAACTGTGTTTTCAACAGACTATCATTGATGACACATGTAAGAGAAATTGTCTTGGTGTTTCTTGCTGGTTCTACATTTTAAATACATGATATTAGTTATTTATTTGGTATTTCACTATGTATTCTGTTCCTTAGAACACATTTTGTTGTGTTTGTGTTAATGGGCAGAATGTAGAAAAGCGTGATAATACCTAACACTGAAAACCAGATTTTTTGTGAGTAATGAAAAATTGAGCTCTAATTTTAATTTATTGAAGAAAAAGCTATGAAAGCTAGTTTTTAAAAGTTGAATGAAGGATTTTCTTGTCTTATGTGTGTAGTCTGACCCTTTTTCTTTTTCTTATTACTGATTTTCAGCTACAATAATCATCATGCATATTTTAGAAAATTTAAAAAAAGTTCAGTTGAGAAAAATTATCCTTAATCATACCATTATGGCCGACTTTTTTGTGCATTTTCAAAGTTTTTTATTGTTCTATACATATTATGTATAGTAGGAAGTAAAATTAATGCTAGTAGATCTATACACACACCCACACATGCACATATCATTGTAATTGATTCTTCTCTTCCAACAATGCTACATGGAATAAAGGTGGTCTTATTTATTTTAAGGTGAAAAAAAGTTCTGGCTCAAAATTTGAATTGCCCATGATATATATGGGCACTTAAATGGGATGTTAACATTTCTTTGTGCTGCCAAATCCTGGAGAATGTGAGAAGCATTACTGCACTCAAAGATTTACAAATATAAGCCCTATAGTTTATAGGGGAGGATCTGAAAAAGCTGAATTATTCTGCATAGAAGACAGTGAAGGATTTTTTGTTTTACAGATTGTCAGCCAAAGACAAGGTGCAAGAGAAACCCTGCAAGATGGCAAGAAGACGGAGCTTCAAATGAAGGCACACCAGGGAGATACAGATAGTGTCCCACTCATTTCCCAAGTGACTTTGAAAGATGGAGGGGAATAATATTGAATTGTAAGCTCTCTGCTGTGCTCTGTTGTGGAGCAGCATCTCCCCACTGTGTCATATTTTTCAGAGAATTCAGCTCATGCAGACTTATTTATGGGTTCTTTGGGGATGATGAAGAAAAACGAGAAATATCTGGAGATGAGAGAGGTGAAAATTGGTTCAACAGGTGGCCGTACATGCAGAGATAGAAAAGCAGAGAAGCAGGGGATTTGCAAGAGCAGCAATGACCAGGTAAGATGCGAGCACATACACATTTCTCCAGACATGTTAGGAAGAATACTTATTTCTTATTAAAGCACATGAGAGGATGAGGTGGGAGCGACAACCGATTTTAACTAAATCGTAAAAGCCAGTGTGACCCTTAGAAGCTTAGGCCTCCTAAGGAACATCTGAGAAGCTTTCAGTTGTCACACAAACACACACACACACACACACACACACACACATAGATCCTATATGTTTGCTGTTAGAGTTTCCCTCTACTGCTTTCTAAATTGCTCTTTGATTTAGCAGGGTACCATAAATGCCTCCCAAATTCATTCAGTGCAGTCCAACATCATAATTTGTAGACATCAAGGTACATTATTCCACTAACATATGTAGCTCCTTTATTATACCTACACAACATACATTATTTATTTTACATATATTATATAAAGAAAGTATTTTTGTTTAAATATTAACTCATCATTTTGTATATTTCTTTTAAAACCTTTCTTTGCCTACATTATAAAACCACAAGGATTAAAAATATTTTTAGTTCTCAGTGAAACCCCGTCTCTACTAAAACTACAAAAAAAAAAAAAAAAAATTAGCGGGGCGTGGTGGCGGGCGCCTGTGGTCCCAGCTACTCAGGAGGCTGAGGCAGGAGAATGGCGTGAACCCGGGAGGCGGAGCTTGCAGTGAGCCGAGATCCCTCCACTGCACTCTAGCCTGGGCGACAGAGCGAGACTCCGCGTCAAAATAAATAAATAAATGAATAAATAAGTAAATAACATAAAAGTATTTTTAATCCTTACATTATAATTTGAATAGTTTTCATAGAGATGTCTTATTTATCCTGATAGATTATAGACACTAGTTTGTGGTATTTTATTTTATTCACCTCTAGATTTTTCCATAGCTCCTAGCACAGTGGTTGCAGAGAATGGATACACAGTAAATATTTCTTAGATATTAAAGTAATAAAGAATTTATAAATCAAACAGCTATTAAATGACACTGTGTTTTGTTTTTGTTTTTCTATGAGATTTGATCAGAAGCTTACAGGTTTATTTGTAATTTTTATTAAATTTTAATCATCCCTATCCTTTGTGTTTGCATTTATCAATCATGTGACATAATGATTTTACACTACTTTCTTTGAAAATAAAAAGTAATAAAATAGAACTATTATGGAAATTAAATTTTGAGACTACTTGTCCTAGTTCTTTCAACCAAATAAAAATTGCTTCAGAAAACTGTCAGTAAACCAGTTCTGTAGTGAATATTTACAGTGTGTCCAGGGATTTACTATACCTTATTACTGTTTTGAGAAAAACAGTAAACTCTTCAGAGAGATAAAAATAACACATTTGAAACTTCAGTGAGCTATATATCACAGAATGCAATTACTGAGTCCAATAGTGCAAAGACATGATTGATCAATCATTGAAAAAATAAGCAGAAAAAATAATTGCAATTGTCTTACAGATGTACAGTCTAATTTTGATTTCATATCACATGCATAAAAAGAAGAAATTTGAGGTCATCTTGTAATATTTCAGATACATTTGTTGTGAAAATAGGTTAAATGATAGTTATTAAGATAATTCTATAATCAAAAAAATTTAATAAAAGTTTTTCAAGGCATCCTGAAATGAGGCTGTGAATTCAACTCCTAACATCACTGAAATGAATACTTCATAGAGAGTGGTAGGTAAGAAACTAGTGGTCATCCTCTGCTGTTATGTAAAATTTTCAGTCTTAGATTTAAATAACCTTTATAATGGGAGAAATATTGTAAGAGTCACGGGCCAAGAAACTTGTGTCAGTGCCACAGTGGTGAGTAAAGCCTGTCTCATTATGTTACAATACTTTATTTTAAATGGCTCATATATGAGTTTTTTGTTTGTTTGAGACGGAGTCTCACTCTGTCGCCCAGGCTGGAGTGCGGTGGCATCATCTCAGCTCACTGCAACCTCCAACCCCAGGGTTCTAGTGATTCTCCAGCCTCAGCCTCCAGAGTTGCTGGGATTACAGGTGCCTGCCACCGTGCTTGGCTAATTTTTTTGTATTTTTAGTAGAGACGGGGTTTTGCCATGTGGGCCAGCCTGGCCTTGAACTCCTGACCTCAGGTGATCCACCTGCCTCAGCCTCCCAAAGTGCTAGAATTACAGGCGTGAGCCACCGCACCTGGAAATGTGAGTTTTAAATTGTGCTTACATTCTAATATGGCTGTGCTATGTCTGATCGATAGTTCATCATTTACATAATCAATATTTTCATTATTTCTAAATTCATCATTTATTGGATGAGCAGAATGAAAGAATCAGCTATGCCTAGGTCCTTTCATGCTACATGCATGGACTTTTGCCTTTATGTTCAAAGTTTAGAAAATTGGAAGATACCCTTTCTCAAAATATCATAGCTGTTTTCTTTCCACTTTTTTGTATTTCTTCTTTTTTTATTATTATACTTTAAGTTTTAGGGTACATGTATACAACGTGCAGGTTAGTTACATATGTATACATGTGCCATGTTGGTGTGCTGCACCCATTAACTCGTCATTTAACATTAGGTATATCTCTTAATGCTCTCCCTCCCCCCTTCCCCCACCCCACAACAGGCCCTGGTGTGTGATGATCCCCTTCCTGTGTCCATGTGTTCTCATTGTTCAATTCCCACCTATGAGTGAGAACATGCAGTGTTTGGTTTTTTGTCCTTGCGATAGTTTGCTGAGAATGATGGTTTCCAGCTTCATCCATGTCCCTACAAAGGACATGAGCTCATCATTTTTTATGGCTGCATAGTATTCCATGGTGTATATGTGCCACATTTTCTTAATCCAGTCTATCATTGTTGGACGTGTGGCTTGGTTCCAAGTCTTTGCTATTGTGAATAGTGCTGCAATAAATATACGTGTGCATGTGTCTTTATAGCAGCATGATTTATAATCCTTTGGGTATATACCCAGTAATGGGATGGCTGGGTCAAATGGTATTTCTAGTTCTAGATCCCTGAGGAATCGCCACAGTGATTTCCACAATGGTTGAACTAGTTTACAGTCCCACCAACAGTGTAAAAGTGTTCCTATTTCTCCACATCCTCTCCAGCACCTGTTGTTTCCTGACTTTTTAATGATCCCCTTCTAACTGGTGTGAGATGGTATCTCATTGTGGTTTTGATTTGCATTTCTCTGATGGCCAGCGATGATGAGAATTTTCTCATGTGTCTTTTGGCTGCATAAATGTCTTCTTTTGAGAAATGTCTGTTCATATCCTTTGCCCACTTTTTGATGGGGTTGTTTCTTTTTTTCTTATAAATTTGTTTAAGTCTTTGTAGATTTGGGTTATTAGCCCTTTATCAGATGGGTAGATTGCAAAGATTTTCTCCCATTCTGTAGGTTGCCCATTCACTCTGATGATAGTTTCTTTTGCTGTGCAGAAGCTCTTTAGTTTAATTAGATCCCATTTGTCAATTTTGTCTTTTGTTGCCATTGCTTTTGGTGTTTTAGACATGAAGTCCTTGCCCAGGCCTATGTCCTGAATGGTATTGCCTAGGTTTTCTTCTAGGGTATTTATGGTTTCAGGTCTAACATTTAAGTCTTTAGTTTATCTTGAATTAATTTTTGTATAAGGTGTAAGGACGGGATCCAGTTTCAGCTTTCTACATATGGCTAGCCAGTTTTCCCAGCACCATTTATTAAATAGGGAATCATTTCCCCATTTCTTGTTTTTGTCAGGTTTGTCAGAGGTCAGATAGTTGTAGATATGCGGCATTATTTCTGAGGGCTCTGTTCTGTTCCATTGGTCTATATCTCTTTTTGTATTTCTAATAATTATCTTTCCATTAGATGTTTCCTCATATCTGGATAATACATGTATCATTTAAAAGAAACACAATTTTTCAACTCCATGAATTAGGACAATTTATTTGTAGTAATGTACAAATGTAGAATATTATTAAGTGGGTGCAAAATTAATTGGGGGTTTTGCCAATTGTGGTTTTTGCCTCTACTTTCAATGGGAAAAACCACAACTAATTGTTCACTGACCTAATACAATCTTTTTAAAGTGATTACATAACGAAGAGCATCTCAGAGTTTAAACAGGGATTTTAAAAAATACCAAACCAGTAAAATTATAATTGACAGCATTATTTTAGCAGGATAGATAACTTTTTTAAAATAATTTTATTGAGTTACATTTAATATAGCAAAAAACTGAGCATATTTAATGTGTACAATTTAATGACTTTGGAAACGGGCATACACCTGTGAAACTATCACTACAATCAGGGTAATGAACAGATTCGTCACCTCCAATAGTGTTATCCTTCCTCTTTGGGTTTTTCTGTTTGTTTGGTTCCTTGGCTTATTTTTTGTTTTGGTGGTAATAACACTTAAAATGAGATGTACCCTTTTAACAAATTTTTAAGTATACAATATTGAGCTGCCTTGTTTCAGTTGTGTAAGATGAATAAATTTTAGACACCAACTTTTTTTTCACTTGTTTGTCTTAGCAGATTGACTGCCAGAAATCAATCTGGTGAAATTACAGATGAATCATCCTAAGCAACAACATAATAGATGTAGAAAAAGCATTTAATAAAATTCAACAGCCCTTCATGATAAAGGTTTCAACATATTTGGTATAGAAGGAATGTACCTCAACACAATCAAGGCCATATATAACAAACTCACAACCAAATATTTTAATGGGGAAACGTTGAAAGCCTTTCCTCTAAAATATGGAACAAGACAATGATGCCCCCTTTCATCACTTCTATTCAACATGGTACTGGAAGTCCTACCTAGAGCAATTAGGAAAGATAGGGAAAGAAAAGGCATTCAAGTTGGAAAGGAATAAATAAAATTGCCTCTGTTGGCAGGTGACATGATCTTATATATAGAAAATCCCTAAAGACACCAACAAACATGGTTAGATCTAATAAATGAATTCAGTAAAGTTGTAGTATACAAAGTCAACAAACAAAAATTGGTAGCATTTCTATACACTAATAGCAAACGGTCTGAAAAAGAAATCAAGAAAATATTCCCATTTGTAGCAGCTACAAAATAAAAGACCCTTAGAACCAAATTTAACCAAAGAGGTGAAAGTTCTCTATACTGCAACAAGAGTTCTATCACTTGTCAAATCTTCTCTTATTTCCATTTGTTAACCAAAATAGTTTTATGTTTTCATCTGTTTATTTATTCAATAGTACGCAATCCCTAGGAAGTCTGTTATTACCAAAGACAAGAAACCGGAAATCTATTGAACGTTTGTTAGTGTGACTTTAATTCAAGTAGAACATTTGATTTATTAGTCATAAATACATGGTAGTTAGACATAATTTGATAGCTTTTCTATAGTATTTTGTGTCTTTTGTAGTCCAACACAGAAGTCATCACATAAATCCATTAGAATAAATTCAGAGAAGTATTTTATGTATTTTCTCCAATTAATATTTAAGAAAACTATTATTAAACAGATAATATACAAGAAGGTAGGTTACATCCTCTAGTATATGCCAGTTCAAGTAAGCAAATCTGTACCTGAAAGGTACTTAGGTGAATATCAATAGCAAAGATGACAAAAATAATAGACTTCCCACTTACAGAGCAATTAACATGTGACAGTTCTAAGTGCTTTACATGCATTAACTCAAATAACTATGTAGCAGAATGTTATAGTTTATAGCGATATTCAAAATATTTAATAATCTCTATGGTTCATGGAAGAAGCTGCAGTTTCTGCAGGCATATTGGTAACTCTGATTGATTTAGGCCAGAAGATGGTGCTCATAGACTCTCTGAGTTCAGAAGGACACTGAGGCTTTTGCCCTCTTGAGTGTTTTGAGTGTTATTATTAGCATTACCACCAGGCATGGAATCAACCTCAAAGTCTCCAAGCCTGACCGAAAGAGGTACCTGTGTTTGCAAACATTCTCAACCTGGGTGCCACCAGTTAAGTGTCAATCTCTTAACCCCTCACACACTAGGACAGGATAGCTGAACAGGGGAGCCTCAGGAGGCCCATACAGTTATAATTTGCCAACAAATATACTACAAAATTACACAGATTGGCCCCGCCATCCCAGTGAATACCATCAGACCATAAGTCCAGGTGATAAATGATGTAAAAAATTTCACACAGTGTATATCAGTTCTGAGATAAAAAAGTTTATGTCAGATTATTTTCTTCTCAGGAAAATGCTTTAAAGAGATGGTATAAATTGAGTATGAATTAGCAGATGTCTACAAGTTTTCTTTAGAAACAAATTGAGGAGAAAAGTCTTGTCTGAAACAGTAATGTAAGATAACATACACAGACAGAAAACATTAGACAAGTCCTGAAAATACAGAATTTGATTTTGACCTGAGAGGAAGTTATAGGACTTAGGAGAAGTATGGCTAGAAGCGTTAGTTGACTCTAAATTGCAGAAAATGTATAAGTCTTACATAAATAAATCAAAATGTATTTGTAAGGCGGTAGGGAGTCATTAGAGGCAATTGGGATGAGGAGTTCCCTTATTACCACATTTCTTATGGAGATAATTTGGCCCTAGGATGTAAGGAGGGTTGAAATCTAGAGAAATTAATGTAACAGAGATCATTTCTAACAATAGCCACAAAAATAAGGCAGACTGGTAAGAATAGAAGAAAAGGTATAGATTCAAGAGATGTTGGGAAAATAATTTCTACTAGCAATTCTGAACTACTTTCATGAGTTTGCTCTAGCATCTACTGAGAAGAGTAAGATAAAGACAAATCAAGCAGCCTTCAGGCTGTTATCTATCCCCTTTCAACTAGAATCAACTTCTCTATCATCCATCTCCTGGGGTTCTCAAATATAATTCCCGGGTTATATTTTACATACTCTTGTTAAAATCTTCTTCAAAATTATAAGAGTAAAGATCTACTTGGAAAAATAACAGCTGTCTGATACACATATACACATACATACATGTGAATAATATTTACATTGCACATTAGTATTGTATAAGAATTTGGGAACTTATTAAATGAAAAAGAATAAAACAGTGGCTGGTAAAGTTGGATGAACAGGAACAGCTCTGGTCTGCAGCTCCCAGCGAGATCAACGCAGAAGGCAGGTGATTTCTGCATTTCCAACTGAGGTACCTGGCTCATCTCACTGGGACTGGTTATACAGTGGATGCAGCCCACAGAGGGTGAGCCAAAGCAGGGTGAGGTGTCACCTCACCTGGGAAGCATAGGGGCTTGGGGAACTCCCTCTCCTAGCCAAGGAAAGCTGTGAGGGACTGTGCCATGAGGGACAGTGCTATCCGGTCCAGATACTACACTTTTCCCAGAGTGTTCACAACCTGCAGACCGGGAGATTCCCTCAGGTGCCTACACCACAAGGGACCTGGGTTTCAAGCACAAAACTGTGCAGAAATTTGAGTAGACACTGAGCTAGCTGCAGGAGTTTTTTTTCTTTTTTTTTTTCATACCTGAGTGGCACCTGAAACACCAGCAAGACAGAGCCATTCACTCCCCTGAAAAGGGGGCTGACGTCAGGGACCCAAGTGGTCTAACTTAGCAGATCCCATCCCCATGGAGCCCAGCAGGCTAAGATCTACTGGATTGAAATTATCGCTGCCAGCACAGCAGTCTGAAGTTGACCTGGGACTCTGGAGCTTGGTGGAGGAAGGGGCGTCCACCATTACTGAGGCTTGAGTAGACAGTTTTTCTCTCACAGTGTAAACAAAGTTCGGGAAGTTCGACAGGAAGTTTGAATTGGGGGGAGCCCACTGCAGCTCAACAAAGCTGCTTTAGCCAAACTGCCTCTCTAGATTCCTCCTCTCTGGGCAGGCCATCTCTGAAAGAAAGGCAGAAGCCCCATTCAGGGGCTTACAGATAAAACTCCCATTTCCCTGGGATAGAGCAACTGGGGGAAGGGGTGGCTGTGGGCCCAGTTCAGCAGAGCTAAATGTTCCTGCCTGTTGGCTTTGAAGAAAGCAGCAGATATCCCAGCATAGTAATCGAGCTCTGCTAAGGGACAGAGTGCCTCCTCAAGTGGGTCCTTGATCCCCGTGCCTCCTGACTGGGAGACACCTCCAAGCAGGGGTCAACAGACACCTCATACAGGGGAGATCTGGCTGGCATCTGGCAGGTGCCCCTCTGGGATGAAGCTTCCTGAGGAAGGAACAGGCAGCAATCTTTGCTGATCTGCAGCCTCTGCTGGTGACACCCAGGCAAACAGGGTCTGAAGTGGACCTCCAGGAAACTCCAACAGACCTGCAGCAGAGGGACCTGACTGTTAGAAGGAAAACTAACAAGTAGAAAGAAATAACATCAACATCAACAAAAAGAACGTCAAAACAAAAAACCCAACCGAAGGTCACCAGCATCAAAGACCAAAGGTAGATAAATCCATGAAGATGAGGAAAAAAACAACACAAAAAGGCTGAAAATTCCAAAAGCCAGAATGCCTCTTCTCCTCCAAAGGATCACAACTCCTCCTTAGCAAAGGAACAAAACTGAATGGAGAATGAATTTGATGATTTGACAGAAGTAGGCTTCAGAAGCTGGGTAATAACAAACTCCACCGAGCTAAAGGAGCATGCTCTAAACCACTGCGAGGAAGCTAAGAACCTTGAAAAAAGTTAGAGGAATTACTAACTAGAATATCCAGTTTAGAGAAGAACGTAAATGACCTAATAGAGCTGAAAAACACAGCAAGAGAACTTCATGAAGCATACACAAGTATCAATAGCTGAATCGATCAAGTGGAAAAAAGGATATCAGTGATCGAAGGTCAGCTTAATGAAATAAAGAATGAAGACAAGAATAGAGAAAAAATAATGAAAAGGAATGCTTTAAAGAGATGGTATAAATTGAGTATGAATTAGCAGATGTTTACAAGTTTTCTTTAGAAACAAATTTAGGAGAATAGTCTAGTCTGAAATAGTAACAGAAGATAACATACACACAAAGAGAACATTAGACAAGTCCTGAAAATACAGAATTTGATTTTGACCTGAGAGGAAGTTATAGGACTTATGATAAGATCTCCAAGAAATATAGGACTATGTGAAAAGACCAAACCTACATTTGACTGGTGTACGTGAAAGTGACTGGAAGAATGGAACCAAGCTGAAAAACACTCTTCAGCATATTCTCAAGGAGAACTTCCACAACCTAGTAAGACAGACCAATATTCAAATTCAGGAAATAAAGAGAATGCCACAAAGATATTCCTCGAGAAGAGCAACCCCCAGACACAGAATTATCAGATTCACCAAGGTTGAAATGAAGGAAAAAATGATAAAGGCAGCCAGAGAGAAAGGTCTGGTTACCCACAAAGGGAAGCCCCTCAGACTAATAGCAGATCTTTCTGCAGAAACCCTACAAGCAAGAATAGAGTGGGGGCCAATATTCAACATTCTGAAATAAAAGATTTTTCAATCTAGAATTTCATATCTAGCCAAACTAAACTTCATAAGTGAAGGAGAAATATAATCCTTTACAGACAAGTGAATGCTGAGAGATTTTGTCACCACTAGGCCTGCCTTATAAGAGCTCCTGAAGGAAGCACTAAATATGGAAAGGAAAAACTGGTACCATCCACTGCAAAAACATACCAAGTTGTAAAGATCACTGACACTATGAAGAAACTGCATCAACTAACGGGCAAAATAACCAGCTAGTATCATAATGATAGGATCAAATTCATACATAACAATATTAACCTTAAATGTAAATGGCCCAAATGCCCCAATTAAAAGACACAGACTAGCAAATTGAATAAAGAGTCAAGACCCATCCGTGTGCTGTATTCAGGAGATGCATCTCAGGTGCAAAGACATACATAGGCTCAAAATAAAGGGATGGAAGAATATTTACCAAGCAAATGGAAAGCAAAAAACAAAACAAAACAAAACAAAAAAAACAGGGGTTGCAATCCTAGTCTCTGATAAAACAGACTTTAAACTAACAAAGATAAAAAAAAGACAAAGAAGGGCGTTATGTAATGGTAAAGGGATCAATACAACAAGAAGAGCTAACTACCCTAAATATATATGCACCTAAAACAGGAGCACCCAGATTCATAAAGCAAGTCCTTAGATACCTACAAAGAGACTTAGATTCCCACACAATAATACTGGAAGACTTTAACACCCACTGTCAATATTAGATCCACAAGACAGAAAATTAACAAGGATATTCAGGACTTGAACTCGACTCTGGACCAAGTTGTTCTAATAAACATCTACAGAACTCTCCACCCCAAATCATCAGAATATACATTCTTCTCAGCACTACTTCACACTTATTCTAAAATTGACCACATAATTGGAAGTAAAACACTCCTCAGCAAATGCAAAAGAATGGAAATCAGAACAAATAGTCTCTCAGACCACAGTGCAATCAAATTAGAATTCAGGATTAAAAAACTCACTCAAAACCACACAACTACATGGAAACTGAACAACCTGCTCCTGAATGACTACTGTGTGAAGAATGAAATTAAGACAGAAATAAATAAGTTCTTTGAAACCAATGAGAACAAAGACATAATGTACCAGAATCTCTGGGACACAGCTAAAGCAGTGTTTAGAGGGAAATTTATGGCACTAAATGCACACAGGAGAAAGCAGGAAAGATCTGAAGTTGACACCCTAACATCACAATTAATAGAACTAGAGAAACAAGAGCAAACAAATTCAAAAGCTAGCAGAAGACAAGAAATAACTAAGATCAGAGTAGAACTGAAGAAGATAGAGACACAAAAAACCCTTCAAAAAAATCAGTGAAACCAGAAGCTGGTTTTTTGAAAAGATTAACAGAATAGATAGACTGTTAGCTAGACTAATAAAGAAGAAAAGAGAGAAGAATCAAATAGACACAATAAAAAATGATAAAGGGGATATCACCACTGATCCCACAGAAATACAAACTACCATCAGAGAGTAGTATAAACACCTCTACACAAATAAACTAGAAAATCTAGAAGAAATGGATAAATTCCTGGACACATACACCATCCTAAAGAATAAACCAGGAAGAAATCGAATCCCTGAATGGACTAATAACAAGTTCTGAAATTGAGGCAGTAATTAATAGCCTATCAACCAAAAAGGCCCAGGACCAGATGGATTCACAACCAAATTCTAGCAGAGGTACAAAGAGGATCTGGTACCATTCCTCTTGAAACTATTCCAAACCATAGAAAAAGAGGGACGCCTCCCTAACTCGTTCTATGAGGCTAGTATCATTCTGATACCAAAACCTGGCCAAGACACAACAAAAAAAGAAAATTTCAGGCCAACATCCCTGATGAACACTGATGCAAATATCCTCAATAAAAATACTGGGAAACTGAATCCAGCAGCACATCAAAAAGCTTATGCAGCAAGATCAAGTCGGCTTCATCCCTGGGATGCAAGACTGGTTCAACATATGCAAATCAATAAATGTAATCCTTCACATAAACAGTACCAATGACAAAAACCACGTGATGATTTCGGCAGATGCAGAAAAGGCCTTGAATAAAATTCAACACCCCTTCATACTAAAAACTCTCAATAAACTAGGTATGGTTGGAATGTATCTCAAAATAATAAGAGCTATTTATGACAAACCCAGAGCCAATATCACAACGAATTGGTAAAAGCTGGAAGCATTGCCTTTGAAAACCAGCACAAGACAAGGATGCCCTCTATCACTACTCCTATTCAGCATAGTATTGGAAGTTTTTGCTAGGGCAATCAGGCAAGAGAAAGAAATAAAGGGTATTCAAATAGGAAGAGAGGAAGTCAAATTGTCTCTGTTTGCAGATGACATGATTGTATATTTAGAAAACCCCATCGTCTCACCCCCAAATCTCCTTAAGCTGATAAGCAACTTCAGCAAAGTCTCAGGATACAAAACCAATGTGCAAAAATCACAAGCATTCCTATACACCAATAACAGACAGAGAGCCAAATCATGAGTGAGCTCGCATTTACAACTACTACAAAGGAATAAAATACCTAGGAATACAACTTATAAGGGATGTGAAGGACCTCTTCAAGGAAAACTACAAACCTCTGTTCAGGGAAATTAAAGAGGACAAAAACAAATGGAAAAACATTCCATGCTCATGGATAGGAAGAATCAATATTGTGAAAATGGCCATAATTCCCAAAGTAATTTATAAATTCAATGCTATCCCCATCAAGCTACCATTGACTTTCTTCACAGAATTAGAGAAAGCTACTTTAAATTTCATATGGAACCAAAAAAGAGCCTGTATAGCCAAGACAAACTTACGTAAAAAGACCAAAGCTGGAGGTATCACGCTACCTGACTACAAACTATACTACAAAGCTACAGTAACCAAAACATCATGGTACTGGTACCAAAACAGATATGTAGACCAATAGAACAGAACAGAGGCCTAAGAAATAATGCCACATATCTACAACCATGTGATTTTTGACAAACCTGACAAACATAAGCAATGGGGACAGGATTCCCTACTTAATAAATGGTGTTGGGAGAACTGCCTAGCCCTGTGCAGAAAACTGAAACTGGACCCCTTCCTTACACCTTATAAAAAATTAACTCAAGATGCATTACAGACTTAAACATAAGACCTAAAACCATACAGACCCTAGAAGAAAACCGAGGCAATACCATTCAGGACATAAGCATTGGCAAAGACTTCGTGATTAAAATGCCAAAAGTAGGGCAACAAAAACCAAAATTGACAAATGGGATCTAATTAAACTAAAGAGTTTCTGCACAGCAAAAGAAACTAGCATCAGAGTGAACAGGCAACTTACAGAATGGGAGAAAATTTTTGCAATCTATCCATCTGACAAAGGGCTAATATCCAGAATCTACAAGGAACTTAAACAAATTTACAAGAAAAAAAAAACCCATTAAAAAGTGGGTGAAGTGTATGAATAGGCACTTCTCAAAAGAAGACATTTATATGGCCAACAAACATATTTTTAAAAAGCTCATCCTCACTGGTCATTAGAGAAATGCAAATCAAAACCAAAATGAGACACCATCTCATGCCAGTTAGAATGGAGATCATTAAAAAGTCAGGAAACAACAGATGCTGGAGAGGATGTGGAGAAATAAGAACACTTCTACAGTGTTGGTGGAAGTGTAAATTATTTCAACCACTGTGGAAGACAGTGTGGCGATTCCTCAAGTATCTAGAACCCGAAATACCATTTGACCCAGCAATCCCATTACTGGGTATATACCCAAAGGATTATAAATCATTCTACTATAACGATACATGCACACGTATGTTTACTGCAGCACTATTCACCATAGCAAAGACTTGGAAGCAACCCAAATGCCCATCAATGATAGATTGGATAAAGAAAATGTGGCACATTCTGCATAGAATACTATGCAGCCATAAAAAAGGATGAGTTCATGTCCTTTGTAGGGACATGGATGAAGCTGGAAACCATTATTCTCAGGAAACTAACACAGGATCAGAAAACCAAACACCACATGTTCTCATTCATAGGTGAGAGTTGAACAATGAGAACACATGGACACAGGGAGAGGGAGAGGAGCATCACACACTGGGGCCTGTTGGTGGGTGGGGGACTAGGGAAGGGATAGCATTAGGAGAAATACCTAATGTAGATTACGGGTTGATGATTGTGGGAAACCGCCATGGCACGTGTATACCTATATAACAAACCTACATGTTCTACCCATGTATCTGAGAACTTTATAATAATAAAAAAAAGAGTAAGACAGAGGATGAAAAAGTGTTGGAAATCAAATGAAAAACAACATGATTGAGAAAATTATGAAAAAACAAATTACAGAATTTAGGAGGAAAAACTAGCTAATGAGGGAAAAGTTATTATTGATTTGGGATATATCAGGTTTATGGTGCTTCAAGGAAGCACACAACATGGGTAAGATATTAGAGCTGAATATATGAAATTGGTCATTATTCCTTTTTGAAATGACACATGAAATCATGACAGCATAAATTTGTCCAGGGATAAAAAAAAACAGATAGGAAAAGGAAAGGTGTCCCAACGCAGAACAGAACTTTAATCTAACACTTACAACTTCAGTTGAGTCCAAGCAGGACAGATAGGAAAAATTGAAAGACAGAAACCATCAGTGCCACAGAGGAACAACATCTAGACTACTTAGTATGGAGTTCCGTGAAGGTTTTTAAGTTGGTGAGAGGTTCTCCGTAGTGTTAATACTATGTGATAAAGATAGAGTAACCTTTAAAAGTGGTGATGGATTTAGTTTTTAAAATATTAGTTTCAGTCAGATGATGTGTGAAGATCATTAAGGTGGCCAAGTAACAAGAGCAGGGTCAGGGAGAGGTCGCAAAGATTACTATTTCAGGACATTTAACACAAAAAGGCAAGAGAAAAAAAAAAGATTTCAACGAGTCTGTAAGATATTTAAAACAACATTGTGTGTGTGTTGTCGTCGTTGTTTTAAAGACCAGAGGATATATCGGTATACATTCCTAGCCTATAGGTATTACTAATATAGAGGGAGAGGAAGAGAAATAAAAGATGGAGCACATTTAAAGGAATAATTGATTGAGCAAGATCTCTAGAGTTTGGAAAAGCTTAGGATATAGAGCACACAAGAAGGGTTACTTTTAGCAAATAAAACAAAAAACCCTAGATGTAATGGAGGTACATAATGTTTCACATGTAGGCATCATTTTCAGTAAATGGGAAGAGAACATGTGTTGAGAGCATAAAAGGACAATAAGGCAGGGTTAGAAATTTGTAAAATTGGCAATGTTTTGAAGATCCACTGTTTAATAAAAAATAAATAATTTAAATTTGAATAAAAAGATTACTTTTTATTGAGTAATCTGTACATTACCCTAGAACTGAGGATATAGTTATATCAGGTAGAAAACAAATCTAGACTGAAGTAAGGAAACACTTCACTTGAAAATACTATTGCAGTAAGGGAAGAGGAACGGTTGCAGTAAGGACAAAAGTCTGACCATAAGATCATAGGGACTTTTCTTTTACGGGGAGTAGTAAACAAGGCTAGACAGAACCAGGTGTGGGGTGCTGGATGAGCAGATGGTGAGATCAGACATTTGAGGGAATGTTTTTCCCTGAGCTCAGATGATTCTCAGGAGGGGCCATTAAGGAGAGATGATGCCACATTCAAATGCCTGCCCGAGGTGGGTCAAGGTTAGGGGCCTATGGGGAAAGAGGACATCTGACTAAATTTTGGTCAAGACAAGTTACAGAGCATTTTGTCCAGATGGCTCACTGGGACAAACTGTTCAGCTAATCGTTTATGAGAAAAATAATGACATTGCTGGGGGTGGGGGGTGTTGTGTCTGTGTCTGTCCCTGTCACAGGCTAACCAGGGTATCATCTGAGAGTCTAATCTAAGTCATATGGGGAAGAATGTCTCTTTGCAAAAAGCTGTTTCCAGACACAAAACGGTGAAAGAATTTCTTAACTGTTTCTGTTTTCCAGGAGCACAGGACTGAGGTAAAGTTCAACATTGTCGGTTATCGTTGTTTCTGCTTAAGTCTCTCAAATGTCACTGAATTAACCAAAAGGAATGGAGAAAATGAGAATCGCGTAGTGTTGGAGAATGGCAAAATTAAAGTAATGTACATTCAGATGGGCCCAAGTTTTTCCACTGTTGTTAAGTGGTTATAACTGAATGGCCCCCTTTAGGGACAATGATAGAGAATAGGTTTTATCCCGAATGAAAGCAATCTCCACCATTATATAAGCCTTGCATATTAATTATTTAAATTCAGTTCGTGTGAATGTGCATATATGTGTGTGTCAAAGTCAAAGCTAATTTTAATTGAATTTTTCTCAATTTTATTCTGCAGCAGTGGAAGATCTAGTCATTCAAAGCACATATCAACTGTCAGTGGTAGATAAAATTAAGTTGCTCTCTGACTGCAGCCTGAGATTCATGTGTCTTTAATGTAACTGTTATAGGCTTCAGTTTTGGACATTGATCAGGATTTGTCAATATTGTCAATACGGGGATTAGAGAGATGACTGCACGGTGATACATGTAAGTAACTGAATGTAGCAAAGGACATAATTTAATCAGTGATGGTGTATCAGTCAGTGTCCAAAGATAAATGAGATAGTATACTCTTGGGTAATATGAAGCTATTTTAATGAAAGGGAGATTTACAAAGTTGGGGTCACAGTGAAGGAACATTCTGAATTACACTTAAGCCTAAATAGATCAGGAAAAATAAAATTGTTTTTGGAACTTGAAGATAGAGCTATTGAGTGGAAAGCTCACCTAGCCATACCTATGATAGAGCTAACTAGAGGGGACACGCCTGGAGTAGAGAAACAGGGAAATAAACTACTTCACCTCCTTCTCCTCCATCTTTCACTAACCTAGCATGCTTTTTATCCTGTAACCCAACCAGAAGCTAGAGAGTAAGAATATCCATTGATGACCCCATATCCTGGCACACAGTAGACTACATAAAGGTAAGAGTGGATCTAGAAGTACAAGTAAAAGACTTACAACTTTGAGGGAACCCGGAGTTAGGATTGGATAAATGACTAACTGAGCTTTTGTTTGTTTGTTAAATATGAGAATCACATGACTTCAAGTTGAACGTGCTATCTGATTCACTCCAATGCAGTATCACCAAACTTTTCATTTTATTTTATTTATTTATTTAGAGACAGAGTCTCATTCTGTCACCCAGGCTGGAGTGCAGTGGTGCAATGTCGGCTCACTGCAACCTCTGCCTCCTGGGTTCAAGTGATTCTCGTTCCTAAGTCTCCCAAGTAGCTGGGACTACAGGTGCACACCACTATGCCTGGCTAATTTTGTATTATTAGTAGAGATGAGGTTTCACCATATTGGCTAGGCTGGTCCCAAACTCCTGACCTCAAGTGATTCACCTGTCTCAGCCTCCCAGAGTGCTGGGATTTACAGGCATGAGCCACCTCACCAAACTCTTTAGAAGGACCCACATGAAGACAGAAAACTTTGCGATATCATTTGCAACCTAAGACCAAATTTTGGAAGAAATTCCCCCTAACCTCAAGGCAAATGGAGTGAGAATGAGGGAAACCTATCTCAGATTTTTCTCATTGTATACCAGGTTTTAAATACTGAAACTGAGAGAAAAATGAACATTCTGACAGCCACTTTATCTGCTCTTATTTAAGGCATTCTAAGCCTATATCAAGCTAAAATATGCTCCTGTATCTCAAGGATATTATATTTTAAGAAATAGAATATTAGTTTATTCCTTAATCTAAACTCTCCCTGTACATCTTTACAGTATTTCCTAGGAATATTTGAGATGTGAGGGTTTTGATTGCATAAGAGGGTGTCAGAGAGAGTATCAATCTGGACAAGTAAAGAAAGAAATGATTGTGAATTTATAATCAAAGGGACCATTAATATATTATTCCTTAGGATGAGGATTTGCTAATTACATAGGACAACAGAATACAGGCTTAAGAGGAATCTACCTATGTTGTTTTATTTGAATATAGTTGGGTCAGTGAAGAGTTAATTACACGGGAGAAATAGCAACAAAACGATGCTTGTTTAACGATTATTGACACTGATACAAATAGCTCAGTCTTTGAAAAAAATATAAAAGAAGCAAAGAAAACAAATACATAGGACGTTTTAATAGTTTAACGTGTCTAATGGAAAAATGTAAAATTAGTACCAAAATATGGAAAATAAAACTTTCCCAAAGCCCTGACAATATTCACAAAATTTAGTTTATAGTAGGTTCAAAGCAATGTCAAAGGTGAATAAAAATATTTAAATTATTTCACCATAATTCAAGAATATTAGCAAATAGTAACAAAACTACCTTCATAATTTTTATATTTTGAAAACCTAATAAAAACTGGCAATGCATTTAGATGATATTTGGTAAATAAGAAAACAACATTTAGGAGAGAGACACAACTGTCATCAGAGAAAAAAATTATTTCTTAAAATGATTTGTCATAAATCAAAAATAGAGTAAATATGAGTGAAATAATTGACTTTAAGAATTAAAATAATCATAAAATATATGCTATGAAAACAAGAAATATATAAGTAACACAGCAAAAATAATGAATTAATATATAAATATTAACATCTAATGATAAAATGTTTTGTTCATGGTATGTATATAAAGACAACATTTTATACAAGTCATGATCAAATTGAACAATATATCATGATTAAATTGAAAATTAAAAATACAAATTTTGTATGGAAATCCTAGAAGTGCAAAACTATTTTTTATTATAACAATATAATATTACAAACTATGAAAGTTTATGCATTCATATGTAGTATTATATTTTATTACATTTATTCTATTATGTTTGTAATTTGGTATATTTATCATACAAGCTACATTTTATTTTTCAACTTGCAGAAGATAACATTTAAAATAGTTTAAAATAACATTCGTTTAAGAATAGGCAAATTGGTATGTAGTTATACGAAATTCTTAAAAATGTGTCACAGGATACAATTCCCATTCTTTAAAACAAATCTCAAGATGAAAAATGTTTCTATTTTATTCCTGCTGCTGTTATGTTTATTAATTTCTGGTGATACTGTAGTTTTTATTAGTAGTGTTACTTTATGTTCTATTTTTCACTGGAATTCTTCATGGAAAATAATGCAGCAGAAGTTCTTATTCCTTCGAAGTATAAATGTATACAGAAGTACGTGACCAATGAAAGTTTCCTAGTTTTTATCATGGAGAGGCACACTCATTTCTTGTCTTTAAAATGTTTTTCTCTACCCATCTATCTTTCATGAATAAATGTGAGAGTTTAGCCATCCATCTTTCTTTTTATTAACAACACTGCCCCTGAAATGCTAGATATTTCTATTACCTTTAGTCTTTCATACTATTTAGTTGCAAAGTTTTAAGTCGTGCATTGGACTAAGGCAAGGCAATGGTTAAAAGTGTGGGTATCAGATGACGAGTGCAAGGAGCCAGATGAGATCCACGAGGATTTTATCTTACTTCTCCTCTTTGTTGCCATATTAATTTTCCTGAGAACAATTTTAATATATGTTTTATGATGAATACATTTCTATTTTCTCTGGAGGAAAGAACAAAGCTCCTGCAGTTCATTTTTAACCTGTATTTTGAACTTTATCTCTAGCACTCATCTTTAAAACACAAACCCTCAAGCCAAGGTCAACTATTCACCATTTCTTTTTCTCTTTATATCCTTTTTTTTGGGGGGGCTATATATGTTCACTTTTTTTTCCAAGTGATGTCCTTTTCCACCATCTTCCTTTGTCCAAAAACGTGATGTTTCTGAAGTTCTATTTAAATATAACACCTTTTCTAAAGTCTTTCCAAGCAGGTGCTCCATTTAGGAAAGCAAACATACCAACAAGCAAATCTCTCTCATATACATCCCGCTCCCAGGACTTTATCCACAAATGTCTTAGTTCAATTAGCACTTAACGCTTTTATGTTATATTTTGCTGCTCATATGCATGCCTTTCTACGAAGCACAAAGAACCTACTTGAACTTTATTTACATTCTTTTCAGTTATTATAAATAACTGTTATAGTGAAATCATACTAACACAAATAGTAAATAGCAAATATTTGTTAAATAAATGAATAATGTAATTAATTGCATGGTGGGCTCTTAAGGAACTCGAGGCTATTTCATAAATGATATTGTCAATTCACTGGGGACAAATTGCTCTTTAAATGCTGCCAACATTTCTTTCTGTGCAGCAAGAGATTGAATTTGCCTCTGCTTCAACAGGCCACTTGCCTATGCAAATGTAAAGCTCAAATATTATTCTGAAGTAAAGAGCTCTACTGCTCTACATTACACATGATATAATGTAAAGTATTGTTTTGTGTGTGTGTGTTTTTTTAGGGGGCCTGAGTCCCAAGGAAGAGACCTGAGAAGTTATTGGGTGGAATAGCAAAATAAGAGAATTTTTTTTCTCTCTGTTCTTGGGCTGGGGTGGTAGGCAGGTGGGATTTGGCTACGTGGAATCCAGAAGGATTGAACATGAGAATGTTCCTATCCATGAGATATAAATTATCCCCTGAACTAAGTGTCAATAATAAAAGAGATACTTGGTTGGATTCCTTAGAGTATAAGACATGGCTAAAGGAATGCAGGAGCAGTGTCTTCTGTAAAGTGATTTTAAGTTATCCTGTCACCAAGATTAAGCCAAAAATAGAAGGAATCAAGAGAATATACTGTTCTTTACATTGTTTAAATTATCATATCACAATTTCTCTCAACTCAGAGTCATTAAAAGTCTGAGATCTCTATTGATGTTCTCAGATGCATCCTGCTCCAGGAAACTAATAATTTGTTAATCCATTGACTTTCTTATTTGACTTTGACTTATGAAGTCTTAGAAATAAATTTTGGATTTAAATACCAGAACTATCCAAAGCTAAGTCTTTTTTCTTGCCTTATTATTTAATAATTTCCTTTACATTGTAGCTAATTATTTTGATGCCTTGATGAGAAATTTTTAAGTATTAGAATACATAAAATAAGTTTTCTGAATATGCCACTTCTAATATTTTTTAAGAGGATAGGTAGTTTGTAAACAAACCTATAGATATACCTATATATAGTATAGATATTTATTTGCACATACTATTTTGTTTGGATCTTAAGGTCTTTCTATATACTATTTTGTTTAGATCTTAAGGTCATCAAAGGCAAAGACAATACCCAATATGATAATTCCTATGAATTGTCTTGCAATAATGAATTGCTAGAAAATGTTCTGACTTTTTTCTTTCTTTCAGTCATTACATCTAATTTTTCAAGGAGTCTTGTAGAATCTATCTGAAAAGCTTCTCTTGAACATGTCTGCTGTTTTCTCATTCTCATTATTCTTGCCCTAGTTAAGGCACTATTATCTATATCTAGAATACTTAAAGAGTTTCCTAAAATCTCCTCTCAAATTTTCATTCCCCAATAATCCCTTATCCTCATGATAGTCAAAACAATCATTTTAAAACATAAATCGTATCATATAACTCACTTCTTTAAGACCAGGTATGTTTTCACATTGCATTTGAAATCAAATGATGACTCTTTACTTTGGCTTTTAGCATTAGGAGATATACCTAATGTAAATGACAAGTTGATGGGTGCAGCAAACCAACATGGCACATGTATACCTATGTAACAAACCTGCATGTTGTGCACATGTACCCTAGGACTTAAAGTATAATAAAAATAAAGAAAGAAAGAAACAAACAGGGAAAAAACAAACAAACAAATATGGTTCCTTTAACTTTCTGTGGCTAGGCTTAGCATTCTTCTCCTGCTGGCCCTATAATATTCGTACCACCCAGGCGTTTTTAATTCCTTGAATTAAAAAGAACTAGGTAGAACACTTTGTTCTCCCTGGTTGACTTCCTTCTTCCTGCAATTATCTCCCCAACTTTCTGCAAGGTTGTTTTTTTCTTATTATTTATATCCTAATTTAAATGTAGCCCTCTTAAAAACTGTCTCCTTGGTCATCAAATCTAAAGCTGGCCACTCAAACACACACGTTGATATCACTAAATATTAATTATTATATTTAAGTTATTACTCTTTGATTTTTTCTTTGTGGATCCATCGATGCATACATTGACTCACCCATCTGTATATTTTCTTTCATGGATTCATTCATTTTATTATCATCACCCATCTAGAATTCAAGCTCGATGAATAAAGAAACTCCATTGATCTGTTCATTATTGTTATTACCTTGGCTTATATTGGTGTCTGGTGTTTGTATTAGTCTGGATTCAGAGAAAGAGAATAAATATTCAAAATTATACACACACACACACACACACACACACACACATATATATATATAATAAGTGAAGGAATTGTCTCATATTATTATGCCAAATCCCAAGGTCTACAGGGTGAGTCAGCAAGCTGAGGGCCTAGGAAAGCCAATGGGGTAGCACCAGTCTGATCTGTAGGCCTCGGAACCAGAAGAGCAAGTGGTAGAATTCCAGTCTAAAGGCCAGCAAGCTCCTAACCCAGAAAGGGCCTGTGTTCCAGTTTGAGTCTGGAAACAGAACAAAAGCTGATGTCCTAATTCAAAGGTTACGAAGCAGGAAGAATTATCTTAACTGGAGGTAGGGTCAGAATTTTTGTTCTATTTCAGTCTTCAAATGATTGAAAGAGGCCCACTCATATTATCGAGGACAATTTGCTTTACTTAATCCACCAATTTAAATGTTGAATTTCATAAAATAAACACCCATACAGAAAATAACCAGAATAATGTTTGTCAAAGTATCTGGAAATCCCATGGCCAAATCAAGTTAACACCTAAAATTAGCCATCACAGTATTCAAAAAATAAATGTTAAACAACTCTTCAACAAGCCAGTCACTTATTATTACTTTGCATACATTATCTCAACTAATCTTCATTACAGACTTATCTAGTAGTGACTGGTATTGTGCATGAACTTACTATGTGAGGAATCTGAGTCTAGGAGAGTAAAGAAAACTTGTGCAATTGAATATATATGTAGTTATTGATTTTCTTTTAGAAAAATAAAATAAAATTTATGTATGACTTCAGGTGCATAAACTTTGACCTATTCCACAAACTATACTCCTTAATACAATTATTAGTTAATTATATAATAACATTAGTTAAAGGTATATTATCATCCTCTATTCAGACATATATCTCCCTTTCCCCACTTCTAGCCCTTATTTCAATTAAAATCTGAATCCTATGGTCATAGTCAATACTTGCTAAGATTTAATGCGAGTCTTCTAATTCACATTCAAGTGCATTTTCTGAGTTTCTTCGCTGAGAAATGGTTAGTATTCTAGGCTTAATTTTGAATTTTATGGGTTTTTTTTTTACTCATTATCATGCAATTGAGACTCATCGATATTGACATCTGTTTGGATGGCTTCATGATATACTTCTTAAGAGTACCACAGTTTTACTCTCTAGATCTTCATGTTTAGACCTGTAGCGTAATTCCAAATTTTGCATTTGCAGACAGTGTTGCTGTGAACATGTTTCTCTATAATTGCTACGTACCTCTGAATGGGGTTCATAAGCCCTTAGGAATATTGTATAGGCTGTAGACTGCAAATGAAATACCTGAAAATATATAAATCTTGTGTATGCTTCATATGAACTTGTCTGAGAAACGAGTACCATGCATTATCAAATTCTCACAAATGTGTGGATGCAAAATGTTTAAGTATCTAGAAAGCAAACAGTTACAGCTCCTCAAAGTTTTCAATATTAGCAAATATTGGCAATTTTCCAGATTGGCTTTATTTATTTGCATTACTTCTAGAAAGGGTATGTATGCCTCCATAAAGTTAATATCCATATCATTTTTTGAAATCTGATTGAAGAAATTGTATCTTATTATTTTAATTTTCTCTTCTCTATTTACTTATAAGACTAAATATCCACAAGAGTATTTTTATTATGTACATACATCTTATTGAAAATTGATTATTTTATAGTAACTTTGCATAAATGGTCTCTCTGAATCTATGCCATTTGCACTTTACTTCCATTGTGGGTGAAAAGCAGGTCCAAACAGTGAGTTAGATCACACATTGGCTAATTGAGTGAGAGTAGCAGTAGTGCTGACAGTTCTATGTCTAAATCTCAGGAAATCCATGTGTTTTGCTTGACTTTTATGCCTGCATCATCTTCTTTAGAAATATGCCCAGGCTGGCCTCCAGAGCTGAAAAAGGATAAAAGCTACATGAAGCAGGGCTGCCCCAGTTAAGCGTCTTCATTTAGCCAAGCTAACCTTGAATGAGGCCTTCAGCCTACCTCTAGATGCATAAGCCAGATCATGCACAGAAACCTGAGTGTTCCCAGGTGAGACATGCAAACCCACAGCCTTGTGATTGCTGAGATATAGTAATTAATTATTTTCCTTAAGTTATAAGAAGTGAAGGTGGTTTGTCAGACAGCAATAAAGGTTATATAACATATAGCAATAAAAGTAATTTGTCCTAGAAAATTTTTTAAAATCCCTTTTAATAGTCTATGAAATTTTCATTTGAATAATAACATGCTTTAACATTTACATATTACTTTTTCTTTTTCTTTTTTTCTTCATTTTTTTTTGCTTGAACAAAATGGAGTAGTTAATTTTTTATCAAGTTTATAATATTAGATGTTATGATATAAACTGTATTTTAATTATATAAGTGTAAACAACTGATGCCATGGGATATCAACTGTCAAATTGTTATAAGTAATTAAGCAAAATTTTTAAACACACACACATGAAAATACACGAAGACCTAATTTCTGAAAACAGGCCAGGGAGTGAAGTAAAAGTTATTTTAACCCTTAAGGATTTTCACGCAGTGAATGAGAACACTGTTTTTTTTTTTTTTTATCTACATTGTAGTGACATAATATTAATATGCACAGAATTTTAAAATTAAAAGAAAATAATTTTAAAGGAAATACACTATTTAGTAAATCTCTATGATTTCATCTGTACAAGAGATAATAATTTGTCTTTTTTCTTTTCCTTTAACTGTATTATTTCCAATTTATTTTTCCATGAACTCTCAATATTTTAAAATAATCAACATAATAATAATTTAGTAGTTAATGACTACATTCAATCAATAAAATGTTTATACAGCCAATTATCTTTGGCACATGTGAAAAAAATAATATTAGCCAGTCCTGGTCACTCACACCTGTAATCCCAGGGTTTTGGGAGGCTAAGACCAGAGGATGAC